>NC_000011.10:43393333-43696363 GCF_000001405.40 Homo sapiens
AGGAAAGCACTTTACCTACTATTATTGGTTTATTGTAAAGGATGCAATTCAGGAACAGCCAAAGGCATAAGCCAGGGAATAGGGGGAAGGGGTGCACAGAGCTTCCATGTCCTCTCCAGAACACCACCCTCCTAGAATCTCAATGTGTTCACCAACCCAGAAGCTCTCAAAACTCTGTTGTTTAAGGGTTTCTACGGAGGTTTCACTATGTAAGCATTATTGACTAAAGTATTGGCCATGAGTGATGAACTCAATCTCTACTCTCTCTCCCCTCCCCGAAGGACAGGGGGAGGATGGGATTCTGAAAGATCTAACCCTCTGATCATGCCTTGGCTTTTCTGGGACCAGCATCTGTCCTGAAGCTATCTGGGGGCCACCTGCCTCCAGTCATCCCATTAGCATATGAAAGACACACATTACTCCTGTGATTCTTCAAGTTTTAGGTTTGTGTGTCAGGAACTAGGGACAAAGACCAAATATATTTGTTCTTACCACATACTAGGTGGCTTAAATTTATTTCTCATAGTCTGGAGGCTGGGAAGTCTAAGATCAAGGTCCCAGTGATTTGGTTCCTGGTGAGGGCTCTCTTCCTGCCTTGCATATGGCTGCCTTCTCTCCGTGTCCTCACATGGCCTCATCTGTGTGCATGCTTGAAGACAGAGAGAGATCTGTCTCTTCCATTTCTTATAAGGACACTTATAGGAAGAAATCAAATTTGGGCCCCAATCCTTATGACTTCATTTAGCCTTTATCCACTCCTCACAGGCCTGATAACACTTGAACATATGAACTTTGAGGAGACATAGACTTTCAGTCCGTAACAGGTGGCATGCAGCCAAATTCAGGCCAATATTGCTGGAGCCTGGTGAGCAAGAGGAAGGAT
Source organism: Homo sapiens (assembly GCF_000001405.40). Lineage (NCBI taxonomy): Eukaryota > Metazoa > Chordata > Mammalia > Primates > Hominidae > Homo > Homo sapiens. The sequence goes on from NC_000011.10 coordinate 43,394,217, forward strand.
GATAAGGAATGAAGCCAGAGAAGTAGGCCAGTGCCAGATTATGTAAGGGTCTGAAATCCAGGGTAAGGATTTTGGATTTTACTCCAAGTGTGCTGAGAAGTTGGAGCAGAGAAGCAATGTATTGCAATTAATAGTTGAAAAGATCACTTTGATTACTATATGAAGAAGTTATTGAAGGGGCCACAACTGGAAATAGACCTGTTAGAAAACTGTTGCAGTAGTTCAAGAGAGAGATGAAGGTGGTTTGGACTAGCAATTGTTAGTAGTGGAAATGAGAGGACTTGAACTATTCAGGAGATATTTAGGAGTTTAGAAGCAGATGAGTTAGATATGGGGATTGAAGGCAAAAGAGGAATCAAGGAAAACTTAAATTTTTGACTTGAACAACTAGAAGGAAGAGAGGGTTGGGGTGGGAGAAGAGAAAATAAGAGTTCTATTTGGGCCATGTTAAATTCGAAATACCTATATGAGTTTGGAATTTCAGGGAAAGTTAGAGTTGGGCACATAGAGATTAATTATTAAATAATGAATATCTGAAGCCATGGAACTGGATGAAGTCATCTGGGGAAGAGTGAAGTTTGAGAAGAAGCCAGTCTGACTCCTGGGTGCCTCCCACATGTAGTTATCAAGCAGAGGGGGAAAGCCAGCAAAAAAGACCAGAAAGGGTATCCTGCAGAATGTGGTGTCCTAAGAGTCAATGGCAGAAAGTGGTCAAAGAAAGGAGGGAGTAGTTCACAGTAACATTAGAACATTTATAGATTTGGGGGAGATTTTATGAGAACTACACAAAGATATTTCTTTAAATATATATTTTTATCTTACCTCCAGTATGCTATGATATATATTTAACTTATCATGATCTCTTCAGTAGTTCATGTAGAACTTTTTTTTTTTTTTTTTTTGAGATGGAGTCTCACTCTGTCGCCCAGGCTGGAGTGCAGTGGCGCAATCTCAGCTCACTGCAAGCTCCGTCTCCTGGGTTCACGCTATTCTCCTGCCTCAGCCTCCCGAGTAGCTGGGACTACAGGCGCCCGCCACCACGCCCGGCAAATTTTTTGTCTTTTTAGTGGTGATGGGGTTTCACCATGTTAGCCAGGATGGTCTCGATCTCCTGACCTCGTGATCCACCCGCCTAGGCCTCCCAAAGTGCTGGGATTACAGGCATGAGCCACCGCGCCCGGCCTCATGTAGAACTTTTAATTGAACTTTTTGTCCCCGTTTACATTATAATGTGAAAATAAAAGATGAAAATCAAAATGAAAGCATTTGTTGATTTGAAAAACAACTTTCTCAAAAGGCCATCAAAAAGAAAACTGAAACCTCGGCCACAAGTCAGTTGTGAAGAATGTACTGTCCTTTAACCAGCTTCAAGTAGAAGTTCATAGTTGATCTGCTCATAGTGTTAAAATCTGTAATTGCATCACTCAAAAATCACATACTTTTCTTGAAGATAGAATACTTAAGGATGAATAATGCAGGATTGTACTTATTGTAGTCTTAAAAAGCTACGTTTAACTAAATTCAAACTATTTTTAACTACATTAAAATAACTCTTTTAAAAATAATTGGTCCTTGTGAAAGAGTCACTGAAAATCTATAAAAGAAAGTAAAATTAATAATTTCAAAACTGGTTTGTAATATATTCTTTTGGAGTTTGATTTTTACACAGCTTTATAGTTAAAACGTAATTATTCCCCATAGGATACATTTTTAATAGTAGAATTGTGGGAGTCAAAGGGTAAATGTAATATACATTAATATGTATGATAATGTAATATACATTACATTTTTAAAGCTTTTTACATACATGTCAAATTGTCCCCCAGAAATGCTATAGTAACTTAGCATTTCTATAGTTTAATATCTAAAGTTAATAATATTCAGTAAGTATTGGCTTTCTTTTTAGTCTTTGCCACTTTGTAAAAGGAAAACTTGTATCTTTTAAGTTTCTATTTCTTTGTGAAGTTACACATTTTACATACTTCTTAGCTGTTTGTTCATGTTTTTGGCCCTTTTTCCTTTTTTTTTTTCTGTCTTTATGTTTAGAGTAAGCCTGTTGGTTTGTGCCTTCACTCAGATATTACATAAATAGAAAAAATTCTAAAATGTTAATTTCAGGAATTTCATGTTAGAGCTATTTCTAAGTAGATGAGGTCTTCTGACTTAACTTCTGAAGTCCTGAAATAGAGCTCAACAAGTTGTGATCAGTTGGTGGGATTTTTCTTATTTCCCTCTTGGAATAAGCTGGAGTTGGATGGTCTCTATATGAAGATCACACCCTAATGCACGTGCTCAGCTGATGATTAGAATGCTCTTCTGACAGGTATAGTTTCTTTGCACTGTGTCCTGTTCTTTATCATTGCTTATCATTCAGTCTGGCTCTTCTTCATCTTGAATTTCAGAAGAGCCAGAATATTAAAGGTGCTCCTTTTGAGTATTCTAAGTTAAACTGTCTTGAGTCGTGTTTGTAATTTTACTTTTTTAATCTCTAGAACACTTCCTCGTGGGTACTGTATAACATGGCTTCATTTTACTGGAGAATTAAGAATGAGCCATATCAGGTAGTAGAATGTGCCATGCGAGCACTTCACTTCTCTTCCAGGTAAGATTCCTCCTCTTCTGGACCTGATTTTCCACATTCCTCAGGACTGTTAAAGAAACAATACATAAGAAAGCAGTAAGAAGCAACATTGCATTATATACTTTTCTCCATCCCTGTTCAAAGAAATAAGTCCCACCACAAAAAAAAAAAAAAAATCACAGATCTCAAAAAGTTCAAAGTGATAATTGTGTAATATACTTTCCATTTCCATTAAGGAAAAAATATGTAGATGCCCTATGATTCACATGATACTTGAATGGAATTATCATAAACTAAGTTTAACTTTTCTTAAAGCAAATATAAGCCCTAAATAAATTGTAAAATCATACAGTGTCTGCAATACCTTATTTTAGTGACAAAATTTGTAGCTATCAGATTAAGAGCCATCAATAATTTAAAAATGAAACACTATGATTATCTTATTTTCTCCACCTATATCTTAGTTTCCTAAGCACAAGTAACTTTGAATGTCATTTTTCCTTGTCAAGTGGTTCTACATAATCATGGAATATGTGCTGCTTTCCTTAGGCACAATAAAGACATTGCCCTGGTCAACCTGGCAAACGTTCTACACAGAGCACACTTCTCTGCTGATGCTGCTGTCGTGGTCCATGCAGCTCTGGATGACAGTGACTTCTTCACCAGCTATTACACTTTGGGGAATATATATGCAGTAAGTACTACTCTTTGTTTCATGAGTCATGCTAGTTGCCACTTTCTTTTTTTTTTTTTTTTCTCCCCCCTCAGTAGAATGTTACTTTTTTCCATTCCTTTTTTGGTCTGAACGATGGAAATGAAATTAGGAGGAAGAAAAATCCTCAACACAGTAATGTAATTATTCTAGCCTCTTGCCAAAAAAACAATAATAATAATTAAATTGGAATTTTAAACTTCTACAGGGTACACCTTTTAAGGTTAGCAATACCTGCCAACTAAACCATCCTATAGTATGCCTTAATATTGTAGGGATCTGGTCACTGATCAAAATAATGGTCACTGTAGAGTAAGAGGTAGGTGTGATCTCATAAATCATTAGAGGATTTGGACAGATGCAACCAGGCCGTGGCTAACATTTTTTTTTCCGTGTGTGTGTGTGTGTGTGTGTGTGTGTGTGTGTGTGTGTGTGTGTGTGTATGTTTGTTTTTGTCTCTTCAGATGCTTGGGGAATATAACCACTCAGTGCTCTGTTATGACCACGCTTTGCAGGCCAGACCTGGGTTTGAGCAAGCTATAAAGAGGAAGCATGCTGTCCTATGTCAGCAAAAACTGGAGCAGAAATTGGAGGCTCAGCATAGGTAATTGAGAGGAAAAATTTCACTCAAGCATTAGCACTATCGAACCTTAGGTTAAATCTGTGTAGGGGATATCAGTGTTAATTTGGTAACTGGAATTAAGAAAGAAACCTCTTCACTACTGCAAGTCCTATCCTTTTTCTGTAAGTCCTGGTGGTTTAGCACAATTCAGTGGTTGTGTAGAGGAATATCTTTAATTGTATGGATTCCTGCAACTAGAGAATATTTGTAGTAAAAGCTGTCACTTAAATGTTTACAATTTTGACCATTGATTACTTTTATGAAGTCAGTTGGGGTGGGGAGACTGGGATACTTAGTTGACTACTTACTTTGTTGACTGCATTTTTATTTGCATAGAATATACTAAGTTTCAGTAAAATCACTTACATGTGCAATAGTTGATATTTCTCCTCTTGGAGAGAGGTGGTGGCTCCTAGGGTTGAGTTATTGTTAAGGTAGTTAAATGGCATTGAGAGACATTATTTGGCCCACGTTTTAATCATGATTGTGTGTTAGGTTGTACAGTAATGGAATTCTATTGTATTTGATCCTTGAGGTATAATAAGTTAAAAAACATTTCCTTCAATCAGTAGGGCTAGTTAAGAAACTTCATGTTAACTCAGAAGTGAATTTTTCATATCTCAGAATTAGCTGTAATATTTGAGTTTACTTTGGTTAGTAGAGAATTAAACAGAGATTTAGAACTCATTAAACTTTTGTATTTGCTTCTTTTCCAATCTTTTTAAGGCATAATGTGGTAGGAAGTAAAAAGGATGCCAGCTTGCTTATTCATAACTGGTTTCTGTTATACCTGGCTGAGCTTTTTCCAGTATCATGCTCTTAATAATTGAGCTGGCTCTATCTTTACACAATCTGTATAGTTCCTAAAATCTCTGTATGTTACAGTGTGTAATAGGCAGTATGGGTTTTCTGATTAAATGTAATCAGGCAGCTGATTTACTGAAATCAGGTGGTGAAGCATATTCCTTTCGAAGCATAGTTTCTGTAGTTTTTCCTGGCCTGTAACCAATAAGCTAGAGTATGAAAGCAAAGTACTGTGGCCCCTAACTCTTAACTTTGTCTTTAAGCAGAATCTAGGGAAAAAGTGAAAAGGAGGAAAGGATTCTAGAAAGACTTTGAATGTTGATGGAACTAATGCAAATTTTGTAGAGAGAAATAGAGTTGTTAAATACATAAACTTGTATATCGTCATGTATTTTTTTATGGCACCTGAAAAATGCAATATACCATTTGATGTCATGATAGTTGTATTGCCAGGTGTCATGGCTGATGCCTGTAATCCCAGTTATTCTGGAGACTGAGGCAGGGTGGAGGGGAGGAATCACTTGATGCCAGGAGTTCAAATCTAGCCTGGGCAACACAGCAAGACCCAGTTTCTAAAACTAAATTAGCCAGGCATGGTGGCGTGTGCCTGTAGTCCCAGATACTCCCCAGGAGACTGAGGCAAGAGGACCCCTTGAGCCCAGGAGTTGAGCCCAAGAGTACAAGGCTGCAGTGAGCTACAATCAGGCCTCTCCATCCAGCCTTGACAACAGAGCAAGACCCCATTTTTTAAAAAAGTTGTATTTAAAGGAAGAATTTCACATTTATCTTTTTGCCCTAGTATTCTTGAACTGGTGATACAGGGTTGTATGTTAAATAAAAGGAAAACACACAGTAATTGTTGCTGAGAACCAGAAAAATCTGTGCATTTAAGTGGGTTTAAAATTTATGATTTTATAGCTCTAACTTTTTCCTGGTATTAAAAAATGTTAAGATCTCTCCAGCGAACACTGAATGAGTTAAAAGAGTATCAAAAGCAGCATGACCACTACCTGAGACAGCAGGAAATCCTAGAAAAACATAAACTGATTCAGGAGGAGCAAATCTTAAGAAATATCATTCATGAGACTCAGATGGCAAAAGAGGCACAATTAGGTAAGTAGTGACTCCAAGTAATTGAAGACAGGTTAGGAAATTCACTTTTAGCATGCTTTACTATCATAACTTTCTTGTAGCCTTAAAGCAGTGTGAAGTTGTGTTTATGACTTCCCTACATCTCGAAAGCATGATTCATCACTGTGGGTATACCAGGAGGCCTGGGGAGCTGGTTTGGTCTACCTTGCTTTTTTCAAATTTACATTTTGAAATAAAAAACAAGTCTTGTAGATCCTAGAAGTCTTAACAGTTATTTGCATTCTGTGTTCAACATCAGTTTTTTTTCCTACCCTAATATGCATATCAGTCTCCTGGAGATCTTGTTGAAATGCAGATTATGATTCAGTAGGTCTGAATTGAGGCCTGAGAGTCTGCCTTCCTAATAAGCTCCCAGGTGATGCTTGTTGCCGCAGGTCTAAAAACTCTGCACTATGGGTAACAAGGCCTTACACTAAGTGAATACAAGCCAGACCCACCCTACAAACAACCCATCCATACTCCTTTTTTTCTTGCTCTCTTAAAAACAGTGTTTTAGAAGTAAAATTTTAGACTGGAATTCTTAACCTGGGTCAATGGATTAGTTTCAGGGGGTTCTGAAATCCTCTCCAAAATTATATGTAGAATTGTGTATGTGTCCAATTTTATTTTTCTGGGAAGAGGGTATCTAGCTTTTATTAAAATCTCTCAAGCATCTGTGATCCATAAAAATAGAACCACTGGTTTATAGGAACTTGGGTTGGCATGAGAACAATGATTTGGTTATATCTAGAATGTTTTGTTTCTAATGACAAGGGAGCAGATCTGACAACTCAATAACAGAGAATAAATTAATAGAATCTCTTAATTATACCCTTCTCCCTTGATAAGTATGTTGGTCAAGAAAGCCTCTTAACCTTTGGCACTTAGCTGTGACCATTTATAGTTTATTTTACAATTCCCTTAACAAGTTTTCTTTGCTATTATGAGTGTAAAGAGTATGCTCAGTCTTTGGAATTACTTACTGCCCAGTATATTGAAATGTAACCAGAGCTCTTATATATGCATTTGAAACAAAATTATGAAGTATGTAAAGCAAATTCTCTCCAGAAAGATGGCCAAAGTCTCTTAAAACGATGTAATCACTAGATTTTACAATCACAGACTATAATTGCTGAAAGATACCTCAGTAATCATCTAGTGGAGTCCCTTTGTTTTTGTAGGTGGAAAAACTGGGACTTCTTAGAATGATTTATTTGATTAACCATTAATGAATATTTCTCTATATAAGTACGTCCTACGTAAGTAGCCTGCTAGGCTCTGAGGGATACAGGGTTGATACTAAATGACTTAGTCTAAGAAAATCACATTGGCATTGTTGACCTTGCTCATCATTTGTGTAATTTCCTTTCTTATTCCAGGAAATCATCAGATATGCCGACTGGTCAACCAGCAGCATAGTTTACATTGCCAGTGGGACCAGCCTGTACGCTATCATCGTGGAGATATCTTTGAAAATGTGGACTATGTTCAGGTCTTTTTCTTGGTCCAGTCTAATTCTTATAAACGTTTGCTTTATAAAGATTTTTTAAAACTTTTGTTTTTCCTCTTGATTCTTTGTATATTTGATCCCTAAAATTTGTGATTGTCATTTAGATCTTTAAGATTTTGAGGCTGGGCACAGTGGCTCACGCCTGTAATCTCAGCACTTAGGGAGGCAGAGGCAGAAGGATCACGAGCCCAGGAGTTCAAGACCAGCCTGGGTAACATGGTGAAACCCCATCTCTACAAAAACATATATAAATTGGCCAGGTATGGTGGCATGCACCTGTAGTCCCAGCTACTCGGGAGGCTGAGGCGGGAGAATCATCTGAGCTCTGGAGGTCAAAGCTGTAGTGAACCCAGATCATGCCATTGCACTCCAGCCTGGGCAACAGAGCAAGACTGTGTCTCAAAAAATAAATAAATAAATAAATAAATAAATAAATAAATAAATAAATAAATAAAGAGCGAGAGAGAGATTTTGATTATCTGTTATGTTGTTATGTTTACGAAGTCAGATTTTATAGGGAGTACTCAATAACTCCATGGATGCTTTCTATTTCTTAAAGTACCATCTAAATATTTATATGCACATGCATTTGATTCTTTTCTCTTTTACCATGGGAGCTAGAATTGGGCTATTATTATTATTGAACTCAAAGCTTTCATCTCCCCACTTTCCCTTTTAGAGTAAGACCTATTTAAAATTTGAGAGCAACCATGCTATTTGTTTCCTGAAGTAATCAGTCCAATTATATTGCCTCAACCAATACCACCAACAAAATGCTCATTATCAACAGAAAATCTTTATTAAGCCCACTGCTAGGTGTGTACTTTCTCTCACTTTCTGTCGCTGTATATACACACGTGTATACACACACACATACACATATACAATCCTAATCTATCTAGTTGGGAAGAACTAACACATGTAATGATACCAGATAGTATATAATAGATGTTGAATAAGTGGTACAGACAGCAAGTACAGCCAGAATTCTGAGTATAAAAAAAAAAGATTCAAACTCTGAAACTTTTTGAGCACTGACATGATGCTCAAAAGAAATGATCATTGGAGCATTTTGGATTTCACATTTTTTGATTGGGATGCTTAACAGGTAAGTGTAATAAAATATTGCAAAATCCAAAAAAATCTCAAATCTGAAATACTCCTGATTAAGCATTTCAGAAAACTGATACTCAACCTGTATTAGAAATAAAACATTTATTCTATCTTAGAGAAAACTCATCATGTCTAATCGTAGATACAGAAATTTCCAGCAATAACTACTTAAGATAACTAAGAGATTAGGAGAGCATCTATAGGAGGACAAACCACAAAAACTTAGAACTCTTTAATCTGGAAAAATCCAGACTGCATTGGGAAAAAATAAGAGACAAAAATTAAGAAGCCATTTTAAAGGGGAAATAGTGATAGGGACCAAAAGCTTCCTATGAGTATTGTAAACCAGCTCCCAGCAATATCTCATGTTTGGTTTCCAAGGGAAAAAATAAAGAAGACCAGATTCACACCCTCTGGGATTATAGCTCTTTATCTTAAAACCAAGCATTTTAAAGGGAAGAAGGGGGATGTTTAGAAATGAAATAGATTGAAACCCAATACACCTTTTGGACTTTTTGATGGTCTCAAGACCGATCATTTGAAGGAGTGTAGCTTCCAATAGTCTATATTCATAAAATTGTATCACCACTATATAGTGAAAGAATCCATTCCTGTTCACAAAGACCTAGAGCTACAAATTCGTCATATTCATTCCTTTTCCTTTTGTCTTTCCTACCCCATCCCATCCCCAGTCCCATTCTCATTATCTAGCAAGGTTTCAGAAATACACAAGCATCTTTGTAAGTATATCCAACATTGTTCCACCTTGCTTTGAAGGAAGGCTGTATATGTTTGTGTTCTCTCATCTAGGTTACCCTTTCACCCTCAAAACTTTTCTTTGTAATTGATTGCACAACAGTCTGTAATCCTTAAGTGATAGTTATAGAACCCTTAAGAATACTTTCTTAAGTTCCCTCGCCTCTACCCACACACGGCACACCAATTTTAGAGTGGTGAGCATTTTAGTGTAGGAAGAAAAGGGGAATAATGAACCAGATTTCTCAATTAGCTAATTATTAACCTAAAGAGACTAAATCATAAAAATGAAGCAAAGGGACAGGAAAACGACCTATGCCATTTTTCTCATACTCCAATGGCAAAGTTATTGAAAGTTGTTAACTATGTATTATCCATGAAAGAATATCGTTGGGGCATAGTTCTTAAAAGATCCAATTGCTTTATTACTGAGCTACTTTCTGATTTTCTACTAATTTTGAATATTCACTCGCTTTTTTGGTGTGAGTTAAATTATAATCACAACTCCTTTTCCACTTTCAATTTGATTGAACTTTTTGTTTCATTTTCTAGTTTGGTGAGGATTCATCAACCTCCAGTATGATGTCTGTGAACTTTGATGTTCAATCAAATCAGAGTGATATCAATGATTCGGTCAAGTCTTCTCCCGTAGCCCATTCTATTCTCTGGATTTGGGGCAGGGACTCTGATGCATATAGGGTAAGTTAATAGAGGATGACGAAGCAGTTTTCTCAAACTGGCAAGATCCATTAAAGCAGTGGCCCTCAACCTCACTGATTAATATGGCCTCTATGACTGTTCAGATTAGTTCAGCAAACGTGTAGTACATTTCTATTAAATGGAAGCTATTCTGCTAGGTAGTGAATGAGTAAGATGCAATTTCTGCCTTGAGTTTTTCCCAGTCAAGTAGAGCAGATAGACACCCTGATTTCAGTTCAAAGCTTTATCCTCTGAGTATTATTACCAACCTTAACAAGTTTCTAAACTTGACCCAAGCGTATGTTTTTATATACTTCACTTAATCGGCATTCTTTTATTGAACTCCCACCTGTGTGCCAGGCTAATGCTGGCAGTATAATAGATAAGCCCCCTTGCTCTTCTGGAGCCTACATTCTGGTAGATGATACAGACAATAAACAAGTTAGTACATGTGCCTGTCTAGACTAGCTAAGAAAGAATTGTAGGTTAGCTGAGGCGGATACCAAGGTATGAGGACAGAGACTGTGTGCTTTTTATTCACCATTAAATTTTCAGAATTTAATCAAGGGTTTAACAGAATTAAACAGCCACTTAGATTTAATTATATTTAATATAAATCCCTCAAAGTTTGATAGCTTGAAGATTTAAGTTTAGTAAGCCTCTGGTACATCTTATTTATTTTTAGAGAAAATTAACATTTTACAAATCATAAAACAATTGTTAAACTTTGGCATTGGCAAAGAAAAGACCTTAGTTCAGGGAAAAGTAGTGTTCAATGCCAGGTTTTATAGGCTTATGTATGCTTTCAGGTACAAGTCATAAGCTCCACCTCAAATTAAATACAAAGAAAATGTGCCTGTTACTACAGGAAGTCCAGAAATAGGATAAACTTCAGGTTTGGTTGATTCAGTGGCCCAGTGATGTCATCAGTGACCCATTTCTTCTTTTTCTTTTTTTTTTTTTTTTTCTTCACTCTGCCATCCACAGTATTGGTTTCATCCAAAAGCTTGGTTTTTTTCATGGTCATGACAGCCAGCAGCAACTGGAACAACATGATTTTTTGTTCATATGTAACGTAAGAGCCTAAGACTTGCTTCTCTTTCCGAAAAGCCCCAAGCAAGCCTCTTCTTGTGTCTCACTGGCTCAACTGGCTTATACCCGCCCAACCCTGAACCAGTCTGTGGTAAAGCAGGTAGAATTACTGACTTAGATTAATAATCTGCAGTAGCAGGAATATTATAGAGTCTACCATAATCTTAAGATATTATAGTTTTGTTCAATTATTGTAGTATATCATTTTAAAAGTTTATTTAGCATATTGAAATATTGAATCCAAAGAAATTTATGAGAAATTTTGTTTCTTTATCAGGACAAACAGCATATTCTATGGCCTAAAAGAGCAGATTGTACAGAAAGCTACCCTAGAGTCCCTGTTGGTGGGGAATTGCCAACGTATTTTCTGCCTCCGGAAAACAAAGGACTCAGGCAAGTGGTGATGGATTTGGCAAAGCACCTGATTCTGCATGATTGTCATCTAGCGGTTCTTTGAGAGCACCAGCCTTGGACTTGAAAAGTTAAGTCTTTATCTTGAAGTCACCCAAACTTTGAAAATATGAATCTTGTTCCTTTTTCTTGTGCCAGGATCCACGAACTCAGCAGTGATGATTATTCTACAGAAGAAGAGGCCCAAACCCCTGACTGTTCCATAACTGACTTCAGAAAAAGCCACACTCTGTCCTACTTAGTCAAAGAATTAGAGGTTCGCATGGATCTGAAAGCCAAAATGCCAGATGACCATGCACGAAAAGTAAGGCTCACTTAGGCTGGTATTTATTGCCGTCCATTCTGGGTGACTTCAGAAGCCTCTTAAATGGAACAAAAAATTGATAGAAGGTAGCTGTTGAGCTTTAAGTGTATAAAATGGAAGGATAGAGTTAAAGAATTGGTGAAATGATGGCGAAGTCAGTCATGCTATTAAAGGAGTGCCAGAGAGTTCCTCGGGGCTGCTATACGTAGATCACCTAAACACTATTCCTCTAACGCAGAGCACTTCAAAGATGAGTAGCACAGAACTCTCTGTTATCTAATGGAGTTGGTGTAATGCAGGCCATTGCAACCACTAAAAGTTAGCTTTGCATCCTCCAGGCCTCCAGAAGTGTATATAAATTGAAAGCTTGAAGAATCTCTCTCTGGCCTTATCAACCCTGCTGTGACCTTATATGAGGTCCATAGGAATTTATATTAATTTGATAATGACTCTGCAAACATTAGAAGTTCAATTATGCTCTTTTCCTAAATTCCTATTAATTATATATAACTACGAGTGTTTTATTACTGTATATTACCATATTAGATATCATTCCATAGATAAAAATGAAAAAAAAAATTACCTTTTTAGCAATCACAGACCATCACAACCACCTTTTTTTTTTTAAGTTAATTTCAAAACTATAGGCACTTACTGTTACTTATATTCAATAGACATTTCCTTAGGCAAAAAACATTATGTGCCAGACATTGTTTTGGATGCTAGGAATACAAAAAGATAAACAGACCATGATCTGTGCCTTAGAGTTGTTTACCGTTATATAAATGCTGCAGGAACATGAAGTAGAATAATTGAGTATCTGGTATTTTCCAGGAAGGAAAGACAGTAGATTTTTATTACATCAGATATTGCATGCTGTTGTCTTTTGAATAATTTCTTCTTGGGTTCTGAACACTTAGGCTGACTTTAATGGGGTATGGTAGGTTACTTTAATGTGTGGGGGTATATATGTCTTTTTAACTTTTTAGTTAAACTATTACATACATGTGAGCAGGTCAACACCTGTTGGTATGTGAATGAATTTATGTCATATATATGATCATAAATATTTGTTCAAATTAGCTGTTCCTGAGGAGCTTAAGAAAAGACTGCCATCTATAGAAATTCTTTTCAAATGTCTTCCCTGTTATTTTCAATTGAGTCAGTCTTCCTTTTGATGTTTCAGATTTTGCTTTCCCGTATTAATAACTATACTATCCCAGAAGAAGAAATTGGGTCTTTCTTATTTCATGCTATTAATAAGGTGAGTCATTTACTTTAGACATCTAAAACTTAAATGCTTCTTAATTATAAGTAAAAGTTAAAATGCACTTATTAAAAATCTTATTTAGAACAAGTACTGTATTCTTGTACTAACTGAAGTATTTTTGGATTTTTCAGCCAAATGCTCCTATCTGGCTCATACTCAATGAAGCTGGACTATACTGGAGAGCAGTAGGAAATAGCACTTTTGCTATTGCCTGTCTTCAGAGGGCTTTGAATTTAGCTCCACTTCAATACCAAGATGTTCCTCTTGTCAACTTGGCCAACCTTTTGATTCATTACGGCCTTCATCTTGATGCCACTAAGCTGCTACTTCAAGCTTTGGCCATCAATAGCTCTGAGGTGAGGTTTTAAGGGATTTCATAGTTCCGTATACTATGTAGGGTAACTCAAATTTAGATTACAATTTGTATTTTTCTAGGGAAAGCATAAAAAATGTCATGTTTTGTCTTTCACAGTAGCGTTTGCATTATTTCAAGAGAGTGTGAAAAAGCTTTTGTTGTATTTTGATGTGTTCTTTAAATTTTGAGTGAAATTTATAATTACACAGTTAAGTTTTTTTTTTTTTGGAAACTTACATTTAAATAAGAATAACATAAGCTGTAAAAATATACTGCCGCTTTTTTATGTCTGTCTGAAACATCTGGTTTGTATTTTATCCTACTCATCACAGCATGCACACTGCTTAATATTACACTGTTTTACAACTTTAATTTATAGAAATATTTATACCCTTCAAGCCAGAGGACAGTTCAAAGGTGGTTTTGATAAGAATAAATAGATACATTGATTTTCATGCCCCAAACCTCTCACATGCAGCTTATGGAGTTACATCAGTGCTTTGTAGTTCATGGTTTTGAAGATACAACTTTGGTTTTTCATATTTTAACATCTCTGATATCAGGATGGATGTTATAATTGCTGTCATTTTAGGTTTCATGAAATTCAGTTATAATAAATATACAATTAAATTGATTTTATACCTAATGTCTAAATGTTTATAGGTTTTGTATTCAAAGAAACCTTCAGAAGGGATGTGCATGAATGGTTGAGGTTTATTTATGGTGTCTGAAAACTGATTTTTTAAGGATGAGAAGAAAATATTGCCTGTTTTCTTTTGAAATACAGAAATTCACAACTGGATTTTAAGCAGAAGTTTACAATCTCAATATTATGTAACAGGTCACATTGCCAGAGAAGTACATCAAATATTTATCTAGTGCTTACTGTGTACCAGGTGCTGGTACAGTGGGAACAGATGTGATAAAGTGGGCAATGGAAAGCGCAATGCAGCCGTATTCCCTTGAAACTTTTCATGATTCCCTTTTTACTGTTTTCAGCCAAGGGACTTAGGTAGTATTCTTCTGAAGAAAAAAGACCTCCTTTAGTGATCAGTTACCTTTTGATATTTTAAAATCATACTAAAATTTTAGTTGTTAAATACCATGGTGCTACAATAAGAATAAAAAGATAAATTAATGGATCAGGGTGGGTACCCCAAAAATATACCTTTTTTTTTTCTTTGAGACAGGTTCTTGCTCTGTTGCCCAGGCTGGAGTGCAGTGGCGTGGTCACGGCTCACTGCAGCCTCCACCTCCTAGGCTCAAGTAGTGCACCCACCTCAGCCTCCCTAGTAGCTGGGACTACAGGCATGCACCACTGCGTATGGCTGAATTTTGTATTTTTTTGTAGAGATGGGGTTTCACCATGTTGCCAAGGCTGGTCTTGAACACCCGAGCTCAAGCAATCCTCCCATCTCAGCCTCCAAAAGTGATGGGATTACAGGCATGCACCACCACACCCGGCCCCAAAAATGTTCCTTAATCAGCACCCTCTTCCCAACTTTTGGAAATTTTTCCTTATAAGCATGTCTTCTATACAAATATTTCATAATGTTTCAACTCTACTGTACAGGTGATCTCTAAAAAACTTATTCCTACCTAATTTTAAAGCCCTCAATTTAAATGGTTGTATAAAGGACCAATGAATTGATATGCCACAACCTATTTTTCTGTTGCTGCATATTTAGGTTGCTAACAGTACTTAGCTATTATCAATGATGGTTTTCTGCAAAGGCCTTAAAGATTGTTAGCAGTGGAATTACTAAGTCAATAAGAGAATGAATATTTTGATGGCTCTGGCACAAAATACCAAACAACCCACTAAAATGGTTGGGCCAGTATATATTGCCATGAATAAGGTCTAAAAATATTAATTCCACCTGTGTCTTTATTAGAATTGAACAACTGAAATAACTGCCAATTTTTTTGATTGTTTACTAGAGCCAGGCACAATACTAAGCATCTTACATGTAGTAACTAATTTAATCCTCATAACAACCCTGTGAGATGGAATTTCCCCTTTGATAGATGAGGAAACTCTTAAGAGTTAAATGTACAGAGTAAGGGATTTATGGGAAGTCACAGAGCTTGGTGCTTGGTTTTGAACTCAGGGAGATTGGCCACAGGGCAAATACTCTAGTCGTGTTATACTACCTCTGAATTAACATTTATAAAACAAGTTTCGCTTGCTTAAAAATACCACCTCTCCGTTGTAACGTAAAGTTTTATCTTGTGGTTGTTTTTGTTTTTCTTTTTTCCTTTTTTCTTTTCTTTTTTTTTTTTGAGACAAAATCTTGCTCTGTCACCCAGGCTGTAGTGCAGTGACATGATCTCAGCTCACTGCAAGCTTCGCCACCCAGGTTCAAGCTCTTCTCGTGCCTCAGACTCTGGAGTAGTTGGGATTTCAGGTGCATACCACCATGCCCGGCTAATTTTTGTACTTTTAGTAGAAACAGGGTTGTATTTTAATAGAAACATGTTGGCCAGGCTGGTCTCAAACTCCTGACCTCAAGTGATCCGCCCGCCTTGACCTCCCAAAGTGCTGGGATTACAGGTGTGAGCCCTTATGCCCAACCTTGTAATTGTATTTTTAAAGTAAAAGTTTGTATACACATTTTGTTCATTTTAGAATTTTGTTTTTTAGATTTTGTGCAAACCCTTTGTATGATAAACTCTTTAACTCCATCTCTCATGTGTTAAAAATATTTTCTCTCTTTGCCTTTTTATCTTAGCATTTAAAAATTGCCCTTAAGTTTGCCAGTCTTTTCAATGTTGATTTCTATTGTTAGATTTCAAGTGTTCTCAATAAACTGTTTGTTTTTGTTTTCTATGGCTTAATCTTTGAATAGTTGGCTCTCAAATATATAAAGATCTTTTCCTGTGACGTCTCCTGGATATTTTATAGTTTTAGGCTTTACAATTAGGTCTATGATTCATTTCAAGTTAAATTTTCTTTGTAGTGTGAGGTAGGGATCAAAGTTCATATTTACACGGATATCCAGTTCTTCAGCTTCATATCTTGAGAAGACTGCCCTTTTCCTGTTGAATTACCCGTCACCTTTGCCCTGAACTCCAGACTCCTTTATTCAACAGCTTACTTGACATTTCCACTTAGATGTCTAAAGGGCGCTCTAGAACAAAAGGCCAAAACCAAACTCCTTAACGCTGTTCCAAATTTATTCTTCCCAGTCTTCCTCATTTCAGGAAATAATAAAGCTATCTTTCCAGTTGCTCAGACCAAAAACTTAGGGGCTTCCTTCATACCTTTCTCCTGTTCTCAGGGAAAATTCAGTCCACTGGCTAACCTTGTTGATTCTGTTTTCAAAATATACCTCAGATTTTACTATTTATCATTGCTTCTACTGCTGTCCCATCCAAACCATAATTATTTTTGTCTGGATTATTTTAATAGCCTCTAGACTGGTTTCTCTGCTTCTGCCATTGTCCCCCAGTCTGTTCTCATACAGCAACAGTGAAATCCTTATAAAAAGTCAAATGTTGTTATTTGTTGGCTCAAAATCCCTGTAGTGGCTCTCCATAGAACTCACGGGAAAATACGAATTTGTAATGATGTAGAAGGTCCTACATGACCTTGTTACTTTTCTGACCTTATCTCTGTGAAGTCATTCCTTAGCACATTCTATTCTAGCCTCACTTGCCTCCTTGTAGTTCCTTGAACATACTAAGCATGCCCCTACCTCAGGTCTTTTGCATTTTCTATCCTCTCTGGTTGGAGTACTTCATCCCACCAATATTCTTCATTGCTTACTCCACCTCCTTGAAGTCTTATGAATACTAACTTCTCAGTAAGTCCCTCTCATACTACTCTGTTTTAAATGGTGCACTCCCCCCGCCCCCCACAATCTAGTGCTACCTTTATTTCTTCCTTCTATATTTTTCTCCGTCCCATTTTGCTCACTGACATCCCCACACTGGACTGTAAGGTCTATGAAGGCAGCAGTTACCTTTCTTATTTTCTGCTGTATCCTCAATGTTCAAAACTATGCCTGCAACATAGTAAATACTCACTACTTATTTTTTCGTTCAAGGGATGAAGTTCAACTTTTTTTCCAAAATGCTAACCAGTTTATCTCAATGCAGGATATTTTTACAGCTGTCATTTTGTCATAGGGATAATTATAACACTTTGTTTCCTTATGCAAAATATAAAGATACATTTGAAGTCTAAGTATGGGATTTAATTTTGTATCTGGGTGTGAATTACTAAGTAATAGTTTGAATGTAATCTGAGCTGCTTAGGTTAGACTTCCTTAATCTAGAATATTTTTTATCCTCTGGCTTGGTTACAGTGAGACATTTCTGATGATCTAACAGCCCCAGTCAAAAGCAGGTAATTGGATAAATCATAAGCATTGTTTTACATAGGGATATATTGTACAGTTTGAAAATAAAACATTCTTAGATCTTTTTAACTATTTTTAATAATAAAATAAATTTAAAACATATGGTTTGCACACAAGCAAATATAAAAACACTATAGATGTATTTCAGTTAAAATGACCTAAACTGAATACTTTGGGCTGCTTATGAAAACAAAGTCTCAGCAAACAATTGGAAAATAGCATACAAAGTACACTGTTTACAATAGCATCAAGAAAACATCAGATCTGCTGTGGTGGCTCACACCTGTGATCTCAGCACTTTGAGAGGCTAAGTGGGGAGGATCGCTTGAGCCTAGGAGCTCAGTACCAGCCTGGGCAACACAATGAGATCCACTCTCTACAAAAAAAGTCAAAAAAAATTAGCCAAGTGTGGTGGTATGCACCTGTACTCCTAGCTACTTGGGAAGCTGAGGTGGGAGGATCTCTTGAGCCCAGGAGTTCCAGACCAGCCTGGGCAACAGAATGAGACCTTGTCTCAAAAAAAGGAAATAAAGAAAACATCAGATTTCTAAGA
This sequence comes from Homo sapiens, assembly GCF_000001405.40. NCBI lineage: Eukaryota > Metazoa > Chordata > Mammalia > Primates > Hominidae > Homo > Homo sapiens. The sequence continues at coordinate 43,412,494 of NC_000011.10, forward strand.
ATAAACCTAAAAGAAGATATACAATATTTATATACTGATTACAAGATATCACTAAGAGAAAGAAGACATAAGTACAGGTTGAGCATCCTAAATTCAAAAATCTGAAATCCCAAACATTCCAAAATTCAAAACTTTTTGAGCACCAACCTGACACTCAAGGGAAATGCTCATTGGAGCATTTTGGATTTTGGATTTTCAGATGGGGATGTACAGCCAGTAAATATAATAAAATATTCAAAGATGTTAAAAAATCTGAAATCCAAAACATTTCTGGTTCTAGGCATTTTGGATAAGGGATACTCAACTTGTAAAGGGAGATATACATCATGTTCACACATTGAGAGAGTCAATATTGTTCAGATGTAAGATCTCTGTAAATCAATTTATAGATTCAATTCAATCTCAGTCAAACACCTAGTAATTGCATATATGTGTTTGTGTATTGATAAGTTGATTCTAATATCTACATAGAACTGGACCTAGAATAGACACACACACACACACACACACACACACACACACACACACACACACAAATGGGGGCAGGGTGATGGGGAGGAACAGAGTTGGAAGGCTTTTATTACCAGATTTTGAGATTTACTATAATTAAAAGAGTATGGTATTGGTACAAAGATACTCAAACATAGCAATGGAACATAATAGGGAATTTAGAAGTAGACCACCATGAATATGGCCACTGGTTTATGACAAAGGGGTACCTGTAGTTCAGTGAGGAAAAAACATTTTGGTTTTTCAGTAAGTTAGTGCTAGAATAATTGGATGATATCCTTATGGAGAAAGATAAGAACTTTGACTTCTGCCTCACACCATACACAGGATTAATTTGAAGTGGATCATGTACCAAAATATGAAAGATAAAACAATAAGCCTTCTTTATGAAGACATAGGAGAAAGTCTTTATGACCTTGCAGTAGGCAAAGATGTCAAAAAGCACTAATTATAAAAGAAAAAAATGATAAGCTGAACTTCATTGAAATTAAGAAATTCTGTTTATCAAAAGATACTATTCAGAGAGTAAAAAAACAAACCATAGACAGAGAAGATTTTTGCAATAAATATTTTCAACAAAAGACTAATATATAATATAGACAGAGAGCTCCTTCAAGGCCTTAAGGGCAACCTAATTCCTTTAGATAGAGAAAAGAACAGGCACTTCAGAAATGAGGATATCCAAATGGCCAATAGGCACCTGAAAAAAAAAAAACCCTCAACATTATTACTCATCATGGAAATGCAAAGGAAAACCACAGTTAGACACCACTGCAGCTCACTAAAATAGCTAAAATTAAAAAGACTGACAATACAGAGTCTCTGAATTCTCACACTTGCTGGTAGGAGTGTAAATTTGTGCATCCATTTGGAAGACTATTTGGTTGTTATCTACTAAAACTAAATATAAATCTACCTTACAACCTGTGCTAAGTATATACTCAAAGAAAATGAGGACAATGTGCCTATCAAGACATTTACAAGAATATTCATAGTAACTTTATTCATAATAGACGAAAGTGGAAATAGCCCAACTGCTAATCGGATGAACAAGCTGTGGTGTATTCTTATGTTAGAACATTACACATCAGCTTAAAAAACAATGAGCTACTGATGTATACAGAAGCATGAATGAATTTTAGATTGAGTGAAAGAAGCTACAAAAGGACACATATTACATGTACTCATAGGAGAACATGCAGTTTGATTTCATTTACCTGAAGTTCAAGAACTATGATGACAGAAGTCACATCACAACAATGGTTACTTCTGGGGTTGGATTGCCCAAGGGAACCTCCTGGAGTACTGAAAACATTTTAGTATCTTGAGCAGTGTGGCGGTTACAGGGGTATATACATATATAATTTATATTACATACTTTATATATTTTTTATCTTAGCAAAAAAAGTGAACACATTTACATGTATTATACAGTTTAGAATTGGCTGGTATGAATAAAATGGATAGTTAGCAATAACGTTTATGGGGTAACCTAAAAAGAGCCAAAAGCCATATACTGTAAACGTTTTGTAACTCCCAGAAAATATTAGTTCATTAACATTTTGCCGATTTTTTTTTCTTTTCAGCCTCTGACCTTTTTGAGCCTGGGAAATGCTTACCTTGCTCTGAAGAATATCAGTGGGGCACTTGAGGCCTTTAGACAGGCCTTGAAATTAACCACCAAATGTCCAGAGTGTGAAAACAGCCTGAAGTTGATCCGCTGTATGCAGTTTTATCCTTTTCTGTACAACATCACTTCTTCTGTTTGCAGTGGTAAGCAGCTTTCAAATGCTGACAAACTAATGAGCTCAGCCAGAGTTCCTCTTCTGATCAAAAGAACACAGAAAATGATTTTCTCTATTTTACCCAAGGATTTTAGATAACCAGTATAATTCCAGATGCATAGGAAAAGATGTTAATTCCTTACTTACTATAGATGCCTTAGGGTATTAAGGCTTAATTCTCTCTTAGAACTCTGGTTAAGAAAGGCTAACTAAAATATGTGGTATATTCAACTGGGATGGATAGGCTTTGAGATTTTTTTCCTCCCTCCAAAATCTCTGGTGTTTTATAATAACTGACATTCCTAGTAAAGTACATTTTTTCTGTCCATGAAGTCAAAGTATACAGTTTTAATTGAAGCAGTTCTTCTATATACTCAGTCACTGAAATACAGCTCCTTGTCTTTCATTGAAGGTGATTCAGACCTTTACTCTACCTTTAATATAGTGACCCAACATTAAGTGGCATATTTTTCTCTTCTTCCACTCCCTCCCACAGCATATATATGGGCATATATGCCTGTGTATAGGTGTATCCACCTGGGTAAAGCTAATATCTAAAGCTGTTGCACTTTCGTTATTAGAACCTTCTTTCTAAGAATCACATGATATTTGGTTCTCTGTTTAACCTTCACTATAAGAAAAAATAAAATCGTGAATTTTAACTCTCTGCCTTGAATTGGGATGGGTGCAGTTTACATACGTGTGGATCCTCAGTATCTAGCCATTGTAGAGTGCACAGTGGGTGCTTTATTAATATTCAAATTAGGTTATAATATTTAATCAGATGGATATTAGTTCAGCTCCTTCACTTTTGATATTTAAAAACAAAATCCTGACATCCACTTATTTATGTGACTTGTGTAAAAGACATGAATAATTATTAGTAGATTTGGGACCAGAAAGTGGTTTTGTTGATTCGCTATACCAGACTGCCTTACAATTTTAATAGAGTGATAGACGGTAAGTAGTGCTTGCCTTTTAAATATCAAAGCCCAATTATTTACTGAAGAAACCAAGAATCTCCCAGCAATATACCTCTGTAGCTCAGTTGTGGGTCAGTGTTGATCACAATCTGAATTAAAGTTCTTTTATGAATGTCAAAGGCCCAAAACAGTATAGCAAGGCAATAGAGTGGAGTGGCTAGCACTAGAATCTTACAGATTCATGTTTGAGCTGCAGCTCTGCCATTACTTTCTTTTTTATTTTTAAATTTTTTATATTTATGGATACATAATAGTTGCATTGTTCTTACCATATAGTAGATACTGGCTAAAAGTAAGCCATTAGAAATTCATAGTGAATACAAGGTGCTCAGAACTTTAAAGGTGCAAATTGTGAATTTTTATCTTCTTAATCCTGGAAGATATGCTGTGGTCTTTTTTTGTTTGTTTGTTTTTAATTCTACTGCATCTTCTCGCAACACTGTGGTCTTTTAAATGTTGTAGGTTACCTAAGAACAGCCTTATAAAAAGGATTTTACTTTTTCAATGAGCTTTTTATATTAATAGAATCTCTTTTCTTAATTTACTATCATCTCCCTCAACTCTGTTGAAATTTATTTCTGTTTTTGAGAAGAAGCATTTTGTCACTGTATACATGTAGTGACCCTTTTCTAAAAAGTCTTCTCCTTAGCATTAATTTTACATGTTTTTATTTAGTATTTCAGTTTCTTGAAATATATTCTTAGTACATGTAACTCATGTCAAAAGAGGGAATACAGTTGTCTTGAACTTTTTCCCCAGAATGTAACCTCAACTGGTCCAGGAAACTAATAACTTGGAACAGATCTTTCTCAGAGTTGTAGTATCTGATAGTCCAGAGAATTCAGAGAATATTATTGGGTCCAATATAATAACAATAAGAGAAAATAACTTGACATGGAAACACAATTTTTTTTAATAATAGTTCTTTCAGAGGGAGCTCATCAATAAAAAATATTTAGTACCTTTTACATTGTAATTAATTAATTTACTAAATTTAGTTAGAATGTCTGCTCAAACTCACTAAGGCCACCAGAAGAAGTTACTTAATCCTGGAATATATTCTGTGGTCTTCTTGTTTTAAAAATTCTACTGCATCTTCTCAGAATGCTGTGATCTTTCAAATGTCATAGTTTACCTAAAAACAGCTAATAGTCTATTACTGCTGGTAGACTTAAAATCATTCTGATATGAATTAGAAAATAATCCAACATTTGCTAATACCTAAATAAATACTGTTACCTCCTAATGGATATGTATGCTATAGCATTTTCTAGGTTTAAAAATTCATTAGTAGTAGTGAAACAATTTCAATATTGTGTTTTTCTTTGACAATGATTTTGAGTTACTTATTTCCAGAGTAATCCCATTCATTCATAGTTACTTTGCTGACTTGTAGCTTTGAAAAGCTAAAACTTGAAAGAAGCCAAACACCTTTATAGAAACCAGGAACTTCTTATGCTTGAAATCTAAACAGTTGCATCTATTCCAGTTATCTCTGAGCTTTGCTAAATAATTGATTAAAAAAAAAGGAAAAACCTCTGAAGGATGATTAGGATTTCTTTACCTTTAGTGAAATCAGATGATTCTGTTTGCCGTTTCCTTTTTCATGTTTGCAATATTGAAGTAAGTTTTATAAGTTATCTTGTCTGACATCTGTTTCAAGTATTTATTATGACAATATAGAGGTTTCAAGAGAGTGACAAGGCTTACGATTCTTTTTCCATGTAATAGTCATGGAATTCATGAGATTGCTGGCTGGGTCACAGAATTCATGATAATTGTTGGCCAGGCATGGTGGCTCATGCCTGTAATCCCAGCACTTTGGGAGACCAAGGTAGGTGGATCACCTGGTGTCAGGAGTTCAAGACCAGCCTGGCCAACATGGTGAAACCCCATCTCTACTAAAAATACAATAATTAGCTGGGCGTGATAGCGGGCACCTGTAATCCCAGCTACTCGGGAGGCTGAGGCAGGAGAATCAGACTTGAAGTTCAGGCTTGAACCCAGGAGGCAGAGGTTGCGGTGAGCTGAGATTGTGCCACCGCACGATCCAGCCTGAGTGACAGAGCGAGACTCCGTCTCAAAAAAGAAAAATAAACAATTATTTTTACAGCAACTATAATATAGTAGAATGTCTTAAATAGTATGACCTGGTGGTAAAAGGATGGGCAGTTTAACATTAGCAAGTATTTTGTTATTTTTCATATATAATCATGGAATTTTTAATGCAGATTTTTAATTTGTGTTTCTTGGAATGCCTATGCAGGTAATGTATTGTATCACTTGTAAATACTGTTTTGTTCAACTTAAAAATACACAATCACTATGCTAAAAAAATTTTTTTGTACTTATAAAGACTTTATAGCTAAAACTGTATTGATTAATGAAGTATTATTTATCTGACAATGTTTTCAAACTTTTATTAACCTACAAATCAATGTATTGGCTGCCATTTGTTAGATTCATGTGTTCTTATAGCAGCTGTTTATCATCATCATCTCTCCCTCTTTTGAATAAAATTTCATAAATCCTGGTCTTTTATAGGTAGTTTTATATCACTACCATTTCAAGGATGCTGTGAAGAACTTAATACATTGATTTTTTTTACTTGCCCACTCTTGAATTGACTGTAAAAGTTAGTGCTTTCAGTTTCGATTAAACATCTTGTTTGGGCAGTTTTAAAATACCTACTGTTTTCCACATTTATAGGCTTGTCATTTTACAGTTTTATTTAACTTAAGCAGAACTGAATTGGTTACTGTAGCAAACTTATTCTTCAATAACAGCTTCGTCCTTTTAAAAGTAAAATAGAATCTGTTAAATAAACTTATAATGCTTTTGAATATAAGCAATGTCTATGAAGTGCTCAACACTTAAAAAAAACAGCCTTTTTTTATTGGAAAAAATAAAAGTGTCACAGAATGAAACTTTATGGAACAGTAAAGGTTATCTTCTCTAAAAAATGGAAAATAACTTTTAATAACAATATGAGCAAAATGATTAAATATTGAATCTGTAGAAAAGTCCAGAAATACATTGATGTGGCATTACAACATGATAGTGGACTTTCCAAGCATTTATTACCGTAAAATATTTTTGAAATACTAATCTGCAAATTAAAAAGTTACATCTAGCAAAGATATTTTCTACTACTAAAGTAATCTAGGCTGTCTTATATCTTTGATACATTCGATTTTACTTTATTTTTAATGGTCTATATTTATTATTTTTCTTATATTAGCATAAAACCAATAGGTTCTATGTATTAGAATTTTATGCCACAAACAGCAACTTCGCTGTTTACAGCATATAATTAAGCATTAAACCCAAGATTTCTGAGCTCTGGTCATTTCTTAATTAATTGAGGCACACGCCTACTTAAAAAAATTGGCCCAGATCCTTAGAAAGAATGAATAAATATTATGCAGAAGAACTCAGACTTTAATGTTTAGGTGTTCCTGTAATTGTCTGCAAGTTTCTCTGTCTAATACATATTTGATATCTTTTGTCTCTGGAACAAAAAGTAGAATTTTCAAATCATATACGTGAGATTTAATATCTATTCCAATGTGCAGATGGATTATCTTGTCTTCACAGTGTTTCTGTATTTATAGCATCTATTTATGTAAATCATATCTCCTTTTATAACTTGTTTCATTGCCTGTAGTTTTAGTCTGTGTTCTTCAACCTAAATTTTTGTAGATTTGTAACTTGCAGCTTAAAGCAATTTTACAGAGTTCAGATGTTGAAGAAAAAGAAATCCTGCACTTTGCTGCCCTCCAGTGGATTATCCAGCATATATACTGCCTGCAATGAAGGATCTTTGCTTTATCACATCCTTTTACATTCTTTTATAAGAATTAGTGAAGGTATCTGCTTTTTAAAAAAAGATATTCTTATAGACCCAATTTTAATAGTACTTTTTTTAGAGGCAGGGTCTCACTGTGTTGCCCAGGCTGGAGTGCAGTGGCTATTCACAGACTCTATCATAGCACACCATAGCTTCTAACTCCTGGCTCAGGCAATCCTCCCATCTCAGCCTCCCAAACAGTTGAGACTACAGGTGTGTACCACTGCACCTGACTCTTAAACAGCATTTTAAATATGCTACTAGTTAGGTCACCTCCATTTATTTCTGTAAAAAGAATTAAAACTGGTTGATGTATTGCAGATTTTAAAATCCTGAGATGCAGGTATATCCTGCAACAAAACCAGATGTACTTCTGTGTATGTAATGTGTCTAAATCTGTATATTTCTTTACTTAAAAGGGCTGTAGTTATTTGGTTAACAAACAGTTTTTTAACATGTATCTTTAACATGTATTTAACATGTGATAGAGGAGAGAATAGGAAAAAGAATTTTTGTATTTATGAACCTACAAGCAAAGATTGTGATTTACTCAAATTACAGTCAGTCTTTGGCGGAGCTGAAACTAAAAAGTGAGTCCTCTGTCTTCCAGGGCCAGTGTGGTTCCTGTGCATAATTCTTCTACCTTCAGCCAATCATAAATTATTCCACTGCCATGATTGAAAGATTGGAAGAATTCATATTTGTAGATACCTGGGACATTTTATAAAAATGGTATAATCACTACACTTTTTATGTCATCCCTCAAAAGAGATGCATTTCTACGTAAAACATGGATGTAAACTGGATTATAGGGTGCAGTCATAATGAACCCCAAGAGCATACCTAAAATGGTCTCTCAGTTTAACATGTCACCCTGATCTTTTCTGAATCTTGCATCATTAGATTGCCACATAGCCTTCTATTTTACGTGGAAGATGTTATGCCTGTACTTTTGTAGTATTAGCTTAGTAGACAGTATTTTTCTTTTGGGATTTCCAGCATTTAGCTTTTTTGAACAAAAGGGATACTTTTGGTTTTTATAAGAACTTAGAGACAGTATTATCAGATTCTGATGACCAATGGTTTTATACTTCAGCCTCTGAAAGACATTATATATAAATATTTGTTGGTTTTTAATGTGAATTTTTTGTCCTGCATGCCAAAAAAAATGTTTTATTTTAAAGAATGAGCCTATTAGCCCTTGCCTGAGATCTTTTCACAGCTATTCATCCAGTCATTATAGGTTGTTAGCCTTGCCAAATAATACTTAAGAAATATGAAATTTGATAGAGGATATAATCTTCTAAAGCAACAATTTGTTTTCTTTCAACCAAAGAAAACTGGGTGTGGTTTATTCTTCATTCATTCATTCATTCAATGAACACTTATCTACTATATGCCAGTCACTATTCTAGGAATTGGAAACCAAACAGAAAATACCTCCAGCTCTTACAGAGCTACATTCTAGTAGAGGGAAACAGAGAGTAGATAATAAACATAATAAATCATTTAATTAGAAAGTGAGTGCTCAAGGGGTTGGGGTCATTAAGGGAGGCCCCACTGAGAAAGTGACATTTGAACATAAGACTTGAGGAAGGATAGAGGTTCTAAGCCATGCAGATATACAGCATAAAAGCATTTCAGGCAGAGAGAATAGCATTGCAAATGTTCATGTTAGGAATAGCAAGGAGGGCTTTCCATCTGTGGTGGAGATGTAGGAGATGAAAGCAGAGATAAATATGGTGGAGGATAGAGCCACTTTTTTGATGCCTTGCAGACCATTCTAATAATGTGGGCTTTTCGTCTAAGAGAAAGATGTAAGACTAGGAACTGGGCAACACAGCAGGAGGTGAGTGGTGGGCCAGCAAGCAAAGCTTCACCTGCGTTTACAGTCAGTCCCCATCACTCGCATTACTGCCTGAGCTCCACCTTCTGTCAGATCAGTGGTGGCATTAGATTCTCATAGGAGCATGAACCTATTGTAAACTATGCATGCACGGGATCTAGGTTACACGATCCTTATGAGAATCTAAAGCCTGATGATCTGTCACTGTCTCCCATCACACCCAGATGGGACCATTTAGTTGCAGGAAAATAAGCTCAGGGCTCCCACTGATTCTACATTGTGGTGAGTTGTATAATAATTTCATCATATGTTATAATGTAATAACGAAGTGCACAAAACATGTAATGTGCTCGAATTATGCCAAAACCCCATCCCCACCCACCCCCCAGTCTTTGGAAAAGTTGTCTTCTACGAAAGCAGCCCCTGGTGACAAAAAGGTTGGGGACTGCTGACTTGGAAGATTTTGAACACAAGAGTGAAATGAACTGATTTACATCTTAACATAATTCCTCTGGTTGCTCTGTTGAGAATAGACTAGTGGGGTAAGAGCGGAAGCATGAAGACCTGTTAGGATGCTATTGCAAAAATATCAGTGAGAGATGATATTGGCCTGTACCACTGGGGTGGACAGGGAGAAAGTGAGAAATGATCCTATTTGGAATATATTTTGAAGGTAGAACCAAAAAGACACTCCTAGAAAGGGATATGGGAAATGAAAGAAAGAGAGGTCAAGGGTGACTCTTAAATTTGGAACCTGAGCAATCAGGTAAATAGTGGTGCTATTTAATGAGATACTCAGGTCTGAGAAAGGAGCAGATTTGGGGAGAAAAACAAGTTTGGTTTTGGACATGTTAAATTTGAGTTGCCTATTAAGTGTTCAAGTAGAGATGTTGAATAGGTAGTTGGATACATGAGTGTTATAATGATGGGGAAGAGACCAGGCTAGAGATAATAATTTATGGGTCATGGACGTATGTATTTTCTAAGTCATTAGCTTGGATGAAATTACCTCAATAATTACTATAAAAAGGAAAATGGGTCAAAAATCAGTTACTAGGGTATTCTAGCCAACATTTAAAGGTCAGGAAGAAAAAGAGCAATAAAGGAGTAGCCAGTAAGCTAGTAGAAAAACCATTGAAGTATTTTATCCCACAAGCCAAGTGAAGAAAATGTTTTAAGGGGTTATCAAGCATATCATTATTATTGTACCAGCATGCTATATCCTGAGAGATTGAGCTGGATGTGGGCAGAGAATGAACCACTGGATTTAGTAACATGGAGATTGTTGGTAATCTTGTAAAAGCTTGTGTGAAATCGGTTTTGAAAGGAGGTGAGGAAGTGAGGATGGCAAGCAACTCTTAAGTTTTGCTATAGTGAAGAGCAGGAAAATGGGATATAGCTGGAGGGGCCTGTGGGGTTGAAGGTATTTGTTTTTGTTATTCTAAAAATAGAAAGCCCTGCAGCATGTTTCAGTAGGAATGATCCAGCAAAGTGGGAAAAATTGAAGATGCAGCTTAGGGCTAACTGTAGAAGCAGAATTCTTGAGTAGACAGGAGGGGATGAAATCTAAGGCACAAATGTAAGAGTAGTCCTTAGGAACAAGGATGATATATAAGTAAAGTTGTAGGTATGTTGAAAGATGTGATGGTGGGACTTCTGGTTGCTTCTCAGCAACATATTAGGTGACTTGTCAGATGAGAGTGAAGAGGTACAGAGAATGTTGGAGATTTGATGAGAGAGGAAAGGCTGAAAACAGTTGTCTCAGAATGCGAATTAACTAGAGAGGTTTCTAACTTTGGTAACTGGATAGACGTCAATGTTGTTAAGAATGGGAATACAGAGGAGAAATCATCTATGCATTGATGTGCTGGGAATAGCAAGTTCAGTGATAGACATGTTCATTTGGAGATGCCTCTGATTCCCTCAGAATGTGCAGGATGTGAAGAAAACGCCAAGAATGGAATCTTAGAAAATACTAACATTTAAGGAACAGAGTCAGGAAAGAGTGCGTAAATAGAGGCACTGGAAGAGCAGGGTCATGAAGTTTAGAAGAACAGAGAGTTTGAGAGGGACAAAGAGGACAATAGTAGTGTGTCCTGAATTGATTCATTTGCAAGCTTTTAGTTGGTATTTTAATTTTAATATTTATGGTTTATTTTGATGAGCATTAGAAAATATATTTAGCTGGTACATAAAACCTCTGATTTATGAAAAATGATAATGATTTTCCCTTTTAACCTAAATTAGTGTAAGATTAGACTTTAGATTCATTAAAGAAAAACATTATGTTAAGTAATGATACTGCTAGCTATGGAAAAATCATGATAGTAATTGGTAAATGAATAAACTGTGGGAAGCTCTGGGTTTAACAGTTTAGAAATCATTGGTGACTTCATTTTATCAAAAGCATTTTCTATAAAATGAGGAAATAGCTACACTAAAACAACATTAATAAATTTTAGAATAATGAAAGTATTAAAGTGAGCTCTCTATATATAATTGAATTACTTTTAGAGCTATTAGATATAGTTTCTAAAATATAGCTCATTTTATCCTGTTACTTAGTGACTAAAATAACTTTAAAGCAAATAGGAGATGAAACCAATAATCATTCTTTTTCCTTTTTTTTTTTTTTTCCTGAGGCGGAGTCTCGCTCGCTCTTGTCGCCCAGGCTAGAGTGCAGTGGCTCTGTCTCGGCTCACTGCCATCTCCGCCTCCCTGGTTCAAGCAATTATCTTGCCTCAGCCACCCCAGTAGCTGGAAATACAGGTGCCCACCACCATGCCTGGCTAATTTTTTGTATTTTTGGTAGAGACGGGGTTTCGCCATGATGGCCAGACTGGTCTCAAACTCCTGACCTCAGGTGATCCACCTGCCTCAGCCTTCCAAAGTGCTGGGATTATAGGTGTGAGCCACTGTGCCCGGCCAAGAATCATTCTTTAAAAAACATGTAATAATAATAGAACACAAATGAGGAAAGCTTTCTTTAAAAACTTCATTTGTTAGAAACATGAAAAGGTGGCTGGGCATGGTGGCTTCACGCCTGTAACCCCAGCACTTTGGGAGGCCGAGGCAGGCGGATCCCCTGAGGTCAGGAGTTCAAGACCAGCCTGACCAACATGGCGAAACCCCATCTTTACTAAAAATACAAAAATCAGCTGGGTGTGGTGGTGCATGCCTGTAATCCCAGCTACTGGGAAGGCTGAGGCAGGAGAATTGCTTGAACCCGGGAGGTGGAGGTTGCAGTGAGCTGAGATTGCATCATCGTACTCCAGCCTGGGCAAGAGAGACTCCATCTAAAAAAAGAAACATGAAAAGTTAATTGTGTATTTTTAATAAAATAGTAGAAAACCTTGATGGGCAATTGAAGAAATAGGGCATTTCTCAGAAGGATAGTCTAAGCCCTGTAAGCAAGAGGGGGTCTGTTTTATATAGTTCCCCCTAGTCATTTAACAAGGTATTTTTAATATGGTTTGTTGCTGCAATTGTATTTCATTCTCCTTACAGGAACTGAAGGGGGCTGACTTCTTGTTATATACACTTGTGTGTAGTGAGTTAGGCAAGTTCATTGCATGTTGTCTAAATCTTGAGTTTTCATTCATCATTCTAGATGTTTTGGAGACATTTCAGTTTATGTAATGTTAAGCTTTGCCATCTTAGATAGCAAGCATTTATACAACTCTTCTCCATTCAGAAAGATGATTCTAGCTGGGCTTGGTGGTGTGCATGGTAGTCCCAGCTACTTAGAAAGCTGAGGTGGGAGGATCACTGGAGACCAGGACTACGAAGCTAGGGTGCACCCTGATCACACCACTGCCCTTAAACCTGGGAAACATGATGGGACACCTGTCTCTTGAAAAAAAAAATTTTTTTTTAATTATTCTAATTGGCAAAATACACAACCTATTCTACGTTGGTAGAGTGGGCTCTTTTTAAAATTTCTAAGTGATTTGTGCCTCAGAAAATTATGTTTGCTTTGAGACAGTTGAAATGAGTTCCTAGTTTTAGACTATTTTTTTAAAACAGCACCAACTATGTAAACCCCTTTTCATATTTAATCATTGTATGATCTCTACTCAGTTCCATGGTCTGATGGATATAAAGCAGCAAGTCTGGTAATCATTAGAAAAGAGCATTCGTGAGATTTTAAAACACATAAGACTGAGGATGTCTGCCATATATATGTGTACATGTGTATGCTGTTTGGGTTTTTCTCCCCCTTTTTTCTTTCATTGTTAGTATTTATTACTAGTGGTTGAATTTATTTCATACTGAGCCACTCTTTGGCCAGGAAAATCTCAGTAATCTGTTACTAACCAGCAAAGTATATTTAATTATTATCTCAAAGATGCAGGAGAAATTTAAATCACATTTCACAGATATTGAAAAGGCCATAGCTTTGGATTTGTCTTCCCGTTTAGTTGCCTTTTATAGGAACAAACCTAAATTTGTCATTCAAATTTTGCCATCCTTTAAACCTCTTTAGCTGTCAGGCTTTGTTAATAACCCAGTCAGGTCACAAATATACAGTGAGATGATTATGGAAAATAATAAGCACAATTTGCCTAAGTACATTTCAGGAAAAAGAGCTAGAGGTCCGTAGCAGCTGAGCGGATACTGCTGTCAAGCAAGTTTTCTGATTCCTGCTGCACCTCTGTAATAATAAAGCCCTATTTCACTTGATGATGAGAAATACAGCTAGAGAAAAACCTAATATGAACAAATTAATAATCAATTCACCACCCCTCTCACAGTACACTGGCTAAAAGCCATAAATGTTGAAAGTTGGGAGAGACTGAGTAAGATCCTGGAAACCATGTTATTACCTGCAAAGTGGCCACTGAGGTGAGTGCACCAGGTGACTTTCATTTGGTGGCATAAAGCAAGAGGAAACAATATGTAACAAAAATACATAATATCATCATGTGCTTTTCACTTTCCCCTTGATCATGCATTGGCCATATTTACTTACGGGTAAGTAGATATGTTCAAATTAAAGTGCCTATCTTAATTCCATACCCTTGAGGCAGGATCTGCAATCAGGGTATTAGGAAACTTTATTACTGAGATCCATCCACAAGTCTCTGCTCATAACATTGTTTGATAGAGGGACTTCAGCGGGATTTTTTAAACTTTGGTTTGAATATCATACTTGCTACCTCTACCAATGCAAAGGACATTTCCTAGTGCTTGATCTTTTTCCTTCTATCTAGGACCTATGAGGTATTACTAGACTCAAATCTTGATCAATTATGGAATAACTAGGATCTTGAGTTCTCATTTCAAGATACTGTCCTTGTAATTCACTTAATTTGAGGAGAAAAAAAGACAAAATAGCCTTTATAACTTCATTAGCCTCAGCCTTGCTCTATATCCTTGCTCTAGGGAAAAAGACAAGCCTGATAAGCCCAAAAAGTGCTGGGCATAATTAAGGATTGGTTTCTGCTCTCAAGGAGCTAGGAGAGTCTTGTTAAAGAGTTGTGTAATGTACAAGGTCTGTTGGTTTAAATATTATATTTACTACCTATACCAGTGGTAAGTTTAAATATCATACTTACTACCTAAACCAAGTCTAGTTTGCTAGTAAGTTTTAAATACCAATACCATATTTTAAACTTTGGTTTAAATATCATACTTACTACCTATACCAATGCAAAGGACATTTGGTTGGCCTAAATATCATACTTACTACGTAAACCAAGTCTGTTGGTTTTCCTACTCGATCACTTTCCTGTGTGTCAGCAGGTGACCACTTGTAGCAGGAAAAAGGAGAGGCAGATGGTAAACACTAAGGGTTGTGGGTAGCTAGGAAATCTAAGCCCCCTCCGACTGTTTGTATGCTTGTTCTGAGTTTAAGAATTGAGTGAAGCAGACTCACTGTAAGAGTGTGTGATTGAATCAGAAAGATATGTTGTATTTTACTCACTGACCGTAAGAACTTTGTAACATCTGCCTTTTGCAGAATCCGTGGAAATTGTACCAAATCTTGGTACCAAATGATGATGCTATTGCGGGTAGTTAATTTTCTTGACTACATACATCCTGCTTTGCTAGTTTGATGAGTTAGCACTCATTGCTTTCTGCAGCTCTATCCCATAACTCTCCAGCTCTTTCCCACAACACATACACATAAAAGTACCAATTTTACCCATCTTTCAAGACCCACTTCCACCATATGCCTTACTTGATCTTCTAATTATAAGTAATGTGTAATCAGACAATTTAACTGTGCCTCTCCTTTGGCTCCTGTGACTTGCCATGGTAGTTATCTGTGTACATCATACAACTCTCTAACAAGA
Organism: Homo sapiens; assembly: GCF_000001405.40. Taxonomy (NCBI): domain Eukaryota; kingdom Metazoa; phylum Chordata; class Mammalia; order Primates; family Hominidae; genus Homo; species Homo sapiens. The sequence goes on from NC_000011.10 coordinate 43,427,766, forward strand.
CTCCTAGCTCCTTGAGTACAGAAACCAATCCTTTTTTCATCTGCATACCCCAGCTCACCAAGCATTCCATACCCTCCCCCCAACATTTAGCACATAGAATATTCTTTAATGGCAAAGTAGCTGATGATATTTCAAGTCTGAACTACTCAGATAACTAAGTATTAAATGTAATAATGAGTAATTAACTTGTATCCACCCAAAGTTTGCCCAGAGTGCTTTCTAGGAAACCCCCCTCAATATACATAAGTAGATACAAATCTCCTTTTAAGGTCTACAGTTCCCACTGTAAGAGGGGGAAGAAAAATGGAATTGTATTGTCTTACTGGTCCAGTAGGAGCTAACATGTCTGACAAGTGGCCTGTATTGTCCCACCTTCAGTCCCTCCTGTTTTTAATGAAAGTTATAAACTAGTGTCTCTCTCGACCCTCATTGAAAACTAACACCTATGAGTCAGTCTCAGGAAGTCTGTTGAATTTGTTTCCCCAGTATTCTTGCTTAAAGAAAAGTTCCCTAGGCTGAAGTAAGCCAGAGATTTAAATTAAAAAAAAAATAGCTATGTCAGTTAATTTTCTTTTTCAATATAATTTCTGCATGGAAAAGTCTCATAGTAAACTTATAATGAATTTTAAATTTGCTTTAGATATGTAATCTGATCATTTACCTTTCTAGAAGCATTTATAACTGCTGAAAGCCTGGATTCTTCATTAAAATAGTTTCTAACACAGCCTACATGTCATGGTATCTGTGTCTCAACTGGTGCTGACTTTGCTTTCCGTGCTGTAGTCATTTAAGAGAAGGCCACATGGCAAGACCAAGAGGCCAGATTTATAGCCAGTTCTCCTTTCTCTACTCTAAAAGGCAGCAGGGCATATGGGATGCAGGGGCATATAGGTCTGCAGAAACCAATTCAGCTCTAAATTCTTGGGCAAAGCAAGTTTCAGGTGTGACCATGTGTGAACAGAGTATTTCCCAGGACAGAATTTAACTCCAGAATATGTAGTAAAAGGAAAACACACACACATACACATTCATATTTGGGAATCACATACTTTTCTTTCTTTCCTTCTTTTTTCCTGTAAACTCTTCTGACTTAATCACCTCACCAGGAGAGAGTGCTGATTTCTGGTCTTTACTATGGTCTGTTTTCTCTTTGCCATTGTACTTTTGAGGTCAGTCAGCACATAACCATTATTTTAAAACCTTCTGCAAAGAATTTCATTCAGCAGTAATTACTGAATGAGAACAAGTCTAAGGAGCCATTATTTCTGTTCAAATAATTTCTTTTTTCTTTCCCAAATAGAGGATAGAACAGGGCAGAGGAGGTGAGGCATCTTCATTTGTCTCAGGTACAGTCATCAGCAACCTAGGTTTCACCCAGATTCAGGTTCTGTATGCTTATATTAGCAGTGGTTTCATTAACGACGTTTCCCAAGAATCCTCTGACAGTAGGACAGTAGTTTGTTTCTCCATTTCAGAGTAAAAAATCCTAGACACAGAAATGTAAATTGATTTGCCCAAGTTTGTACAGTAAGGCTGCAGCCAAGGCAGGATTTGAATTTATACCATGGAAGTGTTCCTCTTGGTAAAAGGTCTGTTAGACTCTGTTACAACCTCTGGAGGTGAAAATCATAAAGGTATCTATTCCCAGTAAGGTCTCCTTTTCCCTCAGCTATACCTGTTACTCTGTGTGGTGCCAAAGTCCCACATGTCACCTGTAGTAAAAGCTTCCTGGTAATATTTTTAAGTAATTTTGTATAACAGTGGTGAGCAACTGAAAGATATATTTTTGTTCACTTCATGGTATTTTACTACCTCTTCTAAAAGACAGATTATATTTTACTAGAGATAAATATGAAATAGTGTTATTAGGTAGCTTAAATTATAATAAAAGGAAACAGTCACCATGTGTTTCTGAGCTACCTATTTCCAAAAGAAATCATTTTTAAAACTGCATAATTTTGAGTGCAGTTGGGTAGAAAGGTAAGGAGAAAATACTATAGAAAAAGTCACTCATATCTGTTAAAAGGATGATGATGTCTGTATTTTCCACATAGGTACTTTAATTGAATATATCGGAATGCTTCCTGTAGGGTAACCTTTCTGAAAGGCAGAAGAAAGTAGACTGTAGAGTATAATATAAGCCTGTTGGAGCAGGGATGGTAGGAAAACCGTTAGAATATTCCACTGTTTCACAAAGACTACTTTTCTAACATCTTTGCCTTAAATTTTGAATTATAGCTCCTATTACAAATCAGTTTATTATTTATGTCTTAGAAATTAGTTTTATAATAAATTGCATGGGAATATAACTTATATTTACTGTATGAAAACAAAAAGTTTGGGGAAGCTTCGACTGAAGCAAGATTAACAAACTAGAGGGGGCTGAGCACAGTGGCTCATGCCTATAATCCCAGCACTTTGGGAGGCCAAAGAGGGCAGATTGCTTGAGTTCAGCAGTTTGAGACCAGCTTGGGCAACATGCTGAAACCCTGTCTCTACAAAAATTACAAAAATTAGCCAGGTGTGGTGGCGTGCACCTGTAGTCCCAGCTACTCGAGAGGCTGAGGTGGGAGGATGGCTTGAGCCTGGAAGGCAGAGGCTGCAGTGAGCCCACATCATGCCACTGCACTCCAGCCTGGGTGACAGAGCAATTCTGCCTCCAAACAAACAAAAAAAACTAGAGGGAGGGAGTTGTTGAACAGCAAAGAAGTAAAAGACTATAGGTAACATGGTACCCATAGCCTATTTTCATATTGTAAGGCAGTCTGTCTATTAAAATGTCCTTTAGAGAGCACAGAGCCTACTGTGAGACTAATTTCTAAGTGTACTAAATATTTTGGGGCTTAGATATGCTAAGGAGTTTGATCTGAATTAATCGCTGCTTTCTTCTAAAAGATTGGTAGAAATGGACTCTATACTGCCCCCAGCATCCCCTACATACACGCACACACACACACACACACACACACACACACACACACACAAAGTTGAAATTATGCAGATACATTGATAACTTCTTTTTTTAATTATTATTATTATACTTGAAGTTCTGGGATACATGTGCAGAACATGCAGGTTTGTTACATAGGTATACATGTGCAACGGTGGTTTGCTGCACTCATCAACCCGTCATCTACATTAGGTATTTCTCCTAATGCTGTCTCTCCCCTAGCCACCACCCCCTGATGTGTGATGTTCCCCTCCTGTGTCCATGTGTTCTCATTGTTCAGCTCCCACTTATGAGTGAGAACATGTGGTGTTTGGTTTTGTTTCTGTGTTAGTTTGTTGAGAATGATGGTTTCCAGCTTCATCCATGTCCCTGCAAAGGTTATGAACTCATCCTTTTTTATGGCTGCATAGTATTCCATGGTGTATATGTGCCACATTTTCTTAATCCAGTCTATCATTGATGGGCATTTGGGTTGGTTCCATGTCTTTGCTGTTGTGAATAGTACTGCAGTAAACATACGTGTGCATGTGTCTTTATAGTAGAATGATTTATAATCCTTTGGTTATATACCCAGTAATGGGATTGCTGGGTCAAATGATATTTCTAGTTCTAGATCCTTGAGGAATCACCGCATTGTCTTCCACAGTGGATGAACTAATTTACGCTCCCACCAACAGTGTAAAAGCGTTCCTATTTCTCCACATCCTCTCCAGCATCTGTTGTTTCCTGACTTTTTAATGATTGCCATTCTAACTGGCGTGAGATGGATACCCTGATAACTTCTAATAGCAGGTTAATTGTTCATACTAGAGATTCTGAGTTGGCTATAACTAAAAGGCCTTATTTTAAAAAGATTACATTGGGATAACTTACTATTCCAGTGCAGCTTTTCAGGGAGTCAGGGCTAATAATAATAGCATCTTACCATGTGCTACGCAATGGTCTAGCTCTTTGCATGTAATTCTCAACAACCTAATGAAATGGATATTATTATTAAGCTCAATTTGCAGCCAGTGCAGTGGCACACGCCAGGAGGCTGAAGTAAGAGGATCACTTGAGCCCAGCAGTTCAAGTCCAGCCTGGGCAACATAGTGAGACCCCCATCTCTTAAAAGACAAAAACAAAAAACTCACTTTGTAGATGAGGAAAACGATTCACAAAAAGGTAAAGTAACTTGTCTTGCGCCAGGCTGTACCCATAACCACTGCTCTAATGCTCTTACAAAGTTTTGATGCCTCTCAATTCATTTGTGGCATTTCTTTATTATAACTAACCAAAAAGCATCCTAAGTTACCCAACCAGGAATCTCTACCAATATATGAGATTTAGAAGGTAAGAATTCTTTTTAACAAATAAGTGGTTACCCAACTCTAATTAGAAAGTGGAAAATACTCTTCTAGCAATTTGTAAACAATTAAGATGAGAAGATAGGAGATCCTGAGAACTTAGAATACTTTGAAAAACTGTTTAGCCACATGATAAATTGTGACTTTACCCGTCAGGAGACTTTACTTTGACAAGTATATTAAATATGTAGTTGTTTTTGCAAACACCCTTGTAGGATAGGTTAGTATTAATTACCCTATTTATGCAGGAGATATCTAAGCATAGAAAAGAATGTTAATATACTAGGATCTCATAGTAGTTCCAGAATCAGAAATACCCTTTTTGGAGTTTTATACTTAGTTGATAGTCTTGTAGTCTCTTACTTCTAAGAAAAACCGAACTGCCAGGATTTGAATTAGATGCTAAATGCTTTGCAAGCAAGTAACAGCATTAAACACAGAAAAGTGTTTTCCATTTTCACCTGGGACCTCGTTACCTAAAGCATTTTGTTTAAATAGTGTTGTTCCTTTAAAGAAAACTCATACCTCTCAAGGTTAGTGTAAGTCATAGAATCTCCCCATTTTTGTGTCAGCAAAAAATAAGTCTTATGCATAGAAGATGACTTGCTACTTTCCAGGTATCTTTCCATTTTTCCTTCTCCAATATTTTCCTGTGTTTCTTTCATGAGAACATCATTCCGACCTCTGCCAGGAAAACAGGCAATATTTTTCCACAAAGGCAACTTTTTTTAGTTCCCCTTTGAGCTGGAGCAGACCTATACGGTAGTCTAAAGAATGGAAATTTTAAGTTCTTCTGAAATACTTCACCTACCCTTAGAAACTGGAAGGAGTAATTTTTAAAATTAGATAATTCAACTATCGCCAAGCTACATATGCAAATCACATCAAAACCCTAAACCGGTCTGGTTTTTTTTGTTGGTTTTTTGGGTGTTTTGTTTTGTTTTGTTTTGTTTTGTTGGAGATGGAATCTCGCTCTGTCACCAGGCTGGAGTGCGGTGGCGCAGTCTCGGCTCGCTGCAACCTCTGCCTCCCAAGTTCAAGCGATTCTCCTGCCTCAGCCTCCCAAGTAGCTGGGACTACCGGCATGTGCCACCATGCCCAGCTAATTTTTGTATTTTTAGTAGAGACAGGGTTTCACCATGTTGGCCAGGATGGTCTCGATCTCTTGACCTCGTGATCCGCCTTCCTCAGCCTCCCAAAGTGCTGGAATTACAGGCGTGAGCCACCGCGCCTGGCCAAACTGGTCTGTTTTTAACAGTTGAGCGTAAGAACGTTAGTATTCACAATTCTACTCTTAAAGCATGTAGCTTTTATGTGATCATTTTGATGCCTACTTCCAAGAAATACCCTAACATAAACCTCTTACTCTTTTTTTATTCCTCCTGTTCTCCTCCCGATTCTTCTTCTCCTCTCCCTCTGAGAGATGTTGGCCCCAATTTTGTGAATTTGAGGACAAGACATTCTTAGAATGCACATGGCTTGCACAAGATGTCTGAGTTTGAGGTCATGCAGAAGGAGTAATTTAGCTTCAGGGTCCCTTGTGCACATAATATTTTATAAATTACCTACAAGATATTTTTTCGTATTGCATAAGTTTAAAAAGATGAGACCAATTAAATTTTTACTGTGGGCAGAGGGTGGGAGAGAAACAGAAGAGAATCAAATGTTGAGGGAGGAAATCAACTTCAGAAAACACAGAGTTTCACTGGGTTCCAGTCTTAAATGTTTGTCGTTTGCTTTTATAATGTTTTACACAACATGTATCAATGTGAAGAATGCTTTAATCAGCATCATTGTCATAATTATTTCCTCTCTGCTTTTAATAGTCGTGCTTATTTATATCCCAATTAAGAATTGTCTCTGAGAAGTGTGATGTTCTTCATAATAAATTATACTCAATTGGGTGTGCAGAGTTGGTTGATGTCATTATTCTGTTTTATTTTAATGCTCTTATGTTTAGCTCCCCTGACTTAACTACACATACCAGATGGTGAAAATAGAAGTGGAGGCAAATTAACAACCTCTGTCCTGTCATAGGAGAATCTGGAGAAAGAAAGCAACTACCATTGCTCATGGCTTCTTTCCCATTAGCCCTCCATGGGCGGGGACACACACACACACACACACACACACACACACACACACACACACACACACACACACACACACACTCTCATGGCCTCTTTCCCATTAGCCCTTCATGGGTGGGCACACACACACACCACATTCAGTCTTTTACAAGTTGTACTTTTCACTGCTCCCAAACACAAATGAGAATTCCTGTGCCTGTTGCTTTGCCCAACACATTATTCTTCCTTGCCTAGAATGCTGCCTTCCCTACTGATCGGCGGGGGGAAGCCTAGAAGCCTTGTAATAAGATAAACCTGATCCAGATCTCAGATCTACTACTTACTTTTGACTTTAGGCAAGTTACTTTATTTCACTGAGAATCGGTTTCCTCATTTCTAAAATGAAGATGCACATGGTTTTTATGAGGATAAAGTGGAGGAAAAAATATAAAGCATTCAAAAAATATTTCTTCCATTTCATGTAGTTCCCCTTTTATAAGTCCTGCCTATTCTTTAAAATTCGAGTTCTAACTACTCAAAGCTTATTCTCTGAAGCACTTATTTGGAACAAGTATTCTTTGCTGTCTTGTATTTACTGTCTCCCCAAGTTGTTTGTCGATTTCTTGAGAGCTAAAACTCTTAAAACAAAGAATCCTCAATTTCTGACATAGTCTTGTTAAATATGGTAGCCTCCAATGTATAATAGTGTAAAAGTGGAAAATGGAAAATGACTCTCTAAGCATGTGGTCCCCTTACTCTAAAGTCATTAAGTTGGAAAAGGTTTTGAGTCCATTACATTTTCTTGGCACAGTAAGGGAGATGGCATTAGAAGTACTTCCTTAAATTGTGAAATCTGAAAGAGAGCCATCAGTCAAGAAAGAGACATCTTGTGTTTCCACTCATGTGGAGAGAGCTTGATTTGGTGAATCTGTACACACAGATAAGATGATAGATAGATAGATAGATAGATAGATAGATAGATAGATAGATAGATAGATAGATCGGTCTATCTTTGAGACAACATTCTCTAAAAATTAAACATAGAATGTGTTTGAATGTTCTGGTAAAGGAGAACAGCTACTTACACACTCTTAACCAAAGAATTGTCCTCTAACAGGAAAGTTGTGATTCTCCAATGAAAATGCATTTTCATTGACAATGTCCATGGAACACAAGGGGGAAAGAGGACACCTGTTCAGCTTGCCAGATCAGCTAGAACTAATCAAGGGTAGTCAAAGGAGGGACAGATGTCAGCCAGATTGCTGCCATGTTAGATATAACTATCTGGTAACATACTCCCCTACCCAGAGAATGACCATCAGGTATAGCTGAATAGTGGGGGTTTGGGTTCATATTAACACAAAACTCTTAATAGGATCAAAATCCTTTGACTCACAGGTAAAAGTCGCCATAGAGGTCATTCCCACTATACATGCCGAAAGTTATTTTTATTGATATGACCAGAACCTGTTTTCCAAAAGAAACATTGCAAAACATTTCCAAAAGTTATATTGCAGCCTTAATTGTTGACTTTCTGCCATCATCCCCCTTTAATTCTTTGGCTTTTAATTTTTAATAATTCCTCACCTTTTGGTATATCTCATTTTAAGCCATGATGCAAAAATAGTATTTTTCTCTGCTATAATTTATCTCAGACTTATCCAGGTATTAACCTGTCATTTCTCACAAATAGAAGGAAAGCTTTTTGATGATATTTCTAACTTCAAGAAAATATTTCATGGCCATTATGAATGGAACAAGGTCTTGGGGCTTGATCTTTGTTGTTACAGTTGTTTTTCTCCTCCTAAATACTTGACAATAGCCTACAGCTGAAACTTGAACTTCAGCGCAAAATCTTGAATCACAGTAATGATCTGGCTTTGGGTGCTGCAGCTCACTGATTTTTGTGTGTTCTGCTGAAGAAAAACCGGCATTGTCACATTTTTGCTCTTCTTGATATTTTAGGACCTTGTACTGTAGTACTACACGAGAGATATTTCTAATGTGCTATATCTGTGTCTCTTGTCATTGAGGTAATTGTCATGAGAAAACCCTGGACAACAGCCATGACAAACAGAAATATTTTGACAACTCACAGTCACTGGATGCTGCTGAAGAAGAGCCCTCTGAGAGAGGAACAGAGGAGGACCCTGTATTCTCTGTTGAGAATTCAGGGAGGGACTCAGATGCCCTTAGACTTGAAAGTAAGTTGATTTGACCTGAGCTGTGCTTCTGGGGAAAAATCAACTCTCAAGCTTTAAGCTTAGGCTTTTCTCTACTTTTAAGAATTTGTTTTCTTCTTTAACAATCATTATATTGTAGCATCATGAGGGTGACCCCTAGGTGGTGAGGCAGAAGACAAGCTTTAGTGTGAAAGTGTTCACACCTCAGTGTCTTCTGTTGCTAGAACAAATCTGATTTGTTTATGTATCAGTCTTCTTAATGTTACTGGTATATTGAGTAAATCATTATAAAAGGAAGATAAGTTGCTTTTACATTAAACCCAGTAAAATATGAAGATTTGGAATAGTGGGCTTACCTATTACGCCCTCTCCTAAGATTCCATTTTATGACCCACATTTTGAGCTATATTGTACTAAACAGTTCTTGCTAAGATTATCAGAATTGCCAAAACGCATGACTTCTTTTTAGTATTCACCCACTTGACCACTTTACTCTATCTGGAACCATGCATAACTCATCCCCACTTCTTGAAACTCTCTCCTTTCCTCTTGGCTTCTGGAATATCACTTGCTCTTAGCTTTCTTCTATCCACACATCATCTTTTAAAATTTCTTTCACTTACACTTTATTCTGCCCTTTATTTGTTGGGTTATCCAGGATCCTAACTTTGACCTTCTATTCTCATCCTTCTATGTATTATCTCTTGGTGATTCAAATACCCTTGACTACACCAATGTCTCCAGACCTATATTTCAGCTAAGACATTCTCTACAACTCCAGATCTTATTTCTACTTTTTTTTTTTAGCGTACTCTTTATCTGGATGTGCCATAGGCACTTAAATGTAGCATATCCAAAATTGAACTCTTCTTCATATTGGCCCTATTTTCTGAAATGCTTCTAATTTCTGTATTCCTGATCTCTCTTAAGAACATCACAACTCACCCAGGCACCACTGTATCCAGTCAGTCTCTCAGACCTGTTGCATCTATATCTCTTCATTTATTCCCACTGCCACTGCTTGAATTCAGACTTTCTTCATTTCTGCCTACACTATTGCAGTAGCGTCTTAATTTGGCTCTCTAAATCTAGTCTTTTATTTTAGTCTGTATGTGAAGAAAGAGAATACATGTAATCAATACAGAATTTTAAAGGCGGAAACAACCACTGTTAACTAACTTTTTGTGCGTCCAAAGAGTTGTTTCTAAAATGTAAATCTGATCAGATTTGCAAGTTACTTAATCTTCCTGAGCCTTTCTTACCTCATTTATTTAAAAACAAACCAACAAAAATGCTGTATAGAGTGGTTTTGAGTATTTAAATGAAATAACTTTGGGAAGCATTTATTTTAGTGCCTGGTACTCAGAACCCAGTAAATGTTCTACAAATGTAGATATAATTGCATCTTCAGGAGTCAAAGTCTTTACAAACACATACACATAGTACATGATCAGTAAACATCTGTTCAGTTCAAGGGAGCCATAATACATTTGCACAAGAATTGTTACAGGAAAGATTCCCTGTTTGCTTTTCTGGGTTATCTACTCAGAGTTCCCAGTTTTCTCTTGCTATAGTGACCCAGCTAAAAAAAGGAAGAACGCCACTGGTGGCAACAAATACTTATGATTATTGTTTTCTGCTCAGAAGAGAATGATTTCCCTACCTACCTTAATCCGAATGATTTAATCTAAGCCTTTTGCGCTTTCTGATTACTGGCTTGAAATTTTATGTCATTGTTTATATGTTAAATTGTAAGCATATCTGCAGCTTTCCAATCTGACTTCAAATCAGATCACTGCCTTTTAAAGAGAACCCTAGGACTGAAGACAGAATTGCCCAAGGCCCTATGGTGGTAATCTTTTTTTGAGGAGTCTCACTCTGTCACCCAGGCTGGAGTGCAATGGCACGATCTCGGCTCACTGCAACCTCCACTTCCCGTGTTCAAGCAATTCTCCTGCCTCAGCCTTCCAAGTAACTGGGATTACAGGTGCATGCCACCACACCCAGCTAATTTTTTTGTATTTTAGTGCAGATGGGGTTTCACTGTGTTGCCCAGGCTGGTCTCAAAGTCCTGAGCTCAGGCAATCCACCCACCTTGGCCTCCCAAATGCATGAGCCACAGCGCCCGGCTGTATGGTGGTAATCTTAATTTGGAATCAAGTTTGTCTAATTCCTTAGAATACTCTTTCTCTTTTGTGAGACAAAGGGACATATTCCTTCTACAGTATTGTTATTAAAGATAGTATGTGCCTTACTTGCCTTCAGAAGCCACAATCTTAAGTACTCTGGCACCCATTGATATTACTCATGCAAGACTTTCTGGAGGAAGATGTTGTCGGTCAGATTTTGTTGGCCATCTCTTTGAATTTGTGTTCTTTACCTCTTTCTATGGCTGTGTTTACTTCTGTCTTGTTTTGAATCTAGCACTCATCTTTCCATCCTCTGCTCCCTAAACTCCTTGAAACTTCTCTTCCAAGATTGTTAATGTTGTTTCTTATCAAATATAGTCACCTTCTGTTAATTGGCTTCTGATATTCCACTCCCTCTCAATAGTGTCCTCTGCAGCCATTAACTGGCTTCTGTTTCTACTCCAGGTATGATGATCCCAGTTTCTTCCCGGATAACCATTGTCATTTGATCCAAAAGTCTTTCCTAATATTGAGCCTCTCATTTCTAGTTTTGTCTTATGAGGCTAACAGCATCAGTCTTGTTTCTCATTAATAGCACATTCCCTTAGGCGTTGAAGATGGTTATTGTTCCTGCCTACCTTCCTTTCCTATGTCTTTGCTTCTCTTCAGTTAAATGTCCTCACTTCCTTGAATAACTTATGTTATGGCATCTAGTCTCTTCATTGTCTTTGAAGTAATCTCTTTGGAATTTTTCAAAATCTTTTCAAGCCCGAATTTTTGGTGCAATATATCAGCTACTCTTCCTGCCACTGGATCCCCGTCGACTTCTTCAGTCTGTCTTCATTTAATGTGGTTTTGAGTACTTTTGCCAAGTATATTTTCTGTGAATGTGCTCTGCTTTGGATATCTCTTAAAGTGAGGTGCACAGACTTAAACATGAATCTCCAGATGTGTGTGGAACATTACAAGCTTCTTTTTGTTTTCAACAGGACTACATATGCATAGCTTCATGTCTTGTTTTTTTTTGGTTTTTTTTTTTTTTTGAGATGGAGTCTTGCTGTGTCGCCCAGGCTGGAGTACAGTGGCGCAATCTCAGCTCACTGCAAGCTCTGCCTCCTGGGTTCATGCCATTCTCCTGCCTCAGCCTCCCGAGGTGGCTGGGACTATAGGTGCCCACCACCACCCCTGGGCTAATTTTTGTATTTTTTAATAGAGACAGGGTTTCACCATGTTGGCCAGGCTGGTCTCGAACTCCTGACCTCAGGTGATCCTCCCGTCTCGACCTCCCAAAGTGCTGGGATTACAGGCGTGAGCCACCGCACCCAGCCCGTAGCTTCATCTCTTAACACTTCTCCTAGTCCCTGTGATTCTTGATAGTACCTAATATGGCTCAGATACAAGTATAAACCTTCCCACTACCCTGGAATAGGCTTCATCTCAGTAAAGGATGTGAACTCATATAAACCTCACTGTGGATGCTCACATTCTCTCCAACTTCACAATATTTATTCTTCTTCCCAGTGTGAAAATGGTGCTTGGTAACGAAAATCAAGAAAAAATAGGCTCTGTTTTCAGTTTATATCATACCATCTGTCCTACAAGCAGCAAGCCTAAGATTTACTTATTCCTCTTGCTTCAAGCATAATTTGAAACCTTCTGAGATCTCTCTACAATCCAGACCTTTCACCAAACCAGAATTCGGTATTTTCAGCTGTATAGGACAGTTGTGTAGGACAGTGTTCTATATAGGACAATATCTGAAGATACATTCCTCCATCCATTCTTGTCTAGACTGTAAGTTCCATGGGTTGTTACAACCCCAGCCCTCAGCACATTGCTAGATACAGCAACAAACATTTTCATGAATTAATGACAAGTGTCTACAATTCCAACTCTTTATCCTGTTGCCCTTTCCTAACTCCATTGTCTTTATAAATATCATTCTGTTTACATATTCACAGATTCTAAACCTATAGTCATATATTAAAAATCCCAGTTTTTCACATTAGACTGAAAAATCTTGAAATCACCTTTGAGCCTATCCTATTACTAATTTTTCTCCATTAACATTTCCTTGTATACCTCTTTACCCTCTCTTTTTTAAAGATTCCTTTTCCCTTTACCTTAAGACAACCTACTTCTGTAACTCTTATAAAGATTATTCAATACCTTTCTAATTGGTCTCTTTGTCTTCTGTCTTCTCTTTCCTTGTCCAACACCCCAGTTCCGATACACAAACTGATTTACTACTCTAAGACTTTAACCTTTGTAATTATTATGGCCCTCATCCTGTTATTCTTCTGTTTAAGAAACAAGAGGCTCCCTTTACAACAAATCCTCTTCGTGACTTTCCCACACATTTGTAACATCACCTACCTTTTCCTCAGTATCTTATTTGTTACTATCCCCTGTATACATTCTTTATTCTAATTAATTTGAAATTGGTAATGCCCTCACATGTGCCTTTACTATCCCTGTATGTATGTGTGTAGACAAATGAGTCTATGCATACATGCTTTAAAAAAAAAAAATTGTTAACTCTGGAAGGCTGGATGCAGTAGCTCACACCTGAATCCAAGCACTTAGAGAGCCTGAGGTGGGCGGATCACCTGAGACCAGGAGTTCAAGACCAGCCTGGCCAACATAGCAAAACCCCATCTCTACAAAAATACAAAAAAAGTAGCCAGGTGTGGTGGCCTGCGCCTATAATCCCAGCTACCTGGGAGGCTGAGGCAGGAGAATCACTTGATCCCAGGAGGCAGAGGTTTAAGTGAGCTGAGATCACACCACTGCATTGCGCTCCAGCCTGGGCAACAGAACAAGACTCTATCTCAAAAAAAAAAAAAAAGTCCCTATGGGGAGTGACCTCCCTGACCCTCTACTCTTATCTGTTTAAATCCTGTCTCAGGTAGTCCGCCTTTCTCTAAGAAGCATTTTGTGATTACATGCAAATATTTTTTCCCTCTAAAAAAAAATTAATTTTTCTCTTATTATTTCATGTATGTAGTTGTCTGTCTCCAACTTGATTATAAATTCATTATATTTCATTTCTTAAGGTTAGAAACTTTCCATTTTTTTTTGTTCCCACCTACAGCTTACAGAGATAGACATATAGTAGGCTGTCAATAAAGTTTGGTTTATTTTTTGCTAACTCAGAGCACACTTATAATCTACTTATTCTTCACCTGTGAGGAGAAAATATAAAAATATGTACATATTTAGTGTTGTTTTTTTAGGAATTGCTTTCGCCCCAACCCCAGCAGCCTTTAGAAAAGCTTAATGGCTACCAGCAACAGAAGCCTTCAGCAAGCTCCATATTCTCTCTTCATTTGAATATCAGTTTCCATTAATGAAAGCCCCTCTCTCTCAGAATTTTTAAATAACGATAAATATTACCATATGGTAGGAGCACAAGGAAGCAATCACCTTGGGTTACTGGGTTTGCAGAACTCTTCGTAGCTAAACAGCATGAATTTTTTCCAATGTGTTGCTTAACGACAGGGATATGTTCTAGGAAATGCGTCCTTGGGTGATTTTGCCGTCGTGGGAACATCATAGAGTGTACTGTACTTACTTACACAAAGCTAGGTGGTATAGCCTACTGCACTCCCGCGTTATATTGTGTAGCTTCTTGCTCCTAGGCTACAAACCTCTACAGCATGTTTATGTACTGCAATACCGTAGGCAAGCGTAACACAATGGTAAATATTTGTGTCTCTAAACATATTTAAATGCAGAAAAGGTACAGGGGAAATACAGTATTATAATTTTATGGCACCACCATGGTATATGCAGTTCATCATTGACCAGAACTTCATTATGTGGTGCATGGCTATAATACCATGTTCTAAATCCCTGAACAAGCCAGAATTACCAACTGAAGATTATTGCACTAGAATAATGAAACTGGCATTTTGTGAGGTATCAACCCAGAGCTCTCAGGTTTTCCTGTGGGTACATGTTACAAAAGGAGACATTTTGTTATTTGTTCTTGTACCCTATCTACTTCCTAAAGGGACTAGGGATGACTTTCATGGAATGCACAGTGTAACATCCAGCCAATTCAAAATAAACAGGAAAAGTTAAGTAGTGAAGAATTTTTTAAAAGAAAGCCTTCTATTAAGAAACTCGGGCTAATTTTGCCTGAGCTTCCTTGTTATTCAAGCTTAGAGGAGAACTCAAGAGGGCTGTGTAACCTTCATTGGATAATAAAGGAAACATACTGAGTTCTCAGGAGAGAGAATTTTTGCTAGGCCATTACACTGAGAGTCTTCCATAGGAGTCTTTATGTAAGAGACTTGAGCCACCTAAATAATATCTTGGTAATCATTTTAGAAAGAAATTATTGTAGTATATTGCTATTTCTTATATCAGCCATTTAGTGAAAAATGGGAGCCTTCATGTAGAATTAGGATAGTTTTCCATTAAACAAATCATTTTTCAATTAAGGCAATTAAGCCAGCTATATGGTCTGGACACACAGCTATGTCCAGATACTTGAATAAACCTTGAAGAATCCCATATATTAAATAACATAATAAGCTTCATCCTTGCCATCTATGTTTTGAATGTAGAGCAAGTGGATCTTTTTTAAAAAATAGTGTATCACATACCTGTCCCCATGCTCGCTAATAACAGAATCTCTGACTGCCTGCTCTCTAGCTGCCACTGTTCTCAGCCAGGCTTTTGGCAAACGCTAGATGACAAAGTTGGTATTTTATTATGTATTTTGAAGATGCTGAATGGAATTTTTATTACATTGGGCTATAGTAGTGCCTCTAAGCAGAGCCAAAACGTTTCTCCAAAAGCAGGGTTGGAGTCACCCAAGGTCTTGAATGAGTACTGTGTACCTTTTACTAACGTGCTGGCCCTTGAATTTCAGGTACGGTGGTTGAGGAGAGCAATGGTTCTGATGAGATGGAGAATTCAGATGAAACCAAAATGTCAGAAGAAATACTGGCTTTGGTGGATGAATTTCAACAGGCATGGCCTTTGGAAGGCTTTGGGGGTGCACTAGAGATGAAAGGGCGGCGTCTAGACTTACAAGGAATACGGGTGCTGAAGAAAGGTCCCCAGGATGGAGTGGCCAGAAGCTCTTGCTATGGAGACTGCAGAAGTGAAGATGATGAAGCAACAGAATGGGTAAGTTTGCCAACTTAATTCTCACAAAATTGTAGCCCATGCCTTTCAGGGGATCCTAATATGCAAAGTGGGAAGTTTCTGTTGGATATGTGGCACTACTTGGCTATGCACTCCAGGACAGCCTTCACATTGGAATTTTATTGGGAGGAAGCATTTCATGTTACTTATGTATTGCTGGCTCTTCTGGAAGGCAGGAGGAAATGGGATGGGTGTGAAGCCACTGTCAGAGCCTGCAGACTTGGAACTGTCCAGTTCAGACATCTTTCTTTTCGGTTTCTTCTATACATTCTTCGAGACTAGGTTATTTTGTTCATTTCACTAACCATTTTTTATTTAGGTCTTTAAGAATTAAACTCAAGGAGAGAACTTAACCTGAGCACAGTACTTGGTTATTCTTAAACTAGTATTCACAAATCATTGACAGATTTGATCACTGGTCTCATTTGTCCCTAACATGTTTCTGTTTCCCAGATTACATTCCAGGTCAAACGTGTAAAGAAACCCAAAGGAGATCATAAGAAAACTCCTGGGAAAAAAGTAGAAACAGGTCAGATAGAAAATGGACATCGTTACCAAGCAAACCTAGAGATCACTGGCCCCAAGGTGGCATCTCCTGGGCCACAAGGTAAATTTGAATGTTTAATATGCCAGTTTCTTGTTTTAGATGTCACTATCTCATTTCTCACAAAGGTTGTATTTGTAACTTGAAATAGTTCAGATGAGATGATAAAGGGGCAAAGTGTGGTCAAGAAACCAGTCTATCTTCTGTATCAATGAAAAAAATGTTCAAACTCTAAAACATTATGGAAATGCAAATTCCAGTGGATTTAACATTATGTGTAATAAATCATAAAGGAAGAAAAATTAGGTGAATATTTACATGCTCTTTCCATGTGGAAAGAACTTTCTAAGGCAGAGAGAGGGAAAGAAAATAATAATTCTGACACTGGAAAGTACCACAAAATAAGACAAAGGACTGAAGCAAAGTTTTTTTGTAGATTATTTTTGTATATATTTACAGAATATATGATAAGCAGAGGGTATCAATATCATTTAAAGAGCACCTACAAATCAATATGAAACATACAGTATTTCAGTAAAATACGTGCAGCGTACATAGGCAGTTCACCAAATACATACACACACACACACACACACACACACACACACACACAGATGGCCGCTAAACTTGAGAAGATATTCAACCTCATCAGCAATCAGAGGAGCGCAGACATAAACAGTAAGATACCAGTTTTGATTATCAAATTGTTTTTAAATGTGTAACACACATTTTATTTAACTGAAGTGAATTTTGCGGCAGTCTGACTAGACGCATCAGAAAATTTAAAAATATACCAGTTATTCTACTTCTAGTAATTTACCCTAAGTAAATCATCTTACAAGTGCCATAGATGTAAGTAGAAAGATTATTGATCATGGGATTGCTTATAATAAAAATTTGTAAACAACATAAATGTTGTAATTGCCTAAATAAATCATAACACATCTATGCTGCATAATATGCACTCAAGATATTGGTAATATAGTAAGTAAAGAAAAGCAATTTATAAAGTAGTAAATGTAGAGAATACCTTAATCATTATGCTATATTTCATCAACTACATTTTTTTCACATTTCAATATCTCTGAAATTGGAATACATCTTACAGTTGATAGTATCTTATATAATAATTGCCACTGTTTTTCTTTCTTAAATCCTGTAAAATAATGTATGTTTACAGTTGGCAGCATCTTAGATTTGATGAAATATGGTATAATAAACAAGCACATAGAAACAAAACTAGCATGAAATACATCAAAATGTTATAAACGGTCATCTCTGGGTGCTAACAGAGCTATAGGTGATTTTTATTTTCTTCTGTATGACTTTTCCATTTTCTAAATATTTTACAATAAGCCTATATTACTTTTATAAACAAAAAACTAAAAATTTATTATAAAAGTGAAAACTAAAGCCGAATATGGTTGAGATGATACGAGAGCACTTAAGCAGTTTTAAATGTATTCAAGTTGGTGGGCCCAAGTAGGGCATTGAATGTACTTGCAAATGAGATTATGGAACTACTTATTGGCATTAAAGTGAAAAGCTCTAAAGCATAGAGGACAGAAATACTAGAGAGATTCAAAAACCCAATTTTCAAATTAGTATGGATTCTATTCACTGCTAACTAATCAGCTTCATGATGAATCCTAACCAAGTTATAAAGCAAAGTATTAAATAGTTTGTGAGCCCATGGGGGAAAAATGGAGATCATTAAGAGCCATTGTAGATTTTCTAAGAACTAATAATAATGCTTAACTAATTTCATTTCCTTTTTTGGTTAGGGCTACTAGACTGGAAGACCAGGAAAGTGCCATAGACATAATGTAACTGGATTTCAGCAAGGCATTTAACAGAGCCTCTTATGATATCCTTGTGAACCAGATGGAGAGATGTGGGCTTGAAGCCTTCCCATTGCCTACAGGATAAAATTCAAACTTCCTAGTGTGGTGTACAAGACCCTTTACAGCCCGCCTCTGTGTACCCTTCAACACCATTCTCTGAACCAACCATGCTCATGTTTTTACCTCAGTGCCTTTGCACATGCTATTCCCTCTGCCTGGAATGCCCTGTGCCCCCTCTGCCCTCTGCCGTGCTAAAATATCACTCATCCTTAAACTTCAAAATCAAGTGCCATCTCTTCCTTGTTACCTTCAGGCAGAATTAGTTACTCTTTCCTCTGTGCAATTGTTCTATATCTTCGCTCTAGCTCTTTTCCTGTTGTATTGTAATGATTTGTTTATGTTTACCTTCCTTACTAGACTGTGAGCTCAAGAGCAGGCCGTCTTAATTATTCCTTTCTGTACCCCTAGTGTCTTTTATGGTTCTCAGCCCCTTATAACAGGTGCTCAATAAATATTTTTCAAATGAAATTATTAAATGTAAAAGAAAATTAAGATTTTTTGTGAAAATTATGGCTTATTTAAGTTATTAATTTAAACAGAGTTAATTTGAAACTCTTCCAAAACTGTTCCTTTCTGTTTTGTTAAAATCTCAATCTAAACCCCTGCCTGTACCTCAAACAGTTTTCTACTGTTCGTAAATTCCTATAATATAAAAAGCGCTATACAGAACTAAAGTTCTCCTTCCTGCCTATTCCATTATAACTCCTTCAGAAAACCCTTCCCAGACAAGACAGTTCTGCTCTTTTCTTGGGGATTTGATGTAAGTAAAGGGCCCACACCCAAAAGGTGGTACTTACGAAGGATATTAATAAACAGAGCTTTAAATTTTTTTGTAGCTTTAAATAGCTTGTTGATTGGGAACATACACGTTAGAGTCAAACAGACTCCTAGCTCTGCCAGTTGCTAGCCAGGTGACCTGGACAAGTCACTTAGTCTCTCTGAGTCTCTGTTTTCTCATCTGAGAAATGAGGGTTAAAACCTACTTCAGGCCAGATGCAGTGGCTCACATCTGTAATCCCAGCACTTTGGGAGGCCAGGGTGGGAGGATCACTTGAGTCCAGGAGGTTAAGGCTCCAGAAAGCTAGTATCATGCCACGGCACTCTAGCCTGGGCAAGAAAGCAAGGTGCTGTCTCTAACTTAAAAAAAGAAAAATGGAAAAAACTTAACCACATGAGGTTAAAAAAAGAAAAATGGAAAAAACTTAACCACATGAGGTTAAGGATGTAAAGCACTTAGCATGGGATCTGAATACACAGGAAGTGCTCTTCAAATAGTTGATAACCAGGCTGGTTCTTGGACTGTGGTGGTGTGGTGGGGGCTGGGAGGAGATGATAATCTTTCATTAACATCATTACTCCCTGCTGCTCTTCTTTATAGTAGTGGTTCTCTCTACTGGGTGTGGACATTTGGCAATATCTGGAGACATTTTTGTTGTTATATCTGGGGAACAGTGCTACCACCATCCAGTGGGTGAAGGCCAAAGATGATGCTAAACACCCTCCAATGCACAGGACAGGTCCCTCAAAAAATTATCCAGCCCAAAATGCCAATAATACCAGGTTGAGAAACCCTGCTTTAGAGATAAATGTTTCTACTAAGTTGGAGTTGTCTTTATAAAATCAAAATACAGAGGGGCAAAAATTAAGTTTGGTAAGAATGTTAACATTGAAGAATGCCTTAACCCCTTATTTCATGTTGATCAATCTTAAATCTAGCAAAGGACTCATTTATTCTTACTTCTCCACCTATCTTTACTCAGAGATGATCTTTAGTTCCATTGCATAATGACGAGATTTTAATTAGATCATAGATGGGGGAAATGTTAAAGACTACAGGAATGACTAGCACCTCCAAATACACCAATCCAGGTGAAGTAATCACCAGGGCATAAGGCCCTTTGGGTTCTCTTCCTTTGCAATTGTGTGGATTCATGGCATACTTTCCTTCCAGGAAAAAAACGTGACTACCAGCGTCTGGGATGGCCCAGCCCGGACGAATGCCTCAAACTCCGCTGGGTAGAGCTGACTGCCATCGTGAGTACCTGGCTTGCAGTTTCTTCAAAAAACATTGAGTAAGTATGTTAAGCCTCTCCCTCCTTTATGGCATTTGAGTCCCATTGAACCCAGCTGACTTTAAGGATCCCCTCTTAGCAGCTAGTAGAAGAGTTATCCTTTCTAGAGCTGAATTTTCAAAGGATGACCATGCTGACCATGGCCCCCAGGTGGACCCAACCCATTGTAGCAAAGCAGTGAGTGTGCCCCCCTTCCCGGTGCCTTCACCTGTCCTTTGTAAGCTATCTAGCAGCCATGTATAACCTGCTTAGTTTGAATTGAAGACTGGATCCTCTCTATAGAAGCACAAAACCCATGGTTTGTCATGAATATCATGCAGTTGTAAGGGAGCCAGAGCAAATCCAGATTTGCAAACACCTACCAAGACATAGTAGATGCCTCTGATAACTGCTTTTTCCTCACTGGACACTCGCTCTCTTTTGCTGACCCCTTTTCTACCCTTTAAGTGTTGGAGTTCCCCAGGATTTACCACTAAGCCTTCTTATTTTGTAATCACTTCTAGTCAGACTGATCTACTCCCAAAATTCCAATCAACACAAAGATGTACTAACAGCTCCCAAACTTGAATCTCCAGACCAGATCTTTTTACAATGCGTTCAACTCATTTGTCTGTCTCCCTGACCTGTCTGTCTAGATTGCACTCAGGCAACCCATGCTCGGGAAAACTAAAGTCATAATTTTCTTGCCCACTCTCCATATTAAAAAATTATTGTTTTTTTTTGTTTTGTTTTTTCTTTTCCTATTTTTAGTAAATAGCTCCAGTAATGCTTAGGCCAAAAACCTGGGAGTTATCCTTAATGATTTTCCTCCCTTGCTCTTCAAATTCAGCCTGTTACCAATTCTTAGCACTTTTACTCCCTGAGTATTTTTCAAAACCACCTACTTTTCTCCATCCCCATTGCTGCCTCCTCAAACCAGAGCATAACCATCCCTACGTCGGTTCATCCAGTACTTCCTAGCTGGTCCTCTTGCTCTGTTCACTCTTGCCTCTGTTCAATCTATTCTCTCCACAGTACTCAGAATTCTTCAAATATAAGTCAAATCATTCTTAAAGCACTCTAGGAAATTCTTAATGCTATTTAAAGTGGACCATAAAGCCTTTCTTGATCTGCTCCCTGCCTGTTTTTTCATCCTCTCTTTTGCCCTCTCTCCTGCCAGGGCTGTCACACGTGGTGTCTCCTTTGTCTGTGGCATTGTTCTCACTGTGGGTTCTCAGCTGGTTAATTCATACTAAACCTTCTGGCCTCAACTTAATCTTACCTCCACAGAATCCTTCACTAGCTACCCTCCTCCACCAGTGCAGAGGCAACATATATCCTCCTGGAGTGTATTATCATTGCACCATATTTTATCTTTTATAACTTACCACATGTAATAAATGAATCACTCACAAGAGAATGAACATGGTAACAGCAGGGACTAACTATGTTGTTTTACTCATTATTATAGTCCTTGTATCTGACATGTAATAGGCTCTAAATAAATAATGAGTGAATGTTTGCCTAATAATTGTTAGACTTTTTAAATAGCTGCAAGTAAAACATGGCAGTGCCAATTTGTCATATTAGTGCATATGATAGTCTATAATAGTAAGCTTGTATATGGTGGGAAAATGAAAGGAAGTACTTAGTCTTACACCTAAATACAATGTACGGCTGTATCTCTATAAGATTTACTGTCTAAGCTTTAGGTAACTTTTTCTGTGGGGAGGAATGTGCTGCTGTGCATAAAAGAAAACTAAAAGATATAACTAGTTGTGGGTATTTATCACCACTTATATCTTGGAAGAAGAAATCCTAGAAGAAAACTTACTTCGTTTAAAATCAGGGGATAGCATGTTGAAGCTATGATGAGCTGATTGTTAATGCTGTCTCTCCTTGATTGTTAATGCTGTCTCTCTTCTCTTCCCACCCACTCAAAAATTTCCCATAGCTAATGTGGTAATCTCCATTTTTCAGCATCACAGAACACATAGATTTTGCCACCCCTATACAGCAGCCAGCAATGGAGCCTCTTTGCAATGGCAATCTCCCCACGAGTATGCATACCCTGGACCACTTGCATGGGGTTTCCAACCGAGCCAGCCTGCACTACACAGGGGAGAGTCAGTTAACAGAGGTGAGTGCTCGGCTTTGTTCAGGCTGTTTTTTAGCCTCACAGTTAGGATGCACATTGATACTACATAGAAAGCCCAGGTGACCGGGCCTTTTAAAAAAAAATAGGGGCTTTTTTCAGTTAGGCATCACCTAGGTGGGTTTGGGCCAAGCCTGATTTCTTTCAGGCCCTGGGACTGAGCTTATTATTCTTTTTTTCTTTATGACCATGGAATTTTAATTCTGATTTACCCCTCAAGGGGGGTAGTTCTGCCTTGCCATCAAATACCAACTCTTGAGAAAAATGTATGGGGCAGTTAATTCTCCTGTTGACATTTTTAAGAAGGAAGGGTAAGGAAAGCAGACCCAATATATACCTAGCAAAGCATATACCTAGAAGAATTGGAAAAACACATCACAAGTATCCAACAGTAGAGGATTGGTTAAATAAATTTTGGTTAGATGTAAGATAGTATACAGTGGCACCATTAGAAAATATATAGAAATATTCTTATTGACCTGAATAAATTTTCACAATATATAATGTGAAAACATAGGTAACAGTATACAGTGTAATTCAATATTTTGTGAGAAAAAAATGTACATAGAAAAATATCTGAAAGACATATAAAGGTATTAAAAGTGGTTGTTAATACCTCTCTATATGTCTTTACATGTCTGAATGACAAGATTACACATAGTTTATTTCATTTACTCTGTGTTCTAGTGTTGCTATAATGAATGTGTTTTACATTCTGTAATTTTTGTTAAATGTGGGAGAGCTGAGGGGATGATAAAACAGCCTTAAATGTGTCTTCCATAGATTACCTTACCAATAGGACCACAGCATGTATCCCAGAAAAACAGTTTGCCTCTGTGGTACAGTGCCCAACTCAGCATTAGCAGTATCATCTAGATCCTGCATCGTTTTCATTCTTCTAATCTACTATCTTCCTTCCTTCCAGGTATTACAAAATCTCGGCAAAGACCAATATCCACAACAGTCGCTTGAACAGATTGGCACCCGAATTGCCAAAGTTTTGGAAAAGGTAAGTCACCCCACAGAAAAGCTGGAAACAATTGCCCTCCTTCTAACTTCTTTTCTAAGTTATTTGCTCCTAAGTGTCTGTAACCTCTTCTGTTAGTTACTTAGCACTTGGTGGCTAAAAGGATAATGTGAAATAACTCCCCTCAGAATGTTTCAGTCGCTTTTTCTATCACTTGGGTAATATTCTTTTCTGTCTCTTTGCCTGCTTTCTGTGGTGAAACTTACCTAGTCAGTTTTCTCTTCTTTACCCCAGTATGTGTGTATAGAGGTGGTAGTATTGGAAACCATGGAATCTAGGTATATGAAATAAGTCAGATATTCTTCTGATGGTGAAGAATATTTGGTATTTTGGATGATGGATGGGAAACACACTTTGAAATGTCTTTTCTCTTGAAATCATGAAACAAAATATTTACCAAATTGCATTTTCGTAGAGCCTACAGAAAATATCATTGAGAGGTTCTAAGACTCCTTTTCTTCCTCTGTGTGATATTTGTGTAAAGAGGAGGGGTTTTTTAATTTAATTTTATTACTTTATGGCTAAGAATCTCTCTACTTTATTACTGTATAATATTAAAGAGCTAATTTAACATAGTCATTTAAACAATCAACCCAACTTCAAGTATGAATGCGACACTGTGAGATAGCAACTTCCTTCATCTTCCGAGTATCGCACATGGAAAAATCATCAGCAGACTCCAGTTATAATGAAACTAGGGCAAACACATGATCCCCAGACTTCAAAAAAAGTAAGGATTGCCAAAAGTGGTTATGATCCACACAAAAAACATACAGGATGAATTGTAGCAGAATTCAGGCAGGGTTAGCAATTTCAGAAAACGTCAGCAAAATTCTACTACCTGAAGGAACTTTCTACAGGTAGCCCAACCAGGAAAATCCTGAGTAATAAAAACAGAGCAGACACAGCACTGATACAAAAATAAAAGAAAACCGGTCGGGCCCGGTGGCTCACACCTGTAATCCCAGCACTTTGGAAGGCCAAGGCAGGTGGATCACTTGAGGACAGGGGTTCAAGACCAGCCTGGCCAACATGGTGAAACCCCATCTCTACTAAAAATACAAAAATCAGCCGGGTGCGGTGGCACGCACCTGTAATCCCAGCTACTTGAGAGAGTGAGGCAGGAGAATCAGTGCTAACCCAGGAGGCGGAGGTTGCAGTGAGCCAAGATCGCGCCACTGCACTCCAGCCTGGGTGACAGAGTGAGACTCTGTCTCAATAAATAATGAATGAATGAATGAATGAATGAGTGAATGAATGAAAACCATAGGAAAAAGCAGCAAAACTTACTAAAGAACACACAGCAGGAAAATATTGTAATGGAACACATTATAATTCAGACTGAACTTTTCTCCATGGATTAAAATATTAGGCCAGGCACAGTGGCTCATGCCTGTAATCCCAGCACTTTGGTGGACAAGGCAGGAGGATCATTTGAGCCCAGGAGTTTGAGCCAGCCTGGGCAACATAGCGAGACCCTATCTCTACAAAAAAATTAAAATGCTCACACACACCTGTAGTCTCAGCTACTTGAGAGATTGAGGTGGAAGGATCGCTTGAGCCCAGAAAGTTGAGGTTGCAGTAAGCTATGATCATGCCACTGCACTCCAGCCTGGGCAACAGAGTGAGACCCTGTCTCAAAAAGAAAAAAAAATTCGCCTGCATAAATAAAGATCACAAAGCAAAAATATAAAAACACAGGAGAAAGATTAGCAATGGATATAAAAACAGGAGATAGAAAACTGAAATATATTAAACTTGAGTGCCAGGCCAAACAGGTCAGTAGTAGAAAAATTTTGTCACAGAACTGACGACAAAATTGGAAGGAGCAGCAAGAGGAATACATCACAAACACAGAAAGGGACATAGAGGACAGAAGTGACAAGTGACGAAAATAAGAGAGTTAAAGAAAAATTGAAGATAACATGTTAGAAACATATTTTAAGCTCTAGATTCAAATAAATAAGATTTGAGTCTTATTCTATTTCTATAAAATATATTTTGTTAAAAGGGTGCACTGTGTGCCATAGAAAACTGATCCAGAACAGTCAACAGCAGTGCTTATTGAAGCAAAATTACTCCATCTTGGAAGAAAAAAAAAAGAGAGAAAGAAAGAAAATATAATCAGATTTTTCAACAGCAACTCTTGATTCCAGAAGACAATGGAGTAACATATTTAGAATACTTAAAGAATAAAAAAAGAGGAGCTATGGATTTTATATGCTACCAAACTGACCATCAATATAGAGTCCACAGACAAATTGCCATTAACATGTAACAAATATTGTTTCCATGAGCCCCTTCTTGAGAAGACTGTCTAGAGATAAGCTTCAGACAGCCAAAATGACCAGAGCAGCATTGGTATAAGGGACTAGTAGCAAGCATTATATATTTGTCTATAGAGCCAAGACTGAATAATGGCTCTAAGAGAGGCAAGACAGTATCGTATGTTATGGAAGCTCCTCAGCTTACCATGGGGTTACATCCTGATAAACCATTGTTAAGTTGAAAATACCATAGGTCGAAATGCATTTAGTACACCTAACCTACCAAACATTATAGCTTAGCCTAGCCTTTTTTAAATGTGTTCAGAACACTTATATTAGCCTACAGTTGGGTAAAATCATCTGGCAGCACAGTATATTATAGAGTATCAGCTGTTTACCCTTGTGATCATGTGGCTGACTGGCAGCTACAGCTCGCAAGAGTGTTGTACTGCTTTCTACTGTATACCCATTGCTTTCACATTGTCATAAAGTTGAAAAATCCTAAGTTGGGGATTGTTTGAGCTCTGAAAATGTAGGTATAGTACAATTATCAAAAAATGGTGAGAGAATAGGAGAATATATGAAAGGTAAAATAAGCTCACTGATTACTTAATAGATACTGGTTGGGAATTAAAGAATGGTACTTCAAATTAAATGCTGGTGGAGAGGAAAGGTAGAAATGTAAGAAAAGGTTATCAGGTAATTTCCATACTGTTCATAGTAGGGGACCAACAGAATATAGCCCAAAAAAAGTATGAAGGAAGGGAGAGTAATGGTATTATATAAAGGCCTTACTCTATAGATACAATACAAGCCTTCCTAAATACCAAAAGATAACCTGAAAATAGTATGCAAATAAGATAGACAATATAGTAAAAGAATACACATGTACACATATTAAACAGATGGATTCAAGGGACCAAGGACAAACAATTATATCCATAATTGCAAATGTTCTTACCTTAACTATTAAAAGAACAATATTTTCAAATTGTTTAACAAAGCATAGCCAAACATTATGCTGTATTCGAGAAATATCCAAATAAAATTTAACAAGATTTAAGATAAAAATAAAAGAATGGATAAAGCATACAAGGCAAATGCAAATAAGAGAGCAAAGTTTATGATCTCCATACCTAACAAGGAAAAACTTAGATCAAAAAGCTTGACATGACAAAGAAATATACTTTAAAATGCTAAAGACTACAGTTTACAATAAATTTGTAATAATAATTAGTATTTATGTATCCAGAAACAAATGTCATAAAGCAGAGACTCAGGGAGATTCAGAGAAACAGATTAAAATATACCACATAATACCAGACAAAAAATTAATAAGGATATAAAGACCTAAATAGCATAATCAGTAAGGTAGATCTTATTAGATATATCAAACTCTGAACTTTGATTATAGAAAATACATCTTTTTGTCATTTGAACATAGAATATTCATTCATGAAAATTATATCAGAGCAGTGAACAAATTCCAAGGAAGAAAATAAAAGTAGCATTTTCTGGCCAGAATGCAAAAAATAATAATAATAATAATAATAACTAACAATATAAAAGCCCTCCTACCTGGAAATTCTAAAACATGTCATTTAAACAGCTGAGTCAAAGAGAAAATAAGAAATTTAGAATTTCTTGAAGATACATGAAAACAAAATAACAGTCTGTAGAACAGACTAAAACAGTTTTCAGAGAAATTTGCATAGCATTAAGTACTGTGTCAGTAAAAATGAAAAATAAGAAGAAAAGATATAAACACCCAAAACCAGGATGAAAAAATAAACTAAAAGCAAAAGAATTAACAAAGAAAAAGGATGCATTAATTATACAGAAAATCAGTAGAAACAATGCATCCAAAAGTTGAGTTTGAGGTATATATCAATAAAATGGATACATCATTAGCTAACCTAATAAAGGAAAAGGAGATTGCCAAAATAAAATTCGAAAGGCAGGGGGACATGACCATAAAAATAGGAAGCTTAGAGAATCAGACTACTTTAACCAAAACATATAATTTATTCAAATAGGTTTGAAAACTTAGGTGAAATAATATTTTTTAGAAAACTACAATGCAGAAAAAATGCTGCACTGTAGTTTTCTAAAAATATTATTTCTCAGTAGAAACAGCATCTAAATCAGAAAGATTGCCATAGAAGAAATGGAAAAAATAGTTAATTCCAACCAAAAAGCACACTAGGCCCAGATACTTCACAGAGGACTTTTACAAACCGTTAAAGACCAAAAATTTCCAATGCTGCTATATTTCAGAGTATCAAAAAAAGAAAATGTATTTTACAAAGAAAACATATCATTGTTCCCCAAATCTGAAAAAAATGACACCAAAAAATAAAACTACTAACCTATTTCTCTTGTTAACAATTCAAAAGTAGTAAAATAGTAGCAAACATAATCTAACAGCATATTTTGAAAAATACATCATGACTAAAAGGCTATTCTAGGAATACTGAATTGATTTACTATTTGGAAACCGTTAATATCCTTCATATTGATAGAGGGGAAAAAATCATATAATTATATCCAGACTTGTGCAAACATTGGATATATTCAGTACCAACTTAGTTTAAGAACCCTAAGAATTGATACTTTTCTTAGCACAATAACACACACACACACACACACACACACACACACACCACTTAGCAGAAAAGCCAGGACCTTACTAGGCGCCTTCTAAATGCTTTTCCACTGAAGTCAAGAACCAGACAAGAATGTCCACTCTATCTACTACTACTCAACATGAGTTTGAATGTATTAATATAGACAAAGGCATTCAGACTGCCTACTGTATCTAATAAAATCATATGTCTGGAAAACCCAAAAGAATCCATGGAAAAGCAACTACAAAGAATACAAGAATTTAGTCAAATAACATTAAAAGTTAATACACCTGTAAAAGTAATATTCCAGTTAGGATGTAGTAGGTCAAGGCAGGTCAGTGCATTACAGTAACTTGAATGAACCAGATAAACTTCTAAAATCATGTTTTTAAAGCTATCACAAAACTAGGCAAGCAACAAGATATGAAAGAACTAAATTGCTAGTGACAGAAGAACCTTTCCAAAGTGAGCTGGTGATTGCCAGCTGTGTCTCCCTGCCTATGCCCCCAGCACTTGTTGATTCAGGGTGTGAGCTAAGAACTGGCCTTAGCGTAGGGAGAAAGCCATTACTGAGGAAAAAGAGAAAGAAGTAAAGCTTTTAGCAGTTGTTCCAGGTGGAATTAACAGATTGGAAATCAAACACATGACCAGTTTTTTTTCCAAGGAGCATTTCGATTAGAACTAAGGCCACACAGGAGTCTGGGGGATTAGGCTCAAAACTTAGGAACGGTAGAGTGAAATCTCTCCATCTCACACTGCTTAGGAAATAAGGAGATGCTGGGTAACAGAGCCAGCCATAAGCATATGGCTTTTTCCCCTCAGGACTTTCATCTTAATACTACTTGGATGGGAGACTGAAGTGAGCTGGGGATCTCTAACAGGAAAAAGTCTTTTGGGCTGAGGAGACAAACACCTACCTACTAGACACCTGAGGTCATTCCTGTTCCTCAGTTGTGGCACTCTGGGGATTCTGATTAGATCTAGATTAGTTCCTTATCTAGCATTAGGTCTAGATTAGTTCCTAATCAGAATTCCTGGAGTGCCACAGCAGAGGAACAGGAATGACCCAGACAGATTGAGTCTTGCCAAACTGTATGCCCCAACTTAACATTATCAGGCAGGAATGAGTTGATCAGTCTTACGACCTCTTTGCCTAATAGAATTAAGGGAAAAACTGCCCTGATGAAGTATAATATCTGGAGCCGCTGTGATTCTTTTATACAGAAAGACCAGAATACAATTTTTAGAAAAAAATACTAGATATGCAAAGAAGCAAGAATGTATGGTTGATAATAAGGCAAAGTGCAGACAATAGGAGTAGATTTACAGATAATAGAGATATTATACTCAGTGGACAAGGACTTTAAGATAACTACAATTAATATATTCACAAAAATAAGGGAAAAGATGAAGAAAGTAGATGAAAAAAGTACCTTTTCACCAGAGAACTAAAAACTACTTTAAAAATCAGATAAGCATTCTAGAACTTAAAAGTACAGTAATGAAAACTCATTGAATGGGTTTAATAACAGATTGAACAGAGCACAGCCCAGAATTGGTGAACTAGAAAAATATACAGACAGAACCACAGAGAAAATAAGGGAGTGTGGGGATTGATAAGAGCATAAGAAACGTGATGGAAAAACTCCAAAGATCTAACATACATATAATTAGGGTCTGGGAGATAGAGAAGTAACAGAATCGGGCAGAAGTGATATTTGAAGAAATGGGCTAGAATGTTCCAAAATGGATGAAAGGTAGCCTACAGATTCTAGAAGCTCAGCAGACCCCAAGCAGAATAGGTACAATGAAAAGCACATCTAGGAAAATTAAAAGCTTAAGAGCCAGGAGGAAAAATATTATTTCTGTATCAGTTACCTATTGTTACAAACAAACAAATGGCTGTTTACTATTACAGAACTTAACAGCCACTTATTTGTTTGTAATTCTGCTGTCTGGGCTGGGCTCAGCCGGGCACTTCTTCTGCTGATCTCACGTGAAGTCACTTATGTTGCTGGGGCTACACACACAAGAGCTCTTGACTCTCATGTTTGGTGCCTCTGGGGAAGCCTGGAAGAGTGGGAGCTGTCCAGGCTCCATCTCTACATGGTCTCTTAAGTACCATGTGATCCCTCCAAGTCCATCTGGTCTCTCCAGCTCCCCATGGTCTCTCTGGCACAGTAATAAGCACGTGATGGGTCAGGGCTTCAGAAGGGTGAAAAACAGAATCTGCCTGGCTTCTCAAAGCCTAGAAACTCATAGAGCATCATTTCAACTGCATTCTTGTTGGTCAGAGCCAGTCATCACAAAGCCAGCTGAGATTCAAGGAAACAGATAGAACTTCACTTCTTGATAAGACATGGGTGAAGAGGAGGGCAGATAGAATTTTAGGGCATCTCTCATTTGCCTGAGTCTTCCTACTGGCTCACATTGCTTAAATTCCTCCGACATGCAAAATGACACCCACCCCAAGAACCCCACAGTCCCATCCAATTATGGCATCAGGCTCAGAGTCTACTTGTGTACAGTAGTTCCCCCTCAACTGTGGTTTCGCTTTCCACAGTTTTCAGTTACCCACAG
Source organism: Homo sapiens (assembly GCF_000001405.40). NCBI lineage: Eukaryota > Metazoa > Chordata > Mammalia > Primates > Hominidae > Homo > Homo sapiens. Next base: position 43,458,758 of record NC_000011.10, read on the forward strand.
TCAACTGAGGTTCAAAAATAGATGAGTACAGTATTAATAAGACATTTTGAGGTAGAGAAAGATGCAGACCACATCCACACAACTTCTATTACAGTGTATTATTTTAATTGTTCTGTTTTATTATTATTAATCTCTTACTGTGTCTAATTTATAAATTAAACTTTATCATGGGTATGTATATAGGAAAAAATAATAGTTTGTATAAGGTTCGAATAGTTTGTATAAGGTTCGGTACTATCCACAGTTTCAGGCATACACCGGGGGTCTTGGAACATATTCCCCTCAGATAAGAGAGAATTCCTGTGTATGGAAGAGACTCCTCAGATACAGCTTCTCTTCAACTGTAAACCTATGAATTAAAAAAAAGTTATTGGTCCTATCCACCCCCGCACATACAACCTACATTGTTATGGCAAGGATACGATGTCACATGAATTGACTAAGTTTACAAGAGAGGAAATTGAAGGCATGTAGCAATCCCATGGCAGTTGTGAAATCCATCTGCCTATATGTCACCAATTCCCCCAATTCCAGGGGTAGGGAACATTTGATTAGTCTACTTTGGTTCTCTGAAGTTGGCTCCCTTTTCTTTTTCTCAGTTCTTGACTTTTTTCTTTGAGCTGTCTTTCCTTTTCCATGAGAAATGTCCTCTTTTTGTAGCTTTCTCAGCCTGCTTCTAGGCTCTGTCCCAACTGGCACAGTTATCCACACTGGCACAACTTCTTTAAAAAGCTTTGTGGACTTTCAAATTATAAACCACTCACTCCACCAGAGAGAAGCCACACCCACAAATTTCTTCAAGAAGTCCTCTATGTACTTTGAATGTCAATCAGGGAATGATACCCTTTAGAGTCATATATGTCTTTTGTCTACCTGAGAGCGTCAGCTAGACACTGGCTTAAATCTTTCTGAAGTACAGGTGGTCGTCCACTTATGATGGTTCAACTTAGAATTCTTTTACTTTAGGATGGTATGAAAGCTATATGCATTCAGTAGCAACCATACTTCAAGTACCCATACAACCATTCTATTTTTTACATTCAGTACAGTATTCAGTAAATCATGAAATATTCAGCACTTCATTATAAAATAGGCTTTGTGTTAGATTACTTTGTTCAATATAACATAATGCAAGTGTTCTGAGCACATTTAAGCAATGACAGGTTAAGCTATGATGTATGGTAGGTTACGTGTACTATTCAACTTAATATTTTCAGCTTACGATGGGTTTATCAAGACATAACCCCATTGTAAGTCAGGGAGCATCTGTAGTAGTAACAAGGTTGTATTGCATGTGCTTTATTTTATCTTGATCCTCAGACCATAATCTTACAGTTAACACCCTGGATTTTTTTTTTTTTAACTTCAGAACCTTTTGCTGAAGAAGCTGGTAACGAGAAAGTTTTATTTTGTAACCCTGCAAGTCCCAGGTTGAAAGTATTTTCCTCTAAATTCTGCTTGAAACTGAGCAGTTCCTTGTTTAGTTCTTCTCTCTTTTAATACCTTTCTACAGGTGTTTTTTGAAAAATTGCTTATCACTTTCAGCATTTTTCCTGGAAACCTTAGCCAGATCTATAACTTCAATAGGTACTTTTTCTATCTTCCAAGATACTGTCTCACTTGTTTTGTCAGTAGATTACATGGCTTCTGTCCAGCCTGAAATACCAATTTCCTCAGTGGTTTTCCAGCCTCCGTTAGTAGTCTCTTTGCTGCTCTTCCACCAAATGTCTATAACCCAGTCCCCAAACTAGTGCTACATGTCTTAAGTTTCTGTCATGGCAATGCCCTGTTTAAATACCAAATACTATTTCAGTTATCTTTTTCTGCCTAACAAATCACCCCAAAATTTACTACCTTAAAACAAAACTATTCTTTGCTTAAGATTCTACTGTCTGAACTGGACTCAGCTGGGCATTTCTTCTGGTCTCACCTGGAGTCATTTATGCAACTGCAGACATGTGGGGACTCCACCAAAGATGGCTTTACTCAAATGTCTGGGGCCTCAACTGGGGTGGCTGCATTAGCTCTGGCACAGCTGCAGTTCCCTCTCCAGCAGGGTCCTGGGCCATTTCACATGATGACTGAGGGCTCCAAGAGGGTGAAAGCAGAAGCATCTGGGCTAGGCCTCTTAGAGCCTGTGCATAAAACTGAAACAGCACTACTTCATCCATGCTGCCTTTCAAAGCAAGTCCCGGGGCCTGCTCAAAATTACAGGCAGGGAAAATATCCTCTACCTGATGGTAGTGACAAAGAATATGTGTCCCATCGTTAATTCACCAGTTGCCTTCACAGTTGCAACAATGAGACTGTTAGCTTTTAAACAGAAATGATAAAAACTAGAAGCCGGCCGGGCGCGGTGGCTCACGCCTGTAATCCCAGCACTTTGGGAGGCCGAGGCGGGTGGATCAGGAGGTCAGGAGATTGAGACCGTCCTGGCTAACAAGGTGAAACCCCGCCTCTACTAAAAATACAAAAAATTAGCCGGGCGCAGTGGCGGGCGCCTGTAGTCCCGGCTACTCGGGAGGCTGAGGCAGGAGAATGGCGTGAACCCGGGAAGCGGAGCTTGCAGTGAGCCGAGATTGCGCCACTGCAGTCCGCAGTCCGGCCTGGGCGACAGAGCGAAACTCCGTCTCAAAAAAAAAAAAAAAAAAAAAAAAAACTAGAAGCCATTGTAACAACATGTTTAAAGTGCTAGAATAAGAAAACTGCAGGCTTAGAATTCTAAACCAGCCAAAATGTTCTTAAAAGATTAAGGCAAAACAAATATGTGTTCAAACAAACAAAAACAGAGACAATTTGGCACCAGTAGGCCTGCACTGAAAAAGTAAAGGAAGTTTATCAGGAAAATAATCCAAGATAGAAATATGGACTTGGAAGAAAGAATGAAGAACACTGGGAAACATATGTAAATGAATAGTAACTGTACAAAATAATAATGGTACACCCTGAGGAGTTTCAATTTTATGTACTGTATATCTAAAATTCATGGTAGCAATAACTTAAATGATGAGAGGGAAGCAAATAGAGTTTAAAAGTCCTAAGGCTTAATTGGTATCAGCCAAGTAGTAAAAGTAATAATTTGCATTGGCCTTAATAAGTAAAAAAGCATGTTTTAAACTCTAGGCTAACAACTAAAAATTATTTTTAAATGTAACTTAATAGAAGGAAAATGGAATCATGTAGAACATTTGATTAATCCAAAGGAAGTCAAGGGAAGATAAAGGTACATAAAAGTAGAGCACAAATAGTACAATGGCGAATATAGACCCAAGCACATCAGTAGTTACATGGAGGAAGACTGTGTAACTTAAGAATTAAATGTAGGCTAGATTAAAAAAAAAAAAAAAACGGCTATATAACTATACCCTTGTCAGAAAAAGTAAACTTTATAATAAGAAGCATTACTGGAGTTAAAGTGGAATATTTTATAACACTAAAGGGATCTGTGGCAGGCTGAATAGTGCCCCCCTACAAAGATATCCACGTTCTAATCCCTGGAACCTGTGAAAACTATATACATACACAGTATGGAAAGAAGAGGACTTTGCAGATAAAATTGAGGATCTGGAGATGGAGCGATTATCCTGGATTATCCAGTTGGGTCCTAAAGCCAATCACATGTATTCTTATAAAGAAGGAGACAGAGACTTAATCCTGAAGAGTAGAAGGCTGTGTGACAATAGAGGCAGAGTTATGCAGCCACAAGCCAAGGAATGCCAGCAGCCACGAGAAACCAGAAGAGGGAAGTAACAGATTCTCTAGATCCTCTGAAGGGAGCACAGCCCTGCTGACACATTGACTTTGACCCAATGATATTGATTTTGGACCTCCTGCCTTAAGAGCTGTGAAGGAATAGATTTTTATTGTTTTAAACCACCAAGTATGTGTTAATTTGTCACAGTAGCTATAGGAAAGTAATATAGATTTAATTCACAAGGTAGGTATGTTCTGTAAACTGTATGCACCAAAGAACATAATCTAAAATATATAAGGTAAACATTGACATAACTGGCAGAAGAAATAGACATATTCCCAATCAAAGTAGATTTGAATAAAATTATAATAACTGATAGCAGTTATTATTGTAGCAGACCAAAAACACCACAATTACAAACTGAACCTAGCTGCCATATGTAAGCACTGAATCCAGCAGTGACAAAATTCTTTTTTTTTTTTGAGACAGAGTCTCACTCTATTGCCCAGGCTGAAGTGCAGTGGTGCTATCTTGGCTCACTGCAACCTCTGCCTCCCAGGTTCAAGTGATTCTCCTGCCTCAGCCTCCCAAGTAGCTGGGACTACAGGCGTGCGCCACCACACCCAGGAATTTTTGTATGTTTTAATAGAGACGGGGTTTCACCATATTGGCCAGGCTGGTCTCAAACTCCTGACCTCATGATCCACCCGCCTCAGCCTCACAAATTGCTGGGATTACAGCTGTAAGCCACCGTGCCCGGCCCAAAATTCATTCTTTTACATGCACAAGGAAGGAACATTTATCATATGTGAACACTTAACATATGACTGAGCCATAAAAAAGGCCTTAACAAATTTCCAAAGATTTAAATTTCTTAGCATGGAAATGGATATTGACCAATACAGATTAAGCCAGAAATCATACAAAATAAAAATAGCTTACAAAATAAAAATAGCATACAAAATAAAAATATCATACAAAAATAAATAGCTTTCATATATACAATTTAAAAAAACAGAAGTTGTAAGAGAATTTTAAAAGAAAATACCTTAGGCAATTTTTTTTTTAATCTCCAAAATTTAAAACTCTTCTGAAAAATACAAAACTAGGCTTGAACAAATGGAAAGACTTAACCATGTTCTTGCATGTGAAGTCTCAGCATCATATAATATCAGTTCTCTTAAGTTAGTTTGTCATTTTAATGCAATAACAATAAAAATGCCATGTTATTTTCTGGTGCCAGGCAAGCTATTAATAATTGTTTAAGTTTATCTCAAAGAAGAAACAATCAAGAATAATTAGAGAAACTGAAAAAAAGAACAGTGGGAGAAGAGGAGGATTTAACCTAGAAGACATTAAACATACATGAAGCCTTTAATTAATGTAGTTTGATATTGCTGCATGAATGCACAAACCAATGGGAAAGAATAAAAGACTAATTGCATATGGCAATTTCGAATACTGTAAAGGCAGCATCTCATCAGTGAAAGGAAATGTATGTTTTAATGCTAAATAGGGGAAAAGATAAAATTATATCCATTCCACGGGGCGTGGTGGCTCCTGCCTATAATCCCAGCACTTTGGGAGGCTGAGGCGGGTGGATCACCTGAGGTCAGGAGTTCAAGACCAGCCTGGCCAACATGATGAAACTCCATCTGTACTAAAAATACAAAAAAAAATTAGCTGGGCGTGGTGGTGCACGCCTGTAATGCCGGGTACTCGGGAGGGTGGGGCAGAAGAATCGCTTGAACCTGGGAGGCAGAGGTTGCAGTGAGCTGAGATCATGCTGCTGCACTCCAGCTTGGGCGATAGAGTGAGACTCCATCTCAAAAAAAAAAAAAAAATTACATCCATTCCTTCTACTACACACCAAGATAAATTTTAAGTGGATCAGAGATTAAAATAAATGTAACAAAATGACTTCATACAAGTACAAATAAAATGCATGGGAATTTCCCTGTAACTTGGATGTAGGGAAAATTTCCTAATAGACTCAAAATTCATACACACTAAGGAAAAAGATGAATAACTAACTTTTTTTAAAAAAACTTGCATTTCAAACAGGCGCAATGAACAAAATGAAAAGCTGGGAACAGTATTTTCAAATTATATTACAGATAAAGGGATTTTAAACCTAATTTCTAAGGAGCTTTTACAGGGAAGGAAGAAGGTCAACAATCTTAGAAAAATGGACTAGATGCAGCAGAAAAGAAAATGAAAGCAGAAAATTATGGAAAATTGTCAAACGGAATTATAAAGAGGAAAAAAATGGAAATGCAAGCTTTTTTTTTTAAAGAGAGAATGATCTGCTACAATACAGGAGGCTGATCTGGGCAGAGAAACCAACAGCCTTTAAAAGTCATGCAGGGCTAGAGAAATAAGATTGGATACTAGAAAGGCTAAGGTCCTGCTGAGAAGGGAAGGACAGAGATGTGAGCCTAGTACCCTTCACAATACATTGGCAAATTCTGAAGCTACAAAGCACAAGAGACCAGAAAGCCAAGTAGAAAGCTATGAAAAACCATTTTTAGGAAGCTAGTATTAGAGTTCAAGACCCAGCAGTGAGGACAAGAGGCTTTTGGTGACTGTCTGGGGATTTCATTTGGAAAGTCTGGAGATTGGTGCCTTTTAAGAAGGGACAAAACTAAGGGTAAGTGAACTTTGGTTCTAGGAATGGCAAGACCAGCAAGAAGATCACCATTGCCAACTGTAGCCTTTACACAATGTCATAGCAGCCCAAATTCAGTCAGCTATTGAATTAAGTTTATTGTCTACTTGCCAAGCTAAAGAATGTATGAATGCTGTCTTTAGAAGATAACATCATATGGAGGTTCTACAACTTCTTAGACACAATGTCAAGCTTTTAGTAAAATTATACTAGACATTCAAGAGATGGGATTGAAAACCAAGAGAAAGGGCAGACAATAGAAATATACTCACAGATGATTCAGGCAGTGGAGTTAAGACCAGGACTTGAAATAACAATGATAATTGTTCAAGAAAATAGAAGACAGGGAGAAAATAAATAAAAGGGAAATTTCCCCCCAGATAATTGGAACTTGTGGGGGATAAAAAGAATCAAATGGATATTCTAGAGCTGAGAATTGCAATAACTGAAATTAAGAACTCAATTGATGGGTATAAAATCAAATTAGACAATGGCGAGCCCAAAAATAAACCCTCATGTATATAATCAAATAATTTTCCACACGGGTACCAAGACCATTCAATGGGGAAAAGATGGTCTCTTCAAAAAGTGGTGTTAGGGAAACTGTATATTCATATGCAAAAGAATGAAGTTGGACCCTTACCTTATATCATAGGCAAAAGTTAACTCAAAATGGTCCAAAGACCTAAGTGTAAGACCTAAAACTGTACAACTCTTGGAAGAAAACAGAGGAAAAAAGCATTAAGACAATATATGTATTTCTTGGATATGACACCAAAAGCACAGGCAACAAATGTAAAAATAGACAAAGTGGACTATATTAAAGTTTAAAACTTCTGGGCATCAGAGGACACAATTAACAGAGTGAAAAGACAGCCTACAGACTAGGAGAAAATATTTGCAAGTCATACATCTAATAAAGGGTTAATATTTCCAAATTATATAAACAACTTGTACAAATTAAAAACAAAATAACCCAATTAAAAAATATACAAAGGACTTGAATGGTCATTTCTCCAAAGATGATATGCAAACAGCCAACAAGCATATGCAAATATGCTCAATACCACAAATCATCAGGAAAATGCAAATCAAACCACAACGAGATATCATGTCACACCAATTAGGATGGCCACTATTAAAAACATAAAATTAATAAGCATTGGCAAGGATGTAGAAATTAGAACACCTGTGCACTGTTGGTGGGAATATAAAATGATGCAGCTGGCTTTGCAGACACTGCTGTCCCCCAACACCCCCTGTCACTAGGCCATGGTCATCCCGACTGTGCCCTTCAACATCACCATCAACAGCAAGCCCTTAGGACACATCTCCTTTCAGCTATTTGCAGACAAATTTCCAAAGACAGGAGAAAACTTTCACACTCTGAACAATAAAGACAAAGGATTTGGTTCCTGCTTTCACAGAATTATTCCGGAGTTTATATGCCAGGGTGATGACTTCACACCCCATAATGGCATTGGTGGCAAGTCCATCTACGGGGATAAATTTGATGATAAGAACTTTATTGTGAAGCATACAGGTCTTGGCATCTTGTCCATGGCAAATGCTGCACCCAAAACAAATGAGTCCCAGTTTTTCATCTGCACTGCCATGGCCAAATGGTGGGATGGCAAGCATGTGATCTTTGGCAGGGTGAAAGAGGGCATGAATATTGTGGAAGCCATGGAATGCTTTGGGTCCAGGAATGGCAAGACAAGCAAGATCGCCATTGCCAACTGCAGACAACTCTGATAAATTTGACTTGTGTTTTATCTTAACCACCAGACCTTTCCTTTTGTAGCTCAGGAGAGCACCGTTCCACCCCATTCGCTCACAATATCCTATAATATTTGTGCTCTCACTGCAGTTCTTTGAGTTCTATATTTTCATTATGTCCCTCCACGTATAGCTGGATTGCAGAGTTAAGTTTATGATTATGAAATAAAAACTAACAAAAAAAAATGATGCAGCCACTATGGAAAACAGTATCACAGTTTCTCAAATAATTAAACATTGAATTACTATATGATTCAGCAGTTCCACTCCTGGATATATATCCAAAAGAATTGAAAGCAGAATTCCAAAGAAATATTTGCACATCCATGTTCATAGCTATACCATTCACAGTAGCCAAGAGGTGGAAGCCATCTGTGTGCCCATCCACAGATGAATGGATAAACAAAATATGGGATATACACACTATGAATACAGCCTTAAAAAGGAAGGAAATTCCAACACATGCTACAACATGGAGGAATCTTGAGGAATTAACGGTAAGTGAAATAAGCCAGTCACAAAAAGGCCAATACTGAATGATTCCACTTATGTGAGGTATCTAGAGTAGTCATATTCATAGAGACAGAAAATAGAATGATTGTTGCCAGCAACTGGGAGGAAGGGGGTGTGAAAAGTTGTTTAATGGATATTGAGTTTGTTTTCCCAGACGAAGAAGTTCTGAAGGTTGGTTACATGATGTGAATATACTAAACACTACTGAACTGTGTACTTAGAATGGTTAAGATAAATTTTATGCGTTTTCACTACAATAACAAGTAGAACAGTAGAACAGATGATTAGTCACAGCAGAAAAGATGAAAGATAGGTCAAAACAGGTTATTAGAAAATATCCAAACTGAAGATGAAGAAGAAAATCATTTTTAGTAGAAAATATCCAAACTGATATATAAAGACATAAAGGAATTTGTGGAGGCAGAGGGGAGATAAGGCAATAAAGGACATGTGGGACACATCCAAAAAAAAAAAAAATCCAACATACAGAATCCCAGGAGAAGAGGAGAGAGAACAAGGCAGGAGCAAGGTTTGAAGAGGTAATGGCTCAGAATTTATTTCCTAAGAATTATGAAAGACATTATTTCACAGACTCAAAGTGTGTGATCCACAGATTTAAATACAAAGAAGCCTTACTAGAATATCATAGCAAATTGCCAAAAACAAAAGACAGAGAATAGAATCTTAAAAGATAGAGAAAAGAACTCACTTTCAAATGTCCAAGACTGACAGCTGACTTCTCAGCAGGAGCAATGGAACCAGAAGACAACAAAGTGACATTTCAATTGCTGGAAGAAAACAGCACCAACCTAGACCTCTGTACCCTGCAAATATCCTTTAAAAATGAAGCAAATAAAGTAATCATTATGTATGTTATTGGCAAAATGATAGACCAATAGAACAGTGGAACAAAAGAGAGAGGCCAAGAATAAACCTTTACATAGATGGTCAAATGATTTTCTCAAAGGGCACGACAGCATTTGAATGAAGTAAAATCTCTGTAATAAGTATGTCTGGAATGCATGGATATGCATATAGAAGAAAAAACCCATACCTCACATCATCCAGAAAAATCAACTTGAGATAAATTATAGACATAAAAGTAAAGCTAAAGCAATAAAGCTACCAGAGCAAAACATAAGATGTTCTCTTTAAGTTCTTGGTGTAGGCAGAGACTTCTTAGAAAACATGAACTATACAAGAAAAAAAAATTGGTAAGTTGGACTTCATTAAAATTTCTCAGCTGGGCATGGTGGCTGACACCTCCAATCCCATCACCTTGGGAGGCCAAAACAGAAGGATTACTTGAAGCCAGGAGTTCAAGACCAACCAGGGCAACATAGCAAGACCCCATCTCTACAAAAAATTTAAAAATCAGCCAGCAACGCCTGTAGTCCTAGCTACACAGGAGGCTGAGTTGGGAGGATTGCTTGAGCCCAGGACTTTGAGGATGTAATGAGCTATGATTGTGCCACTGCACTCCAGCTTAAAAAAAAATAAAATGTATCTTCAACAGACACTTAAGAAAATAGACACAGACTTAAAGAAAATATTCACAATACGTATATATGATGGACTTGAGTTCAAAATATATAAAGAACTACAATTTAGTAATTTTTAAAAAGACAACGCAATTTTTTAAAGGTGAGTTTTGTGAATAGATGTTTCACAAAACACAATATATGTGTAGTAATTACATTTTAAAAGTACCCAGTGTATTAGTCATCTAGAAATGAAAAACAAAACCCCAGTGAAATACCAGTTCATACCCTGTAGAAGGGCTAGACAGTGAAAAAGACTGATAATGACAAATGTTGGAGAGGATGTGGAGCAACTGGAACCCTCATATGTTGCTAGTGGGAGTAGAAAATAATATGATTATTTTGGAAAACAGTTTGTCAGTTTATTAAAGAGTTACATATATATACATGACCCAGTAATTTTGCTGCTAGAAATGTATCAAAGAGACATGAAAACATATGACCACAAAATACTTGGAAAAAAAATATTTACAGCAGCTTTATTCATAATAGCCAATAAAACTGGTAACAGTGAGGTGCCCATCAATAGAAGAATAGGTAAACAGTGGTCTATTGAGATGGTGGATACTGTTCAGCAAAAAAGAACCAACATCCACAACATTGACGAATCTCAATATTATTCTCACAAAAGAAGTTGGTAACAAAAAAATGCATAGTTAAGATTCTAACTATATGAAATTCCAGAATAGGGGGAAATAACATATAGGGATAGAAATCAGATCAGTGATTACTTCGTGGGGGAAGGTATTGACTGGAATACCGCATGAAAGAACTTTCTGGAGTGTTGGATATTTCTGTGTCTTTGTTACTTAATTGTCGAAAGTGAATGTTACACTTAGGATCTGAGCATTTGTTTATGTAAGTTATACCTCACTTTTTAAAAATGAAAGTTAAATAAAGATTTTAGACCACTAAAAGCTGGAAGATGCTTTTACCAACAGATTGTACTAAAAAATCAGTAAAGGATTTTTTCAGGCAGAAGGAAAACTATCCCACATGGAGGCTCAGAAATATAGGAAAGAACAAAAAGCCACAGAAAGGGTAAATGTTCGAGGAGACAGAGAAATGAGGATGGCTTTACAAAATATGGACGGTAACATCTTCCAAAGTAAAAATGTATGACAACAATAATAAAACAATAAAAGGCAGATGGGAACTGAAATAAAAATGAAATATCATTGATAATAAAACAATAAAAGGCAGAAGGGAACTGTACTGACCACGTTAGATAGTCCTAGGACCAGTTAGACATTTCACATTCATGCCGCTGCAGCAGCATCAGAGGTATACCTCCAGAGTGAGCCCTCACATAGTTCGCACCTTAGTCCAGGGGCCATTCTCTGCCCACCCGCATTTTCTGCCAAGTGTCAGTTCAGATAGAAGGGAACAAATCAATTTATTAATTGTGGGAACTACCCTAGTTTAGATACCCTAAGTTCCAATAAAGAATCAATATCTTTTGTAATAGCCTCATGAGCATAGAGTCCTGGAGAGGGACATGGCTTGGCTATAAGAACCGTGACACTCAGAAGCTCAAAGCTGTGGCTTTTCATCAGGTATTTGTAGTTTATTTACAATCATCTCAGTCCAGATAGGTTTACCAACCAGTGTTATTTTTTACCATATGTTACCTGTAACAGATATTAGATATTTAGGGAAATAAAGCTAGAAGTTTCATCCAACATTGTTTTCCATTTTAGGCTCACGGACGGACTTCCACGACCTTGAGTTAAAACTTTAGGGTAGATAGGAATTACCTGGAGGCCTTGTTAAAACACAAATTGTTGGTGCCCTATGACTTACTTCCTAGCTCAGTAGCTTTAGGGTGAGGCTTGAGAATTTACATATCTAATAAGTTCCCAGGTGATACTGGGTGATACTGCTGACCTGAGGACCCCACGTTAAAACCAATGCCTTATTCAATGGCAGTGATAACAAAGTAAAAGTGCCCCTTTCCTGTTTACTAAAGGGTCCCCATGTTCTTTTAGCTTCAGCCTTTAAAATACTAGTCATTATTTATTATTTCTTCAAAAGCCCATCTCTAATTGTCTCCTTAGGGAGTTTTTGAGTTCACATTGACATTAATTGTCACTAACTGTCAGCAGTTGGCATTAACCAGACTCTATTTTAGGATTAAATCCACCTGATCCACCTGCACTATCAGAACATTCAGGACGCGACTCAGGCTGCAGCTCAGAGGGCTCCACCGGTGGCCCTAGACTTGCATCAAGCTGCTGCCATTGCCACTGCACCAGCTTGTATGCCAGGTTACCACATAGTCCTATGTAACCATGTGGGCTGCTGTAGAGTAATTCCCCTACTTTTGTCCCCCACTTCCTCAGGTAGAGGCTCGTAGACATTACATTGGATGAGCAGGCAGCTCAGCTTGGTCAGAGCCAGCCGTCTGCTCCACCCACTTTGTCCTATCACAGACCCAGTCGCAGACATAAATTCTCAAGCTCATGTGCTTGTCTCCTTCCCACCCCCAGCCCGTCATCAATGCCTAGTTTGGCCTAATGCATCAGCTGCACCAAGGCAAAATCATTTTTGCCAACCAGCCCAGCTGCAGTTTGGTTTCTGGTCAAGTCCAATTTATGGACAGCGGAGAGGAGTGGACAGCTTCTCTCAGCATAAGTTTGTCTCCAGCTTTCATCCCTTCCCACGGGGGAAGATTTCGAAGCCAAAAGGTTAACATGAGATCAACTTCCCATGAGTATTCACGGATAAAGTGCTAGGTTTTAGCATTATCAAGAAAGTAATGAAATTAAAGTAATAATACGTATTTTCAGTGTGTAATAGGTTGAAGATGCAAGTTGCAATCTCTAGGCTAACCACTTAAGAGCAAAACATGTATAATTAAAGGAAAAGGAGTAATAAACATTTGATCAATTTTTAAAAAGAGACAAAGGAGGACAAAAGGAATGTGTGAAATGGAAGGCAAATAGTAAAATGACAGATAAACCTAATATATCAGTAAGCAGAATAAATATAAAAGGACTAAGTACTTCAGGTACTGGAGTACTGACATTATCAACTGGGTTTTCAAATATGAACCAAATTGTGTGCTTTTAAATATAAAATATACAACAGTTAAAATTAAACAAATTTTAAAAAGATATATCAGCCAGGCACAGTGGATCATGCCTGTAATCCCAGCATTTTGGGAGGCTAAGACAGGAGGATTGCTTGAGACCAGGAGTTTGAGAATAGCCTGAACAACAGAGACCATCTCTACTAAAAAAAGCAAACAAACCAACCTAGCCAAGCATAGTAGCATACCTACTCTGGAGGCTGAGGCAGGAGAATCCTGAGCCTAGGAGTTTGAGGCTGCAGTGAGCTATGATTGTACCATTTCCCTCCAGCCTGGGTGACAAAGTGAGACCCTGTTTCAGAAAAGAAAAAAGATATATCATGCAAATACAAGTAAAAAGGAAGTTGGTGTAGTTATACTAATATCAGATAATATGGAATTTAAGGTAAGAAGCATTACTACAGTTAAAGACAGACATTTCATAATGATAAAATGATCACTAGGGATATAGAAAGTTGTAAATTTATATGTAACTAATAGCATAGTTTTAAGTTCTATAACAAATATTAAACATAAATCTGCAGTCTTAGTGGAATTTTACATACCTCTCAATAGGTGATAGAATTAAGCAGACAAAAAAATCAGTAAAAATATAAATCATCTTACTAAAAAGCAAACTTGACCTAACTGATATTTCTATAATGTTGATATCAACTGTGACAAACTACTCATTTTTAAAAAGCCACATGGAACATTTACCATCTTGATCATAACCTGAGTCATAAATTAAGCCTCAGTTAAATTTTAACACATTTAAATCATTTACAGTATGTGTTCTCACCATAGTGGAATTAAGCTAAAAAAAAAAAAAAAAAGATCAGAAACAAAAGAAGAGATAGTAAATCTCCAGTCTGGGTGCGGTGGCTCAAGCTTGTAATCCCAGCACTTTGGGAGGCCAAGACCTGCAGATCACCTGAGGTCAGGAGATCGAGACCAGCCTGGCCAACATGATGAAACCCCATCTCTACTAAAAATACAAAAATTAACCATGTGCGGTGGTGCGTGCCTGTAATCCCAGCTACTTGGGAGGCTGAGGCAGGAGAATTGCTTGAACCTGGGAAGCAGAGGTTGCAGTGAGCTGTGATCACTCCACTGCACTCCAGCCTGAGCGACAGGGCGAGACTCCATCTAAAAAAAAAAAAAGAAAGAAAATCTTCACCTGTTTTGGTAACATTAAGCACTACACCTCTAAATAATCCATGGGTCAATGAAAAAAGCACAAAGGGAATTAGAAAATATTTTGAAATGAATGATACAGTGTAAAAGATATGGTATATCAGCACATGTGGGATGCAGTTAAAGCAATACTTGAGGGAAGTTTGTATCCTAAATGGATATATTAGTTTAAAACAGAAAGGGGAGAGGAGATGAACGTCAGTGATCTATGCTTCTATCTCAAAAAGCTAGAAAAAGAACAAATCAAAACCACACTACATTGAGATATTTTTCACCCATCACACTGGCAAAAATTCAGAAGTTTTATAAGACTAAAACCTCTTAGACTGTGGGGAAACACACTGCCATACATTGCTAATGAAAATGTGAAATGGGCCGGGCACAGTAGCTCACGCCTGTAATCTTACCACTTTGGGAAGCCAAGGCAGGTGGATCACTTGAGGTCAGGAGTTCTAAACCAGCCTGGCTAACATGGTGAAACCCCATCTTCATTAAAAATAAAAAAATAAAAATAATTAGCTAGGCTTGGTGGCAAGCACCTGTAATCCCAGCTACTTGAGAGGCTGAGGCAGGAGAATCACTTGAACTGGGAGGCGGAGGTTTCAGTGAGCCAAGATTGCACCCCTGCACTTCAGCCTGGGCAACAGAATGAGACTCTGTCTCAAAAAAAAAAAAAAAAAGAAAGAAAGAAATGGATGACCTTTACAGGGAAGAAACTGACTATATCTAGCAAAATTATACATTCATTTACCCTTTTAGCCAGCAATTCTACTTTTAGTAACTATTCCCAAAAATGCATTGGCAAAAACATTAAAACAAAAATACTTTTGAATGAGGCTGTTTATTGTAACCTGATTTGTAGCAAATTGGAAACAACCCAAATGCCCAGCAGTAGCGGAGTGATTAAATGAAAAGTTCCCTGTGGATGTACATTATGTGTGAACATCCACACAGTGGAGGCTTCCACACAGTGGAGGCTTCTGCAGCTGTCAAAAAGAACAAGGACCATTTCAGTGGAATAAAATCTCCAGGATATCAAGTGGAGGAGAAAAAGTGGAAAAAAATAATATCTTAGGATACTATTTATCTTTTTTAAAAAATGGCAAGGGAAGAGTGGATATATGTAGAGAAAAAGATATTTTAAAATGAAAGACTAAATCTTAAAAATATTTTTAAATGGTTTTCCATAGAGGAAAGAAAATGGGGTGGAGAGGACAAGGAATGAAGCTAGGTTCCTTGAATCTACATTATTTTTTCAATTTGACTTTGAAACCAAGTAAATATTTTGCACAATTACACAAAATTTTTAATAAAGCAGTTTCTACTTAAAATTAAATGAGCCTATGTATTCAGTTGGTAGCATAACCATACCAAGGGGAATTATCAAGAGGAATTATTCCAAATGACTTTAAAACACAATTACAGTTGACCCTTGAACAGCATGGAAGTTAGGGGTGCCAACTCCCTACACAGTTTAAAATCCACATATAACTTTTGACTCCTCAAAAACTTAACTACTAATAGCCCACTATTGACTGGCAGCCTTATGATAACATAAACAGTTGGTTAATACATATTTTATATATGTATTTTATATTGTATTCTTATAATCTATAGAAAAGAAAATGTTAAGAAAATCACAAGGAAGAGAAAATATATTTACTGTTCATTAAGTGGAAGTGGATCATCTTGAAGGTCTTCATTCTCACCATCTTCATGTTAAGTAGGCTGAGGAGTAGGAACGGAAGAAGAGGGGTTGGTCTTGCTGTTTCAGGGGTATTAGAGGCACAAGAAGTGAAGGAGATGGAAGGGGAGGCAGGAGAGGCAAGCACGCTTGGTCTTTTATTGAAAAAAATCCGTGTGTAAGTGAACCTGCACTGTTCAAACCTGTGTTGTTCAAGGGTCAACTGTATTTGACTATACATCCCTAATGAGATTTACCCTAAGAACCAAAGGAAACCTTGTACAGATTGATTATCCTTTATCCAAGATGCTTGGGACCAGAAGTGCTTTGAATTTCAGATGGGGTTTTTTTTTGAACTTAAGAGAGATGATTTAGGGTATCTGGTGGAAGAAATTTCTAAGCAGCAAAGCATTCAAGAGGTGACTTGGGTGCTGTTAAAGGCATTCAGTTTTATAAGGAAAGCAGTCGCCCAGGCTAAAGGTGCAGTGGCGTGATCACCACTCACTACAGCCTCAACCTCCCAGGTTAAAGCAATCCTTCCACCTCAGCCTCCCAAGCAGCTGGGACTACAGGCATGTGCCACCATGCCCAGCTAATTTTTAAATTTTTTAAATAGAGACAAGGTCTTCCCTGTGTTGCCCAGGTTCCTGGACTCAAGCAGTCCACCCACCTCCACCTCCAAAAGTGCTGGGATTACAGATGTGAGCCACCACACCTGGCCTCAATTTCAGATATTTCTGGATTTTTGAATATTTGCATTATTCTGCTTGAGCATTCCAAATCTGAAAGTCCAAAATGTTCCAATGAGCATTTCAGTTATCACGTTGGTGCTCAAAAAGTTTGGGATTTTGGAGCATATCAAATTTGGGATTTTCAGATTAGGTATACTCAACCTGTACTATTTTCAATAATGTTGTTAATGATATTGATAGTGTTCTTCTGAGATTCTAAGTGTATGTATTGTGAAATGAATGAGTTCTTTTTTGGTGTTGAGAACTAGAATTTTTGGTAGAGATGAAAGGAGATACAGATGTGAGAATGATGGCGTTAACACCTGTGGTCCTGAATTGGAAATATTGGTACAAATTCTGATGTGTTTTATCAGTTTTAAAATACAAAGTTCCTAGCTTTATTTGCTGAAAAAACTAGAGGTAATGACAGATCCAGTACTAATAAGCACCTTTAGTCTCTAGATTGTGGACTTTAGCTTCCATTTTAGTGGAAAGTGGTACCTAAAGGTCACAATCTAGGTGAACCAGTTTTCCTTGGAGAAATAGCTTCTACCAAGTATTTGAACCAGTATTCTTTGGAGAAAAAGCTTCTACCAAGTCTGGGAAAGCAAGGAAGCTCGCAATGACAACAGGTTGTATCAAAAGAATTTGGAATGAACTTGAATAAGCTCCCATTGGCCAAACATAAGACAGTTTGAGCAACAGGAGGATAATAACTGCAATGAATGAAATGCATCACCTACAATTAAACTACTGAATTTGCAGTGATAATTGTGCCTTGGAGAATGCATGGTGTATTCGTTCGTTTTCTTGCTGCTGATAAAGACATACCTGAAACTGGGAGCAAAAAGAGGTTTAATTGGACTTTCCGTACATCTTCTGAAATCTAGGTGGAGGTTCCCAAACTTCAATTCTTGACTTCTGTGCACCCACAGGCTCAACACCACATGGAAGCTTCCAAGGCTTGGGGCTTCCACCCTCTGAAGCCACAGCCCAAGCTGTATGTTGGCCTCTTTCAGCCATGGCTGGAGCAGCTGGGACGGAAGGCACCAAGTCTCTAGGCTGCACGCAGCACGGGGACCCTGGGCCCAGCCCACAAAACCACTTTTTCCTCCTGGGCCTCTGGGCCTGTGATGGGAGGGGCTGCCGTGAAGTTCTCTGATGTGGCCTGGAGACATCTTCCCCATGGTCTCAGGGATTAACATTAGACTCCTTGCTACTTATGCAGATTTCTGCAGCTGGCTTGAATTTCTCCCCAGAAAATGGGTTTTTCTTTTCTATCGCATAGTCAGGCTGCAAATTTTCTAAACTTTTATGTTCTGCTTCCCCTATAAAACTGAATGCCTTTAACAGCACCCAAGTCACCTCTTAAATGCTTTGCTGCTTAGGAATTTCTTCCACCAGATACCCTAAATCATCTCTCTCAAGTTCAAAGTTCCACAAATCTCTAGGACAGGGGCAAAATGCCACCAGTCTCTTTGCTAAAACATAACAAGAGTCACCTTTGCTCCAGTTCCCAACAAGTTCCCCATCTGCATCTGAGACCACCTCAGCCTGAATTTTATTGTCCATATTGCTATCAGCATTTTTGGCAAAGCTACTCCACAAGTCTCTAGGAAGTTCCAGACTTTCCCACATTTTCCTGTCTTCTTCTGAGCCCTTCAAACTGTTCTAATCTCTGCCTGTTACTCAGTTCCAAAGTCACTTCCACATTTTCAGGTATCTTTTCAGCAGTGCCCCACTCTGCTAGTACCAATTTACTGTATTAGCTTGTTTTCATGCTACTGATAAAGACATACCCAAAACCAGGAACAAAAAGGTTTAATTGGTCTTACAGTTCCACATGGCTGGGGAGGCCTCAGAATCATGGCAGGAGGCAAAAGATACTTCTTACATGGTGGTGGCAAGAGAAAAATGAGGAAGAAGCAAAAGCAGAAACCCCTGATAAACCCATCAGATCTCATGAGACTTATTCACTATCACGAGAATAGCATGGGAAAGACCGGCCCCCATGATTCAATTACTTCCTCCTGGGTCCTTCCCACAACACGTGGGAATTCTGGGAAATACAATTCGAGATGTGGGTGGGGACACAGCCAAACCATATCACATGGGAATAGTTTTTTTTCAATGTAGATATAATTAAAAGTAAAAAGCATGTGTCCTTCCTTTTCTAAATTAATTTTTTTTGGGGGATAAGCAATTGATGAGGGAAAGTCTCTCTAGGAATATTACGATTAATAAACTGAAAGTGATAATAACATCAGTATATTACAGTTTTGTAGCCCTTAATGAATATCAGCAGTGATCATCACTTGCTGCTAACATCTGAGACACCCAGACAGTATGTGTGTATCATTAGAAGTACACACCTATAAAGTAGTTTTGTCCCACTCTTCCCCCAAAAGTTAAATCTAAACCAGTCACTTCTGTAATTACAATTTGTGAGAAATAACAGGGAACAAAGGAGCATGTTAAATGGTACCATGAGGATGCAATATCAGAGTCTAATGCTGGAAACCAACAGGACAGATAACCCTATTTCTTCTACAAAAATAAATTTGTAAAGAAAAAACTAATGAAGATGGACCCCAGAGATCACAACAGATTTAAGGAGAAAGCAGCCAATTAAAATGTATGGCGCTCATTTAGATTGTGATTCAAACTGTAAAAGCAAAATGAAACTTCTGTAAGACACTTGGGGTACATAGGAACAACCAACTGAATACTTGATGATATTAAAGAATCATTTTCACTTCTTTAGGCATAATGTACATAAGCTTATGTTCTAAACATGAGTTTTTATCTTTTAGAGGCACACACTAAAGAATTTACCCATGAAATTGTATGAAATCTGGAATTTGCTTCACATTAACATGGATGAGGGTATAGATGAAACAACATGGCCATGAGTTGATAAGTGTTGAAGCTGAATGATGAGCACATGAGGGTTCATTATATTGTTTTATTTATTTATTTATGTAATTTAAAGTGACAGGGTCTCCATCTGTCACCCAGGCGAGAGTGCAGTGACACAGTCTTAGCTCGCTGCAGCCTCAAACTCCTGTGCTCAAGTGATTCTCCTGCCTCATCCTCCCTGCCCCATCCCGCAACCCCCAAAGTAGTTAGGACGACAGGCACGGACCATGCCAAGCTAATTTTTAAATTTTTTTCATAAAAATGTAGTCTCGCTATGTTGCCCAGACTGGTCTCAAACTCCTGGCCTCAAGCAATCCTCCCACCTTGGCTTCCCAAATTACTGAGATAACAAGGTGTGAGCCACCGCACCCAGCCAGGAGTGCAGCTTTTAAAAGAGTAGTTCCAGGCCGGGCGTGGTGGCTCACGCCTGTATTCCCAGTGCTTTGGGAGGCTGAAGCAGGTGGATCACCAAGTCAGGAGTTCGAGACTAGCCTGGTCAACATGGTGAAACCCTGTCTCTACTAAGAATACAAAAAATTAGCAAGGTGTGATGGCTCACACCTGTAATCCCAGCTACTCTGGAGGCTGAGGCAGGAGAATAGCTTGAACCCGGGAGGCAGAGGTTGCAGTGAGCCAAGATCACGCCACTGCACTCCAGCCTGGGTGACAGAGCGAGACTCCATCTCAAAAAAAGAAAAAAAAAAGTTCCTTTATTTTTGTATATACTTGAAATTTTTCATTATAAAACATTTAAATGATGTGATTACAAAGATGAGAAACAAATAGCATCAGAAATGAGTAGGTAAATTTAAAAAGCAAATTAGCCATCTTAAACTAAAATAAATTGTGTAAGTCAGATATTCAGTTGATGGGTTACATGAATTAGACATAATTAAATAGTGAATTGCAAGCTTTGTAAAAAATTTACCTGAAATATTATAGAGACAAGGAGACAAATGAATCAACAGACTTAGGAAGTACCATGTATTCCAAGCTGGAAAAGTAAAAAGAAATCCATACCTACATACATTATAGTAGAACTACAAAATAGCAAAGGCAAAGGTATCTTAAAGCATCCATTTCAGTCAGGGTACTGTCAGGAAAACAGAAATAACACTAGGTATTTCAGAAAAGCAAATTTGATTTAGAGAATTGATGACGTTGTAGAGGGCTGAAAGAGAAAAAGGAAACAAGGAAGTAAACTAAAGATAACTGTAGGGAACAGCTCCCACCTCTAGGTGTGGAAAAGGGCAGCAAGTGATTAGGGTTTTCAGAATTTAGAAGTTTACAGGAGAAACTGAGGAGCTGGAGCTCTTGCTTCCACAGAGAGGGACAGCCTTGTGGCAGAAGGGTGCAGTGAGCCTGGGTCTGGGAGTGCTTAAAGAACCTGGAGACTAGAGTGCTGTTGCTGGAATAACACTGACAGGAGCAGCATGCAAATAGGAAGAAAGAAGTCCCTTCTCCCTCTTGCCTTCCAATCTTCTAGTGCACATGTTTGCTGAACCTAACAAGAAGCCTGTTAACAAAGGAGAAATGTGGTTTGCAGAGTGCCAGCAGTTATCGCAAAGCAGATTTGGACCTGAAAGACAATAGCTCAATAAGTATCACAGTAGCCATGTATTCATTCACTCATTCATTTATTCATTCATTCAGCAAATGGTTAGTAGAAGCTTACTATATGCCATTTACTTTTTAAATGGTTGGGATAAATCAGTGAAAAACAACTCAAAAGATCTCTGCCCTCATGGAGACAGAAAGAAAGGACAGATCACCTACAAGGAATGATGGCTAAAATGACAACCTATTTAATAGCCACTATTAAGGCCAGATGAATTGTGAAAGGATACCAGACCCCCTAGAATTGTGTGACCTACAATGAAGAAAGAATAAAGATATTTAAAGATAAGCAAAGAGCTAGAAAAATTTACTACCAAGAGTGCCGTTCTAAAGAAAATTTTTTATATGATGGCTGCAGAAGAATTATCTGAGACCCAAGAAGATTTGCTAAGCAAATAAAATGACAAAATGCTAAGCAAATAAGATACAAACCCAAACATTGTGGAAAATAATAATTTGTGGGATTTTAAAAGAAATGACTGAAATACTGTACAAAGTAGAACGTATATTTAAGAGTGGGATGATCAGATCTTAGGTTTTCAAAAGCCCTTTTATTATGCAGGAGAAGAGAGTTATAATACATTGTTTAGACTTTGTTAAATTTTTACAGTAAAATTTAAGGGTATCATTAAAAGAATACACAAATCTAAAACCTGTGAGGATAAAATAATGAAGTAAGAAGAGGATGAGCCAAAAAAAATCAATACAAGAAAATGCAAAAAAAAAAAAAAGCATTCAAGAATCTGGACAAATATAAAATGATCTATAATACAGCAGTGACAATAATGTGAAATCAGAAAACTTTTAAAGGAACTGCATATTTTTATGACTACATCTAAAACAAAAAAGTTGGAAAAGAAATACCAGGTACAAACTAATAAAAAGGAGGTAGTAGGCATAGTTATATTAATTACCTGAAAAACATATATTTCAAAACAATAATTATTAGGAGTAGAGAGAATGACTACATAATGATAAAATGTTTCATTCACCAGAAAGATATACCAGTTCTAAACTTACACATATTCAGTAAAATACCCTCAAAATATGTAAAGCAAACAAAAGAAAGATAGATGTACAGTTAGAAATTGCAAATCTGTCAACATAAACACTCTTCTCCATTATGCATAAGTCAGTCAGTTTGTACCTGTGTTTATGTTCATGAGGGATATTGGTCTGTGGTTTTTTTTATTATGTTTTTGTGAAGTTTTGGTATCAGGATAATAATGACCTTGTTTAATGAGTTGGAGGTGTTTCCTTCACTTTAGTTTTCTGAAAAAGTCTGTAGAGAATTCCTTAATATTTGATAGAATTTGCCAGTGAAGCCATCTGGTCCTAGAGTTCTCTTTGTGGGAGGTTTTTAATTATAGCTCTAATATCTTTAATAGATCTAGGGCTATTCAAATTATCTCTTTCTTCTCTGGTGATCTTTGGTAATTGTGTCTTTCAAGGGATTTGTTTATTTCATCTAAATTGTTTATTGGCAGAAAGTTCTTCATATTATTTTCTTATCATCCTTTTACTATCTGTAGGATCTGTAGTAATGGACCCTCTCTTAATCCTGATATTGGTACTTTGTATCTTATCTCTTTTTTTCTGATCAGACTCGCTAGAAGTTTATGAATTTTATTGATTTTTTTTGTTGTTGGGGAATAGGGGGACAGAGTCTCGCTCTGTCGCCCAGGCTGGAGTGCAGTGGTGCGATCTCAGCTCAGTGCAGCCTCTGCCTCCTGGGTTCAAGTGATTCTCGTGCCTCAGCCTTCTGAGTAGCTGGGGTTACAGGCTTGCACCACCATGCCTGGCTAATTTTTGTATTTTTAGTAGAGATGAGGTTTCACCATGTTGCCCAGGTCAGTCTCAAACTCCTGAGCTCCAGTGATCCACCCACCTCGGCCTCCCAAAGTGCTGGGATTACAGCCACCATGCTTGGCCATTTTATTGATCTTAAATAATCAGTTTGAGGATCCACTGACTTTCCACCATCTTTTTGTTTTCTCTTTCATTTATGTCTGCTCTTATCTTTGTAATTTCCTTGTCTTCCGCTTGCTTAGGATTTAATTTGCTTTTCATTTTTTAGGTTTTTAATAGTTTTTTTTTTTTAGGCTTTTAATATAAGCTTGTATTATTGACTTGATCCCTGTCTTCTTTTCTAATGTAGATGTTCAATGCTAAAAGTTTCCTGTAAATTTATGACAAATTTAACTTGTCATATTTTCATTTTCATTCAATTCAAAGTACTTTATAATTTTCCTTCTAATTTTTTTGACCCATGAGTTATTTAGGAGTATGATATTTAGTTTCCAACTATTTGGGTGTTTTCTAGATATCTTTCTTTAATTGATAGCTAGTTTAACTCCATTGTAGTAAATGAACATACTTTGTATGATTTGAATTCTTTTCAGCTTATTCAAGCTTGTTTTATGGGCCAGAATGTGGCCTATCTTGGTTAATGCTTCATGTGCACTAGAAAGGAATATTGTCTTCTGCTTTTGTTAGGTAGAGCATTTTAGAAATATCAGTTAGGTTAAGCTCCTGATAGTATTGTTTATATTTTCTTTACTGATTTTTCTGGTCTTCTATAAGTTATTGAGAGGCTAATTCAACTATATTAATAATTATGAATTTGCTTGTATCTTATTTTAGTCCTGTAAGTTTTCGATTTGTGTATTTCTAAGTTCTGTTACTAGATGTAGAAATCAATGAAATAGAAAACAAAGATATAATAGAGAAGATGAACAATCCAAAAGTTGTTTCTTTGAAACAAGTAGTAAAATAAACTTTTGGCAAAATTAAGATAAAAAGAAAGTACAAATTCTCAATATCAAGAAAAAGGGCAAAACAAAACTATGGTTATATCAAATTAAGGGATAAGAAAAGCATATAATTGCAACTTTATGCCAATAAATTTGAAAACAGGTAGACAATTTCTTAGAAAAATGTAATGTATTAAACTGATTCAAGAACAAAAAGAAAACCTGAAGAATCTCATAATTCTCAAATAAATTAAGTAGTAAGTTTTTAAAAAATCTTCTCACAAAGATTACAACAAGGTCTGTTGATTTTGCAAGTGTGAATTCTACAAACTTTTGAGAAATACCTCATCCTAATATAAACAGACTTCCAGACATTAGAATAAGGAATGACATACCAGTTAATTCCTTGAGACGGGTATAAACTTTAAAACAAAACCAGACATTATGAGAAAGAAAAATAATATATATTTATATATGTTGTCATATATAATTTTTAAGTTAGCACTAATCTCACTCATGAACTTAGGTATCAAAATCAAAATCATAAGCAAAATGTTAACAGACTGAATCCAGCAGCACATTTCTTTAAAAAGAGATATACCTTGACCAAATTGGGTTTATCCCAGAAATACTGAAAATGGTCTAACTCTAGGAAAACGCAAAATTTGAGTCACCAAATTAAAGGAAAAAAACTATGAAATCATTTCAGTAGATTGCATTTGATACAATTCATACCCATTTATAATGTAAAACTTAGTAAATTCCTTAATGTGGTGAAAATAATCAACAAAACATCTACTTCAAAGATGATTCTTACTGAGGAAATATGAAAAATAATTACTTGAAATCAAGAAAAAGAATGCAGACTATCACCACTTCTTTTCAACCTTGTACTGAAACTCCTAGCAAGTATAGTAAATCAATAAAAAGAAATTAGGCTGGGCGCAGTGGCTCACGCCTGTAATCCCAGCATTTTGGGAGGCCGAAGTGGGCAGATCACTTGAAATCAGGATTTCAGGACCAGCCTGGTCAACACAGTGAAACCTCCTCCCTACTAAAAATGCAAAAATTAGCCAGGCGTGGTGGTGCAGCCCTGTAATCCCAGCTATTCAGGAGGCTGAGGCAGAAGAATCACTTGAACCCAGGAGGCGGAGGTTGCAGTGAGCCGAGATTGTGTCACTGTACTCCAGCCTGGGCGAGAGAGCGAGACTCCATCTCAAAAAAAGAAAGAAATAAATTAATGGCATAAGTGTAAAGAAGAAAAAACAAAATGTCATTCAGAGGTGATATGATTATCTGTATAGTAAACCCCAAAGACTCCACAGTTTTTTAGAAATAATATTTTTCTCAAAGTGGCTTCCCGTAAACTCAATAAATAAAAAGTTGCATTTCTGTACAGCAGCACAAAATTTAAAAGTGTAATTTTTAAAAATATACATCGTTATAAAAATATAAAGTTCTCAATAAATCTTACAAAAGTTATCAAGACCTCCGTGCAGCAAGAGATAAAACTTCTATTAAAAACCATTTTAAACAATCTAAATAAATAGATATATAATGTTCATGGATAAGAAGACACATGTTATAAACATGTCAGTTTTCCTCAATTTGATTTATAGAGTCAATGCTATTATAATCAAAGTACCAGCAGGGTTTTTTTATGGCACTTGAAAAGCAGGTCTTTATATGGAAAGGTAAATCATGAAGAATAGACCTGACACTCTTGAAAAGAAAAATAAAGTGAGAGTTGCCTTACTTTTTTGATAAAACAAGACATTATGCTGTTTGCTCAAGCATAAATAAAAATGGCTAGGAAGACTAAATAGGAAGGCCAGAAATAGACTCGAATACAGGGGTCCAACTCCCAGGCCACGGATGGGTACTGGTCTGTGGCCTGTTAGGAATTGGGCTACACAGCAGAAGGTGAGTGGCAGGTGAACTTCATCTCTATTTACAGCCACTCCCCATCGCTCGCATTACTGCCTGAGCTGTACATGCGAGGGATCTAGGTTGCACGGAAGTTCCTTATGAGAATCTAATGCCTGATGATCTGTCACTGTCTCCCATCACTCCCAGATGGGACCATCTAGTTGCAGGAAAACAAGCTCAGGGCTCCCACTGATTCTACATTATGGTGAGTTGTATAATTATTTCACAGTGTAATAATAATAGAAATAAAGTGCACGATAAATGTAATGCACTCGAATCATCCCAAAACCACCCCCTACCCCATCCATGGTAAATTTGTCTTCCATGAAACTGGTCCCTGGTGCCAAAAAGGTTGGGGACCTCTGCTCTAACATACAGAACTGTGATATATTAAAAAAGTAATATTGAAAATTGGTGGGAAGAGAAGGGACTATTCAGGAACTGTACTGGGGCAATTGCTTACTTAATTTCAATCTTCATATCTTACACAAAAATTCAATTCCACATGAATTAAGGGCTCAAGTATCAAAAACAAAATGTTAAAACTTAGAGTAAAATGTAGGAGATGACCTTTCTGGCTATGGAGTAAGGAAAGTTTTCTTCTTAAAGGAGACACAAAATAACTATAAAAGAAAATGTTAATGAATTAAAGTATATTAAAGTTTAATTGTTTTAATTAAAGAAAGGCAGGCCAGGGAGAAAACATGTGCAACACATTTAATCTACAAAAGATTAATATACAAAACATATAAATTGATGAAAAGTAATAAAATAGAAAAATGCATTAAAGATATTAACAGGCATTTCACAGAAGTGATATGTGTGATGAATAAATATGAGAAACAATTCTCAATCTCACTAGTGATCAGGAAATGCAAAGTAATACCACAGGAAGATGCCATTTTCCCCTCACCAACAGTACCTAGGGTTAGGAAGGACATGGATCAAGAGGTCCTTTTAAACAATGTGAATGGGGTTGTATGTTGGCATGGCACCTTTGGGAAACAATTTGGCAATCTCTTGGTTTTTTGTTTTTTTTTTTTTTTTTTTTGAACATATGCATATCCCGTGGCCCAGAAATTCTACTCCTTGGTATCTACTCTAGACTATAACAGGAGACAACCAGGAAGCAATCTAAATGCCCATCTACAGAAAATGGATAAATACCATGTAGTATATTCAACTTAATGAGCATTTAATTGTGCAGCAAGGAAACTGAATAAACACAACATGAATGAATCTTAGAAATATAATGTTGAATAAAAAGCCCCAAGTTTGTCAAGTCTGCATACAATACGCCATAGTCCCCCCCTTATTTGCAGCTTCATTTTCCACGGTTTCAGTTATCCACAGTCTATTATGGTCCAAAAATATTAAATGGAAAATTCCAAAAATAAATATAAGTTTTTAAGTTGTCCACCATTCTGAGTAGCATGATGAAACCACCTGCTGTTGGGCTCAGTCCACACGGGATGTGAATCATCGTGTAGAAGCTCCCTGCCTGTCATTATCAGATTGAAAAAAAATAGTAGATGTAAAACTGGATGCTATCCATGGTTTCAGGCATCCACCGCGGGTCTTGGAATGTATCCCTATCAGGTAGGAGGGACTACTATACCATTTTCATAAAGTACAGGAAGAAGTAAACTAATGTATATTGTTGAGTCAAGTATACATGTATGTCAGAGATAGAACTATGTTTAAAAGGTGAAATGGAATAATAAAGATAACATTTAGAATAGTGTGTGAGGATAGAATGGTGTAAGAACACGTAAGTAAATACAAGTTCCATTTTTCAGTAAGGTGGTCGTTTCTGGAATATTCATTGTATGTTTTACAGCATGAATATGTTTTACATAGTTATATACCTAATATTTAACTATGTTATATAATTATATATTTACTTGGCACGGTGACTCATTCTGATAATCCTAACACTTTGGGAGACTGAGGCAGGAGGATCACTTTAGCCCAGGAGTTCAAGACCAGCCTGGACAACATGGCAAAATCACATCTCTACAAAAAATTTAAAAATTAGCCAAGCATGGTGGTGCATGCCTGTAGTCCCAGCTACTCAGGAGGCTGAGGTAGGAGGCTGAGACAGGAGGATCACTTGAGCCCAGGAGTTCAAGGCTACAGTGAGCTATGATCACACCACTGCACTCCAGCCTGGGAGACAGAGCAAGAGCTGCCTCAGAAAAAAGAAGAAATTATATATTATATGTGTATTTAATTATTTATGTTCTTTTGTGTGTCAGATATTAGCATTAAAGAAATAACTTTTTTGTTTGTTTGTTTATTTGTTTGTTTTGAGACAGAATCTCACTCTGTCACCCAGGCTGGAGTGTAGTGGCGCAATCTTGGTTCTCTGCAACCTCCTCCTCCCGGGTTCAAGTGATTCTCCTGCCTCAGCTTCCTGAGTAGCTGGGATTACACACACCTGCCACCACACCAGGCTAATTTTTGTATTTTTAGTATAGACGGGTTTTCAGTGTGTTGGCCAGGCTGGTTTCGAACTCCTGACCTCACGTGATCTGCCTTCTTTGGCCTCCCAAAGTGGTGAGATTACAGGTGTGGGCCACCACACCTGGCCTAAGATCATTTTATTTAAAATCCTTTTGGAATACCAGTCAAAAAGAACAAATCATTTAACAAGGAGAAACAAGTTGGGCTAGCTTCAGATTTCTCTGCAGCAGCATTCCACAGCAAGAGGCAATAGAGAAATGCTGACACATTATTTGAGGAAAGAATAAGCTGTGGTTTTAAATCCAACCAAGCTGTCTTTTAGCTCTGAAAGCACCAGACAGAAGTTTTTCAACATATATGAGTGTATTAGTTTGCTAGGGCCACTAGAACAAAATGCCACAGACAGGGTGGCTTAAACAGCAGAAATTTATTTTATCACTGGTCTGGGGGCTGGAAGCCTGAGATCAAAGTGCTGGCAGGGTTGGTCTCCCCTGAGACCTCTCTCTTCGGCTTGCAGTTGGCCTCTTGCTGCCTCTTCACATGGTTGTCCCTCTGTGCACACAGGACCCTGGTGTGTCTGTCCTTCTTCTAGCTCCTTCATATAAATCCAGTCATTTAGAGTTAGGGCCCCACTCTAATAGCCTTATTTTAACTTAATCATTGCTTTAAAGACCTCCACATACAGTTACATTCTGAGGTACAGGGGATTGGGACTTAAAAATATGAATTTTGGGGGAACATAGTTCAACCCATAGCAGTGATCTCAAAGAATATTGTTCCCATGAGCCGTTCTTGAGGAAACTATTAGAAGATGAGCTTTAGCCAACCAGGAGATGATTGGGAAAACCACACAAAAGTAATGTCAGTGACCACTGATTATATTCAGCTGTAAAACCAATACTAAAAGGTGAGGCATAGAGTGATAGGTCAGAATGTAAATACTATACGCCCTGAAAATGTAGAATTATAAAATTAACAAAAATGTTATTGAAAACACAAATCAGACAAGCAGTTAAGTTTTCTGAGTGCCTCTTCTGTAATGGCTGGGAGTCAGAGATCATCAACCAAAAGTTGCAAATGAAATAGATTTTAAAAATCCAAAGTTAGACCTAAATTCAAAATTCAACCTAAATTAAATACTGTATTTATATATAGTATAATATATATATTACTTTATATATAGTAAAGGTAGTATCTCAGTGGGGAGAGAGGTGAATTATTAATTAAATTTTGAGACAAATTAGTAGCTATCTGGAGAAAAATTAAGTTGGAGCCATATCTTTTACTTTACAGCAGATTAAATTTCAAATGGATCAAATATTTAAATGTAAAAAATGAAATTATAAAAATTCTGTAGGGGAAATGGTGAAATATTTATTTCTTTTGCTTTTTAAGAGACAGGGTCTCACTCTGTCTCCTGCAGGCTGAAGTGCACTAAGTGGTGTGATCATAGCTCACTGCAACCTCAAACTCCTGGGCTCAAGCGATCCTCCTGCCTCAGCCTCCTAAGTAGTTGAGACTACAGGTGCACACCATCATGCCCAGCTGTATTTTTTATTTTTTGTAGAGACAGGATCTTGCTGTGTTGCCCAGGCTGATCTCCTCTTGCCTTGGCCTCCCAATGCACTAAAATTACAGCCGTGAGCCACCAAGCCTGGCCCAGTAAAATTTCTTTATATCCTTGGAATGAGGTAGGGCTTCCTAACTACAACTGAAAATCCAGAAGTCATTGAAGATCACTAAAAAACCAAATTCTGTAGCAATCAAAATCTACATCACACAAAGTACCATAAGTCCAAAGACAGACTTCAAACTCGGGAAGCTTATCTGTAAATCATAGGCAAGGATGATCTCCCTAAAATATAAAGAACTTTTTACCAACAGACAAGACAAAAACCTCACAGAACAATTAACAAAATATGAATGCAAATAGTTTACAGAAAAGACGTTCAAAAGGCTAACAAATATGGAAGAATGGTCAACTCTACTCATAAGAAAGGAAATGCAGATTAAAACCACATTTCTCACCCATCAGATTGTCAGGGGCCTAAGAGTTTAGTAACAAACTCTGTGATGGGGCTATAAGGAAATGGTGATACTTAGATATTTCTGGCAGGAGATTAAATTGTTATAATCCGGGTGGGCATGGTGGCTTATGCCTGTAATCCCAGCACTTTGGGAGGCCGAAGTGTGCAGATCACCTGAGGTCATGAGTTCGAGACCAGCCTGGCCAACATGGTGAAACTCTATCTCTACTAAAAATACAAAAATTAGACAGGCGTGGTGGTGCACTCCTCTAATCCCAGCTACTCGGGAGGCTGAGACAGAAGAATCGCTTGAACCTGGGAGATGAAGGTTGCAGTGAGCTGAGATCATTCCACTGCACTCCAGCCTGGGCGACAGCGAGACTCTGTCTCAAAAAAAAAAGGACAAAGGAAAGGAGGGGGGAGGGGGGAGGTGAGGGGAGGAAATTCTAGAAGGAAACGTAAAAAATTAAAAATAATGTTTACTTGTCTACCATAGAGACGAGGATGGGAGAGAGACTTCATGGTATAACTTTGTATACTTCCTGGTTTTTGAAACGTGTGACTGTGTTACCTATTCAGAAAGTTAAATAAAATAGAACATAGATATGAGATATAGTTCTGCTATTCAGTAGTTGAGTGAACTTGGGCAAGACACTTAAGCTCTCTGAGTCATAGTTTTCTCATTTATAGAAGGGCTGTAATAGTAGTATCAAGCTCACAGGATTGTTCTAAGGATTAATGAAGGACAGGTGGAACAGAAAGTGCTGAGCAGAGTGCCAGCACTTAGTAAATACTCAGTTGAATGGTCATGACTTGTGTTACTGAACTTAATCTTGGTAATAAATGAGTATGTTCTTGAAAGGACACCAGCCTTGGCTAACATTCCTTTGCAGAACCAGACGTCCTGGGTCCTCTCCAGCATGGCAGCCCTCTACTGGAGGGTGAAAGGCCAAGGAAAGAAGGCAATCGACTGCCTCCGCCAGGCTCTGCACTATGCGCCACACCAGATGAAGGTGAGTGGGACTCAGAAGGTGGGAACTTCTGCCCCTTTGTCCTTTCCATTCCCCATGGTTTATTCTGCCCTTTGAACCAGCCTCCCTCATGCTCAGCCAGTGAGGACATATTCCAAGGAGAGAATGGGGCAGGAGACCTTCTGACTGGGCTTGTGCCCCAGCAAGCCTATGAACTATCCCTGCTGCCTTCCCAGCTTCAGCAGGTTGGAACGTGGGGAAGGCCTTCCAGATCACTGTAAGACAGTACTGCATTTAGTCCCCTTTCTGCTGTGTTCAGAGCCACCCAACATACAGCAAATGCACTGGCCTAAGTGGGCTGACACATAGAAGTCAATCTGAATTTAGCTTGTCATCAGGGGCCTGGTGACCTCTTAGACTTGTTTTGCTTATCCTCTTGGCTTGAGCTTGCTTCCAAGCACAGAGATAGAAGCAAATTTCCATTTATTCATGTACATTGGCCAGTTCCTGGTCCTTGTCTGACTTCTACTTTTTCCACAAAAAAAAAAAAAAAAAAAAAAAAAAAACCGGCTAACCCTGTGTGACACCAGACTTTTCCAGAAGACCGGTTATTGTTATGATGGATGAGAAAATACAGTGTTTTATCAGCACATTTGTATTCATGTGTTCTGAGTTCTGCATTAATCCAGATCTTATGCTTTTTAAAGACATGGCTGGTGTCTTCTTTGTTCGTCAAGGCAATGTATGGAATGATGGAAGGAACACAGGATTTATTGTCAGGCATTGCTGAGTTTTAAACACAGCTCTACCTCTTACTAGCTTTGTGAATTTGGGCACCTTATTGAACTTCAATGAGCTCATCTAGAGTCATGCATTCTATGGCTGTCACAAAGATGGGTCCTTTCTGTTTCTTCTGTGTCTGCTACAGAACCCAATATGGCATGATACAGGTAACAGTTGCTCAAGTTAGACATTTAAAGGGAATGATATTTGTGATGATAGCAATCTTGCTACTTGTTCCATCCATCATTTTGTACTCTATACTGTTAGGCAATAGGGAAGGGCTGAGGCTCTACCTCTGGGAGTCAGCAAACTTCCCGAAAAGGGCAAGAGAATAAAACACTTGGACTCTGGAGGCCAGACAGCCTCTGGTGCACCTACTTAATTCTAGCATTGTAGTATGAAAACAGCCACAGAAATACGTAGAGGACTGGGAATGATTGTGTCCTAATAAAACTTTTTTCAAAATAGGCAGGAGACTAGGTTTGGCCTATGGGCCAAAGTTTGCCAACCCGTAATGATATAATGGTTCTTGCAGAAATTATTTTGGCTTTCTGACAGCATGACTCTAAGTGTGGTCTGTGGACAGTACACAGACTTTTTATTAGCAGTCTGCAATGAGACAAGGAGCTTCACCAGAAGAAACCAACTACATTATTCAGCAGATTGTTTACTTCAGCTGACATTTTGTTGTGTTTGTTTTCGAAGCAAGACTTCGCCAATGAAAGAAGTAATTGATTTATATTCTGGTACAAGCACCTTATCTATCACAGACCAGTAGCAAACAGCACAAAAGCACTTTGAGTGGCACTGTTCTAATCATTCACCAGGAAACACAGACTGTATTCTTTATGATCACCAAAAACAAGAATGAAAGCTCAAAACCCAATTTTCCCTTCTCACCATTCTCCTTCTTCTCCCAGGATGTGCCCCTGATTAGCCTGGCCAACATCTTGCACAATGCCAAGCTCTGGAATGACGCCGTCATAGTAGCCACCATGGCAGTAGAGATCGCACCACACTTTGCTGTGAACCACTTCACTCTGGGCAATGTCTACGTGGCAATGGTGAGATGGGGGTGTGAGCAGTATGTACCAACTCTGCCAAACAGTAGCACATCTTTGATTTCAAAACCTCTTTGAATATGTCATTGCCCACCAATTTCCTGTAAGCTTGTCTAAAATTGCTGGTTCCACCAATGTTATATTTTATGGATAAGGGTTCGAGAGGTTTTTTAAAACATAATACATGAAATTCTTCTAAGTATTTGCAACTACGTAGTTCCTCAACATGAGTTGAACATTAACAGCAGAGTCAGATTTACCTACAGTTTCCTGGAGACACCACCTGTTCCAGAAAACCTCTCCTAACACTCCATGTAGACACACATACATGCTCTCTTGCTTCCAGGTTGGGCTAAGGTACCTGTCATCGCACTCATGACACCCTTTGCATATTTTTCTTGCTGGATTTTCACTTTGTTTTATAATTTTTTGTTTAAGTATTTGTCTTTCCCTCTAGCCTACGGGCTCATTGGGGACAAGACTCCTCTTCACCTCCCTGTTCCCAGTGCCTCACAGTGTTTTTGGCACATGGTAGGTGCTCACCAAGTAGTTAATGAATGAAGAAATTCCGCTAGTTTCATGGAATACCATTTACAGAGAAAATGGCAAAGTCATCCAGATCCCTCATTCTGATCAGAAACAAGAACTGCTTTCAGAACTGAAAATCCCAGGGGGACCCCCTAAAAGCTGTCATAACCCAATTTAGCATGAGAATCATGCCATTCGCTTTCATCTAAAATGTGGCATCACACATAGGGCTAGTCCCAAGATGATCTCAGTAATGGCTTATAGAGTGAGCAGCCCTGGGCTACCAGCTTCATGTATCGTTCTTGACTTCAGAGGCGAGAAGTATTTTGCCAGGGAGGTATTGCCGAATATGCAGATTTCCCTCTGCTTCTTGAAGAATCTGTTGTTG
The DNA here is from genome assembly GCF_000001405.40 of Homo sapiens. NCBI lineage: Eukaryota > Metazoa > Chordata > Mammalia > Primates > Hominidae > Homo > Homo sapiens. Next base: position 43,493,077 of record NC_000011.10, read on the forward strand.
CTCCCAGTAAATGTGAAGTTTGCTACTATGAACGAGGACTTATGTCTCTCATTTGGCTAGAAGAAGTCATTAAACCAGTAGATTTGGGCTCTTCTTTTAGAGTGTAACTCTAAGTAAAAGATTAACCTTCAATATGGCAGGGATCATTTCCCAATCTTTGTTGGCATCTTTAAATGTTAAAGAGAATTTTAAAACTCTTCAAAATGTACAAGTCCAGTTGAGATACCGGACTTAGTTTCCGTCTTTCCAGCTACATTAGAAAATTTAGGCAGATGCATAATGGGCATTTGTCAGGCACGGTTCTGGAGGTTTCTGTGAGGATTAAATGGAAGGATTTCATAAAGCACCTAGCACAGCCTGGCACACTTCAGGCACTCAGGAATGTTAGGTCTCATTATTACCACAATTATTACTGTTGCTGGGTTTGTAAAAGCTGCTCTACCCCTTTTCCTTTTGTTCTTGGGCTCTGCCGTAGTTTCCTTTGTTCATCCCATACCTCATTCCCATACCTCGGGAATGAAGGCAGCTGTTTCCTCCCAGAGGAACCTCAGAGTTTTCCACAAAGACTTAGATCCGTTGAGCAAATGCTGCGGGATTGTCCCTAGTACAGAGGTGCTTCTTGAGAAAAAAGAGGTCACAGTATATATTTAGTCTGCTGGTGCCATCCCCTCACATTTCTCTCCTTGGCCCTCACAGGAAGAATTTGAAAAAGCACTGGTGTGGTATGAATCCACATTGAAGCTTCAGCCCGAGTTTGTCCCAGCCAAGAACCGAATCCAGACCATCCAGTGTCACTTAATGCTGAAGAAGGGACGGCGCTCTCCTTAGTGCACTTCTTCCTTCTCTCTTTCTCTTTACTCATGCTCTAAAAAAAAAGAATAAGAAAAGAAACCAATCATTGTCAGTATCTACTATTAATGATGTGTGTGAAAATAACTAAGACTTATAACAGGACTTTTACATATGTGGGAATTGGTTTGTTTTTGTTTTTACGTTTCTCCTTTCCCCCAACCAACCTCAGAAGAGGCACCTTCAGAAACACACATTTCTTAAAAGGAAAGTGCAGCTTCAAGATATTGTGTAAATACTGAGCCAAGACATTTCTGGAGCTGTGCTCTGTCTCCAAAAACCTCAATGCCTTTAGGGCTTTTCTCAGTGGTCCAGCTAGCCTTCTCTTTGGAGGAGGATGAAGCCGCATTGCACATTCTCTGCTTCCTGTCGTAGCCTCTGTTGTCAATGGAAATGCGGAAGCCCATCTGGTGCCCGTCAGTGAGAAGCAACGTTCTGCGCTCTCTCCGTTAGACCTCCATGCTGTCCCCAGTCTTGTCCATTCCATGCTGCTGTGTTACAAACTCTCAGAGGTAGTTTGCAGGGGAGGAAGGGGAATATGATTTTAAAAACAAAATATTTACAACAACAAAAATTCTTAGGATCACCTGACCTTTGTAATGTTATTTATGTTGGGGAGGGAGGGGGGCTGAGAAGGGGAAATCAGCAGTGTGCAACATCTTTATAATTTGTACTTTAATTACAAATCACAAGGAAACCAATAAGTTGAAATCCTATATAACAGGTTTATATATATAGAATATGTATATTTGAAGCCCTCTACAGACTGAGTCTATGTTTTACTAATTCTTTGTTCACTGTGTTACCCATCTTGGAATAAGTTGTGAATGTCAGCTCCCTCTCTCTGAGGCCTCCAGACTTAGCTCCTCAGGAGGGTAATGAGCCAAGGTTGAGTGTTTCCATACAATGCTTTTACCTTTGATCCCAGGAGAATCAGAAACTCCAACATTTTGGAATCTTCAAGGGCACATACTGAGAAAAAAAATAAAATTGTTTATGAGCAAAATAGGTCTGTCATGTGATTTTTCTTTAGAACCTGACTAATTTGGGCAGCTGTGAAGTCCAGCTTTAACTCTGGATGTGATCTTCCCAAGCCCTACATTGGCTTTATCTTTCTTTCAGCAGCAAGGTGAGGGGAGAAAAAACAATCCATCACTAGGTTTTATAGTTGATGAACTTATTAGAATGATGCATTTAACCGGGAAAGACTTACAGTCAGCACATGTTCAGAGTTTGGTATATAATTGACCTTCCTGGCAAAGGAATAATCATCTAAGCCACAAAGTCATGGCCCTCAGGTAAGCACTGATCTTAAAGTTCATCCAAGTAAGTTTCACAGACAGCCTTGGGGTGCATCGTGTAAGTCAGGCATTCCCCTTGGGACAGGATTCCACTGAAGGCAGCATTTCTATGGACTTTGCTAGGATGTAATCAGACACTGATTGTCTCAGATAATGGCTCATGGAACTTGAAGGGTTTGGTTCTAGCAAAGACTAATTTCTTCCAAGCAGGTCTGTAATTTCTTACACCAGACATACCTGTGACCTCTCTACGCAGCTAAAGTCCAACAAACTCCAGTTTTATCAGATGTATTTTGAGAACAGCAAGCTCATTTGTTACTGAATACAGTCAGCCTTTATGCACTCAGGGATCCATCGAAATTAACTAGTATCTAAGTGTGGTTCCCTGCTTCCCCACCTCACCACAATTTTTTCCTGAAACCTTCAACAGTTGCTTGACTTTTTTTTTAAGACGCAGTTTCACTCTTGTTGCCCAGGCTGGAGTGCAATGGTGCAATTTCAGCTCACTGCAACCTCTGCCTCCCAGGTTCAAGCAGTTCTCCTGCCTCAGCCTCCCAAGTAGCTGGGATTACAGGCATGTGCCACCACACCTGGCTAATTTTTTGTATTTTTAGTAGAGACGGGGTTTCACCATGTTGGCCAGGCTGGTTTTGAACTCCTGACCTCAGGTGATCCACGCACCTCAGCCTCCCAAAGTGCTGGGATTACAGGCGTGAGCCACCATGCCCAGCCCAGTCACTTGACTTTTTAAAATTAACATACTATGAAATTCATTCTGGTGTACAGTTCTATCATGCAACCATCACAACAATCAAGATACAAAACTTTCATCACCCCAAAAAGACTCCCCCATGCTGTCCCTTTGTAGTCAAACCTCCCCAACCCTTAACCCTGGGCAACCACGGGTCTGCTCTCCCACCCCGTCACTTTTCCTTTTCCATAGTGTCATATAAATGGAATTCGGGTATGGCCTTTTGAGTCCGGCTTCTTTCCCTCAACATATTGAATGCACTTGGGGTTCGCCCATGTTGCGTGGATCAACGATTCGATACTTTTTGTTGCTGAGTAGTGTTCCATTGATTGTTGGCCTGTTGGAGGACACTGGGATGCTTCCAGCTTCTGGAGATTGTAAATAAAGCTGCAATAAACACTTGCATATAGGTTTGGCCGGGCACAGTGGCTCATGCCTATAATCCCAGCACTTTGGGAGGCTGAGGTGGGTGGATCACTTGAGGTCAGGAGTTCAAAACCAGCCTGACCAACATGGTGAAACCCTGTCTCTTCTAAAAATACAAAAAAATTAGCCAGCGTGGTGGTGGGGGCCTGTAATCCCAGCTACTCAGGAGGCTGAGGCACGAGGATCACTTGACCCCAGGAAGCAGAGGTTGCAGTGAGCTGAGATTGCACCACTGCACTCCAGCCTGGGTGACAGAGTGAGACTCTGTCTAAAAAAATAAATAGTATATAGGTTTTTGTGTGCACATAGGTTTTTGTTTCTTTTGTGTTAATAATTCAACAAATATTTTTCTACTCTGGACTTTTTTTTTTTTTTTTTTGAGACAGTCTTGCTCTGTCGCCAGGCTGGAGTGCAGTGGCACAATCTCCGCTCACTGCAAACTCCACCTCCTGCTTTCAAGCGATTCTGTTGCCTCAGCCTCCCGAGTAGTGGGACTACAGGTGCATGCCACCACGCCCAGCTAATTTTTGTATTTTTAATAGAGACGGGGTTTTACCATGTTGACCAGGATGGCCTCGACCTCTTAAAAGCAGGAATGGTCAGCCAACAATGAATGGAGGCACCTTCGAGTCGGTTTTATACAGAAGGAGTACAGGGTAGGAACAGCTACAAATCTGCTTATCTGAAAGGAAGAGGAAAGAGCTAGATCTCTCTTTGAAATGACTTGGAATTGCCTCCACAGCATTGTTGCCAGCCTCATTTCAGATGCTGCTTCAAATCAGGTGTGGTGGGAAGCTGTACTGTGTGAAGGCTGACAGACCATGAATGTGTACCTCCTGCAGGGCTGGTGATGCGAGGGCCCAGTGATGATGCAAAGGCAGGCAGCAGCCCTGCCCTGTGGGTGCCATCCTGGAACTCTATGGGGCTTATTTACTAGATAGGTCAAAGGTCTGACTCACACTAGACTTAGACACTGGCACCAACTAGCTGGGAATGAAACTTGGAGTCCAACTCTCCAGCACAAAGGGCAGCTGTTAGTGGCCTTTCTGTTCCACATACAGCAAGGGTCTGAGAGCTTCCAAGGCAGATTCCCCCAGAACTTTGGCCTCATGAGAACTTTGGCTCTGTAGCAACTCCTCTGTGGTAGGACCGTTCCTGACTCAGAGCCCGAGAATGGGTTCAACAAATCTGGGTTCAAATCTTAGTCCCGCCTCTCGTTAGCAAGGAGATCTTGAACAAGTATTTAGCTCTGAGCTGAATTTCTCACTGAAATAAAATAATCTGAGAATGATAAGAGCTACTGTTCTTCACAGGGGATAGCTGTGAGAAGTAAGGGAGATTTTTAAAATATGAAGCATTTAGCACAATGCAAACACCCAGGAAGGGGTAGCTATTGTTATTTGCACCATGTTGTAGACACTGGATATTTTAAAGAAATTTGCTTAATTTTAAACAAGACCCAGCCATTTAACTCCACCCTGGCACATCTTCCAGTCAGGCCAGCCTCACTGTTCTGATTTCCAAAGCTTTTGCTTAATCCATTCCCCATCAGATGTCCCCTCTTCTCTCTGGTTTCTGCCCCACTTCTAGGCCTCTTTTACCCGAGCTTTTGTGATGACACTGATTGATCTACATCTTCTCTGATTATCATAACAGCTTCAATTCATTGAGCCAAACAGGAGGCTGTGTGCAGTCAGAAACATCTAAGATTTATTGAGCTCTTGCTATGTTCCAAGATTATTCTAACAGCTTTACATGAAATAAAATTAATTTAAGCCTCATGTCAAACCAATGGTGTAGGTACTGTTGTTATCCTGATTGTGAGAATGGGAAATTGGAGCCCGAGATTTAAGTAACTTGCCCAAGACCACAGCTAGGAAGTGATGGGAGTCGAGGTCTGGGCCCAGGGAGTCTAATTCTAGAGCTGCACTCGTAACCACCATGCTATACACCCATTATCTCATGGAGTCTTCACAACTACAAAATAGGTCAGCAACATTATCTCTGTTTTACAGATGAGAAAACCAAGGCTCAGAGGTAAAGTAACCAGCTCATAATCCCACAGTACGTGGTAGAGTTCAGATTCAAACCCAGCTCGGATTTGCCTAACACCAACTTGGTGCTCTTAACTCCTCTACTATTCTGCCTCTATGTAGTGCTTATTTCCAGGAAGTTCCTCATTCTGAGCTGTTTCCTATTTGCTTTCAGGTGTGTTGCTCTCTCTCCCATCTGTGTACATATATGTCACATGTCTGTGTCTCATCGCACTGAAGGCGGAGCTCATATATAGTAAATATTCAGTCAATGCTAGTGGTTAACAAGCAGTGCAACTGATATGTTCCTCTGCTTCCTGCTGTTGGCATTCTGAGGGCTTTCCACCCACATCTCACAATCTTTTAGGGAACCTATCTTAGGGAAGTGAAGTATCTTGCTTTCTCTGCCATGGAACTTGAAGAAGACAAAAAGCTCTCTCCATCCTTCTGCCTCAGGCTCACTGATCTCAGTCTGGCTAGTAGAGGAAAGTGCCTCGCTGCCCATGAACCTCACAGGCCTATTCTACCCTTCACTGCCCAAGAGCTTTGCACCACTTGCTGGGGAGAAGATGCGACCACTCTGGTGTGGCCATCTTCAGGGGATCCACCCTGCCGTCGTGGTTGAGCCAGCAGCAGGGGAGACTGACTTCTAAATTCAGTTTTTGTGGTTATTCTAATGCTCAGACAGGCATCCCTAGATCAAATCCCATGTTTCCCCTTTCTGTGGAGATGTAAACAGGCAATTCCAGCTCTTTCTACAAACAGATTTAGTTCAACAAGTACTGATGTCCAACACTGGATGGGACATTGGACGTGGTCTCTGCCCTCGAAGAGGCACAATCTAGTTGGAGGGACAAGACAGAGAATTCGAAGACACAAAGTCCACTCCAGCAGAAGCCTGAATATTGAAGACCCAGAAACTGAATTCTCTGATGAATACATAGGGTCTTCTGAGGCAGTCAGCCTTGTCTAGGTGCATAAACCTCCTCGGTTTGGACACTCCAAGCAGAGTCCTCCATGGTTCGGCCACTGCCTGCCTTTCCATGCTTGTCTTCTGCCACTCATTTATTCATTCAACGAACATGTATTGAAAAACTACTATGTGCCAGGCACTGCGTTGTTCACTGCAGGTAGTTCAATATGGTGCAAGAATAGAGGGTGGGTGGAAGAGGTGCTAAGAAATGAAGCTAGGGCCAGATCATGAAAGACATCATACACACGGCTAAGGAGTTTGGACTTTGTCCTGAGTGAAATGGAGAGCCATTCCCCAGATTACACTCCAGGCTACAATTTAGGATTTCCCACATGCATCAAAATTCTACATTCCCATGGCTGTGATCATGCTGTTCCTACTACCTGGAACGCCAAATCCTTGCAATCTTCCCCCTTTTTTTCACTTATTTAGGTCTGCTGGTTTTCTGAGGCATTGTTCTCAAGATGCCATGCTTTTAAGGCACCTGCCATAATCCCTTTGGTGACGCTCATCACATTGTATTGAAATGAGCTATGTAACTTGTCCCCAATCAGATGCTTAGCTCCATGTCTAATCAATGTCTGTGTCCCTTACTTTTACAACATAAAAACCTGGCACAATGAAGTTGGTTAATTAAAAAAAAAAAGTTATTTGACTATTGAATTGATGGTTAACTGACCCAACAATACCCTAGAGAAACTATAGCAACATTGAAGGTAAGAGATTGCAAATAGGAGCTAATGAAACAGAGAGGGAAAACTAAATCAGGGAGAACTCCAGCAGATAGGCAGAGAAGCTGCTTCACTTAATCTACAGAGGTACTCCCTGTCCTCTCAGCCCATCCCCTAGCCACTCACTGCTACTGACCCATGTAAAGTATTTTGAACAGGGACAGGAACACACTAGGCAGCCAATAAATGTTAGCTCTTCTTATTAGCAGAGGACTTGAATCCTGCCACTAACTCCCTAATTCTAGAAATAAGTTACCTTTTCCTTTCTGCTAAGAATTTTGTTCCAGGCTAGGCACAGTGGCTCATGCCTGTAATCCCAGCACTTTGGGGGACTGAGATGGGAGGATAGCTTGAGACCAGGAGCTCAAGATCATCCTGGGTGACACAGCAGGACCCTGTCTCTTAGAAAAAAAAAAAAGAAAAAGTTAGCCAAGTGTGGTGGCACACACTTGTAGTCCTGCCTACTCAGGAGGCTGAAATGGTTGAATTGCTTGAGCCCAGGAATTCAAGGTTACAGTAAGTTTTGATTATGCCACAGAACTCCAACCCTGGACTGAGACCCTGTCTCAAAACAAAAACAAAAACAAAAACAAATGGATTTGGTTCCATTTCTGGATTCTGACTCAAAAGCTTGAATGGTTAGGACAGTGACCCCGGCTTTTAAGAAGGGGGGCTTTCACCCAAAGACAGCACTTAATACAAACACCTATTTCCTAAAAATAGAGGAAATTTTTCTTTATCTTTCTGTTTTTCAGTTTGATGGATTTCTTCAATTCTGTCTTCTGATTCATTGACTTTCTCTTCAGCTGTGTCTAGCCTGCTGTTCAACTCATCCGTTGAGACTTTTACTTCAGTAATGACATTTTTCACTTGCATGATTTCTACCTGGTTCCTTTTCATCATTTCTATCTGCTCATGTTTCATAATCTTTTTTTGTGTTATGGGTGCTACTCTTAACTACTTGAACACTTTCAGCATACTTACTTTTCAATTTGGTCAATTATTTCTTGTTCATTATGAGTAAGTTCTCCTGTTTGTTGGATATTTGGACTGTCTGACCCTATAGCCTTGTAACCCTCTGAGTTCTCAGTCTTTGGATCACTACTCTAAAAACTGCAATTACTTTTGCACCAGCCTAATATATTCTCTCATGTTCTTAGTGATATCATCTGGTCACATGGTTTCAAATACTATCTCCATGCTTATGACCTTCCAATTTATATGTCCAGCATAATGTCCTCTATCAGCTCTAAATTCATTTATCCAACTTTCTGCTCAGTATCTTCACATGGACTGTACAAAACAGAATTCCATATCTTCTCACAAAATTATTATCTAACTTTGGTCTTCCCATATGAGTTAGCAACTCCCTCCATCTAGTTATTCAGATCAAAAAAAAAATCCTAGGCCGGGCACTGTGTGTTATTCCTGTAATCCCAGCACTTTGGGAAACTGAGGCAGGCGGATCACTTGAGGTCAGAAGCTCAAGAACAGCCTGGCCAACATAGTAAAACCCTGTCTCTACTAAAAAAAAAGTACGAAAATTAGCCAGGCATGGTGGCACATGCCTGTAGTCCCAGCTACTCAGGAGGCTAAGGCAGGAGAATCTTTTGAACCTGGGAGATGGAGGTTGCAGTGAGCTGAGATCACGCCACTGCACTCCAGCCTGGGTGACAGAGCGAGACTGTCTCAAAAAAAAAAGAAAAAATCCCAGAGTAACTATTGATTGACTCCTGTTAAAACATAAGTCAGGTCGTGTCATTCCTCTGCTTAAAACTATTGGCTTGCAATAACATATAAAACCCTATTCCACAATGTGGCTCACCTCTCTAGCTTCATCTCTTTTAATGTCCCTCTTGCTCACTCCTCCAGCCACACTGACCTCCTGGCTGTGTTTTGAAACTTCCAGTCATGCTTATGCCTCAGGTCATCTTCATTTGCCATTCCCTTAGCTTGAAATACTCTTTCCCCAGATAGCCACTTTGCTCACCTTCTCTGTGAGGTTTCCCTAATCATGATATTTTAAATTGTGACATCCTCCTCCACAATTTCCTAATCCCCTTTTATGCTTTACTTCTCTTTGTAGCTCTTATCATTATCAAGTCTGCTGTGTATGTTACTTATATATTGTCTGTCACCCCCAACTTGAACATAAGCTTTAAGAATGCAAGATTTGGACCTATTTTGTACCCTGATATATCTCTAGCCCCAGGTACATAGTAGGTATCCAGAAAAAACTGCTGAATGAATGAATGACTGAATCCATACATAAGTAGTGCTGAACTTCCTCATATATTTTATATTTTTTGTCCTTATTCAGCAGCAGTTAATGCTTGAAGTATTTTCACACATTATGTGGGGTCAAGGACATTTCCCTACAGAGAAGTTTCTGAGGTTGTCTTTGCTGCATCCCCTACAAAGTCGAACTTTTTTTTTTTTTTTTTTGAGACAGAGTCTCACTCTGTCATCCAGGCTAGAGTGCAGTGGCACAGCTCACTGCAACCTCCGCCTCCCGGGTACAAGCGACTCGCCTGCCTCAGCCTCCCAAGTAGAGTAACTGGGACTACAGGCACGTGCCACCATGCCTGGCTAATATTTTTGTTTTGTTTCATTTTGTTTTGTAGTGACAGGGTTTTACCATGTTGCCCAGGCTGGTCTCGAACTCCTGACCTCAGGTGATCCGCCTGCCTCAGCCTCCCAAAGTGCTGGGATTACAGACGTGAGACACTACACCCGGCCAAACATGTTTTTATGTTAGTTTCTCAGCTTGGGGTTTCTACATGGCATGGAGAGCACGAATTAGGACTCAATTTTCCCACAGGTGGGAGGCTCGGGGTCCTAATAAAGCCCCGGTTGGAAAGGGGCTTTCTGGTCTGTGACTTGCCTTTGATGCCTGGCCACACCTAAAGCCTAGTTCCATCTCTCAGTTGTCCATGAGGCTTAATTCCTGTCCCTCCATGGGGCCTAAGACTACAACTCCTCAGTCCCGCAGTTACTCCCAGGCCCTGTGGGCTGTGCACCATCAGTTCCCATCCCATTGCTGGGACCTGGTAATGTCTCTTTCTTGATTTCGAGTTAGTTCTATATTTCTTGAATAGTGTGTCCTGCCCTTGTGTGTTTCGGACTTGGAGGTAGGGAACTCCAATGTGTGCTCCACGTGCTATGGTGAATGGAAGTTTGGAGGGGCCATAACCTTTTCTCCTGTGTGAGAAGCATTGCTACTGAGAGACATGAATTATATCCATCAGGAGGGTTAAAATAGAAAAACGTGTTCAGACGCACTGGCTTAAGAGCAGACCTGTGTTCTGTCTGAAGTTCACCTTCTCTAGAGTTAGGCCATGCCCTCCAACCCCAAAATTTCTGTAGATGCCTATTGCAGAAAGCCTAGCATCTCTGAAAATGTCTAGCTCCTTTGGGTAAGTGCCTTTTATTATTTAAAAATGGGCCCTGTATTAGTGAGAGTTCTCCAGAGAAGCAGAACCAATAGGGGGCGTGTGTGTGTGTGTGTCATTATAATACATATATGTCTATATAAACATAAATGATTTATTGTAAGGAATTGGCTCATACAATTATGGAAGTTTAGAAGTCCCATGATCTGCTGTCTGCAAGCTGGAGACCCGGAAAAAATGGTGGTGTCTTTCGAAGGCCTGAGAGCCAGGGAGCTGATAGTAGAGATTAAACTCCAAGTCTGGGCTGGGTGTGGCGGTTAACACCTGTAATCCCAGCACTTTGGGAGGCCAAGGCAGGCGAATCACACGGTCACGAGTTTGAGACCACCCTGACCAACATGGTGAAACTCCATCTCTACTAAAAATACAAAAATTAGCCCGGCATGATGGTGGGCGCCTGTAATCCCAGCTACTCAGGAGGCTGAGGCAGGAGAATTGCTTGAACCCAGGAGTCGGAGGTTGCAGAGAGCCGAGATTGCACCATTGCACTCCAGCCTGGACGACAGAGCGAGACTCCATCTAAAAAATAAAATAAATAAAATTTAAAAAAAAGTCCAAGTCTGAAAGCCTGAGAATCAGGAATGCAGAGGGCAGAGGAAGATCAGTGTTCCAGCTCAAGCCATCAGCTAAAGAGAACCTTCCTCCTCCTTTCTGTTCTCTGCAGGCCCTCGGTGGATTAGATGATGCCCACTCTCATGAGAAGGGCCACTTGCTCTACACAGTGCACTGACTCAAAGCTAATATCCCCCAGAAACACACTCACAGGCACACCCAGAAATAATGTCAAACCAGATATCTGGGCACCTCATGTCCCAGTCAAGTTGACACATCAAATTAACCATCAGAGACACAAACCCCTGTTGAAATGAAGGCCTTTACCACAAGCTAACTTTATACAAATGGCTACCGGGAGCCCGGGGGTTCCCCACTAAGCCCTCTCCAAGAGTTTTGAGAAGTGTCCCAAGTTGTGCTCCCTACTCATCCTCTGTAAAGCCGGATGCTGTAGAGAGGGGTTTCCATGGAGCAAGGGCAGTGAGGATGAGGGGCTCGACTGCTGCCAGGCACCAGCCATCTCTAGCTCAGGGACAAGGGATCAATATACCTTCTGCACATTGCTTTCCAAATCCTGCAGGTGGCAGCTGGACACAAGGCTGAGGCTCTGAGGCCCAAACTCAGCCACTAAGGGGAGGACCCTGTAGCATGCCAGGTGATGTGTTTTTGGGCACCGTGATGCCCAGTGTCAGGGGAGCTCACAATTGCTGTAGTTGCAAAGGACAGAGAAGCGAAAGGAGAGGTGGACGGAGCCTCTAGGCCTGCCCTGTCCAGTACAGTAACCATATCTGCCACTAACCATGTCTGCCTATGGACATTTACACTTAAATTCATTAACATTGACTAAAATGTAAAATTCACTTCCTCACTTGCACTCACCACATTTCAAGCACTCGGCAGCCACAGCGGCTCCTGCATTGGTCAGTGCAGATATGAAACATTTCCATCATCAGAAAGTCCCATGGGATAGCATGACCCTGAACCGTGAGCTCCACTACCCAGACTCATCCCTGGAGCTTGCCCATCCAGGAGGCCCCAAAGCAGACCTCTCCATGCTGCCGTTTTGAGAACTAATTACTGCTCCCTGAGCCTTCTCCTTCCAACCTCAGGGCTTTGGAATGTGCTATCAGCTCAGCCTAAGACGCCCTTTCCTTCAGATCTGCTTAAACAGGGAGAGCCATGCCAGAGTCAGCGGTACCAGCCCACATCCCTTGGCATCCACTTCTATGAGCCCAAGACTGCAGACCACACAGACAGGGACTGAGGGCTTGGTTCTGATTGTGGGAATGGCCTTTGCACGGGTGGGCAGTACTGGAGAGCTGGTGCCCCCAGAAGCACCCCTTAGTCACCAACAGATGGGTGTTGGTGGTGTTAAAGCAAAAACTTTGGCCAAATTACATTTAAAGGAGTTTAATGGAGCAATGAACGATTTGTGAATCAGGCAGGCCCCAGAATCACAGCAGATTCAGAGAGACTCCAGGGGTGCCTCATGGTCAGAAGAAATTTATAGACAAAAAAGGGAGGCGATGTACACAACTCAGAAGTGAGGTACAGAAACAGGTGGATCGGTTATGGCATTTGCCTTATCTGAACACAGTTTGAACATTCGGCAGTCCATGAGTGGTTGAAGTATGGCTGCTGGGATTGGCCAAGACTCAGCTATTGTTACAGATGCATACTCCTAAGTTAGGGTTTCAATCTTGTCGGCCTATTAAGCTATGCTACAGTTCATCCACAAGGACTCAGAAATAGAAGTAAGGAGTCCTTCTCAGGCCATAGTCAGTTTGCTTTAACAGTGGATAGGTACCCCTTTGAGGAAGATCACTCTGAGGTGTGTTCTGTATCTTCTCCCAGAGCTTCCCCCACCCCACCAACCTGAGATTGAGCTTCTGTTGGTCCCCGGGGGCAACTGGCCTGATAGGACATCTTTCACCGGCTTTCTCCACTTCCCCGACTGGTGTCTCTTCAGGTCACCTCCCAAATAAATGACCTGCACTTCAATTCTTAGTCTTCTTCTGGGGTAACTTGAGCTAAGACAAGGGCCTGCTGTGTGCCAGACACAGTGGTAAGCATAATTTAAAAAGAGGTTTAAAAAGAACTAATGGGCCAGGCGCGGTGGCTCACCCCTGTAATCCCAGCGCTTTGGGAGGCCAAGGCAGGAGGATCACAAGGTCAGGAGTTCAAGACCAGCTTGGCCAATATGGTGAAACCCCGTCTCTACTAAAAATACAAAAATTAGCCGGGCTTGGTGGCACGCACCTGTAATCCCAGCTACTTGGGAGGCTGAGGCAGGAGAATTGCTTGAACCCAGTAGGCGGAAGTTGCAGTGAGCTGAGATAGCACCAATGAACTCCAGCATGGGCGACAGAACAAGACTCTGTAAAAAAAAAAATGAACTAATGGACTCAGTTCTTCCTTCATGCCTCATGAGTTTGCAGTGAAATGCACAAGGCAGGCAGGAAAAGATGCAATCCAGAGCCTGTGGGGTAACCGGCTCTGCCCCAGGAAAGACCCCAGCACAACCTAGGAAGGGGAGAGGGTTAAGAACAGTTTCTAGGGCTGGGTGCAGTGGTTCACACCTGTAATCCCAGCACTTTGGGAACCCAAGGTGGGTGGATCACTTGACGTCGGGAGTTCAAGACCAGCCTGGCCAACATGGTGAAACCTTTCTCTACTAAAAAAAAAAATGCAAAAAATAGCCAGGAGTGGTGATGTGAGCCTGTAGTCCCAGCTACTCAGGTGGCTGAGGCAGGAGAATCACTTGAACCCGGGAGGCAGACATTGCAGTGAGCCAAGATCACACCACTGCACTCCAGCCTGGGCCACAGAGCAAGACTCCATCTCAAAAAAAAAAAAAAAAAAAAAAAAAAAAGAACAGTTTCTAGGAGGGGGACAGTTAAGCCAGTGTTGATAATTGAGGGAGGAATAGGAGCTCTGGACAGAAGCACTCCTAAAGAAAACGAATGGGGAGCCGCTGACATCGTTCAGGCTGGGTATAACATGATTGGACTGATACTTCACAAAGACCGTCCTGGCAGTGATGCAGAGAAGGGACCACGGGGGGGCAAGGATGAAAGCTCAGGGTCCACCCAGGAGGCTGGTGCAGGACTGCTGATAAGGAGAGAGATAAAGCACAAGTAGGTAGGGCCCAGGCACTGGGGCTGGGCAGAAGATGAAGGATGAGAGGAGGGTTGATGCAGGACGGTTGCTGGGACCTGATGATCACTGAGCCACAGAGGCTGAAAGAGGCAAAGGCTTCAAACGGATTCCCAGGTTTCTGACTTCAGAAGCAGGGTAGATGGTGCTGCCATTCCCTGCAACATAAAACACAGGAGGAGGAGGAGTGGGTTTGAGGGAAAGATGATGGCTTTAAGTCTGAACATGGTTTTGAGGTGCCTGTAGGCCAACGGTTCTCAAACTGTGGTCCCCAGACCAACAGCATCAGCATCACTGGGAACTGGTTAGAAATGCACATTCTCAGGCCCTGACTAATCAGGAGATCTGTGGGTGGGCCCAGCAATCTGGGTTTTAATAAACTGTCTAGCCCTCCAGCTAGAGGCGTCCTGCCAAATGCTTAGCAACTGGCCCTCCAGGGACAGGGAGAAGCCCTGATGGGTGGTGTTTTCCAGTTCCTGGGGTGCAAATCTCACCATGGCTGATTTCAAGCTACCAATCTGACATCACTAAACGTGCATCAGTAAACGGGGAGTTGGGAAGAGGTGCACACAACTGTCTCTTGAAGCAGCAGCATGAATGGCCTCCAGGTGATTGCGATGCACACCTGTGCCCCAGAACCACTGCTGTAGGCCAGTTGCACGAATGTATCTGGAGGGCAGGAAGATGTATGGGTCTAAAGCTCAAAAGAGAGAACTGGGAGGCAGAAAAGGTTTTGGAGATGTCAGTGTATATACAACCACCTACCAGAAAAACACGGAGTGTGCCAAAATGAATAAGATTCAGTCCCTACCCCCAAGGAGCATGCAGTCACATGGGGAGAAAAATAGGCAAACAGTCACAGCAGAGGGAATGGTGGCTGTACCCAGGAAGAACGGTGGGGGCACAAAGGAGGGGGTGGTCCCCTCAACCTGAGAAGGTCAGAGAAACTTCTTGGAGGAAATGGCAGGAGCTGGGTCTTTAAACACAGGAAGGGGAGGGGATTAGGCAGGTCAGGAAGTGGGAGCCCAGCGTCCCAGGTGAAGGAAAGGCAGAGTGGTGGGAAGAACAAGGTGTCTGCAGGGGTCTGTTGGGGAGAACTGATGGATGGGGAAAGAGGCCCAGTGGTGCAAGTGAGCCCCAAGAAGCCAGGATAGAAGGGCCCTGGGCTTG
Organism: Homo sapiens; assembly: GCF_000001405.40. Taxonomy (NCBI): domain Eukaryota; kingdom Metazoa; phylum Chordata; class Mammalia; order Primates; family Hominidae; genus Homo; species Homo sapiens. The sequence goes on from NC_000011.10 coordinate 43,508,471, forward strand.
GAGCTGATGAATATGAACTTTATTTTAGAACATATGAGGAATCATTTAAAAATGTTCTAAGCAGTGGAGGGTTGTAATCATGTTGGAAGATTCTAAAGGTTCTAATGCCCTCCCTGAATCATTGCTTCTTATTGGCACTGTCATTTCCTGTTTCTCACACATGTGGTGCAATCTCCCAACCCCTGCTGTTAGGTCCACAATTCCCCTTCCTGGAACTCTCTCACCTTGGCTCTCCTCTGGGTTACTTCTTATCCTTTGAGGCTCAGCCAAGGGTCACCTCCTCCAAGGCGCCCTCCTTGGCCGTGATGTGACTTGAAATAGGCTTCCTCAGTCCTGCCTGTCACAGCAGCCCATCCATCTCCTTGCAATAGATAGCACTAGCCTCCAGTGATAATGATCTTAATTGTTTCTGTGGCAAAGGTAAAAAGTCATTACGTTTCAGTTCCCATAACTGAACTGTAACTGAATTCAACTTTGTTCTCCAGGCCCTTTTCTGACTCTCTCCCAGGCCAGGATACTGGGTTCAATTTAATAGGGGTCTTTTCAGCTCAGGTTAAATATTATCTCATTCACTGTTCAGTTCAGACTGTGGTTGCTTTAAGAAAAATAGTCAAGTTCTTCAGGATTTTCTTCCCCATTCTCCTGTTCCTGTCTTTCTTTTCAACTGGCATCTGGATCCAAGGGTAAAGCACACACATTTGAGTGATCAGGAGCGGAATTGGAGAGAGAGAAGGGGCCAGAGGGGAGTTTCTCAATGCCACCCTTCAGTCTTCGCTAGCCTCATCTGCAGCAAGGTGGGTCTGGCTGCCCCAGGAAGATCACTGCTGCTGCTGCTGCTGCTGCCAATGGTGCACTTTGCCACCACCTTTGGCAAAGAGGCCTTTGTCCAGACTCCTGGCCTCTTCCTTCTCCCTGAAGTGCTTTCTATTTCCTCCTCCTGTCTGGAAGGATCCCCCAAATAGCACATCTTCCTTTCACAATGAACTTCTTGGTTCTGGGTAGTGTGTCTCCTTCCCTGCAATGTCATCTTCATGGTTCAGCCTTAATGGTGGAATACTGCAGAAGGAAAGAGGGTGTGGAGAGGCAAATTATTGAGAAGGAAGACACATCAGAAATTTTTTTTTTTTTTTTGAGACGAAGTCTCACTGTCGCCCAGGCTGGCGTGCAGTGGCAAGATCTCGACTCACTGCAACCTCCGCCTCCTGGGTTCAAGTGATTCTCCAGCCTCAGCTTCCCGAGTAGCTGGGATTACAGGCACATGCCACTGTGCCTGGCAAATTTTTGTATTTTTAGTAGAGATGGGGTTTCACCACGTTGGCCAGGCTGGTCTCAAACTCCTGACCTCAGGTGATCTGCCCACCTCAACCTCCCAAAGTGTAGGGATTACAGGTGTGAGCCACTGCACCTGGCCCGTCAGAAATACTTCAAAACCATTTTCTTGGCTGCATTTATCTGCTAGTTGGCTGTCTGCCTCACTAGAACAGAAACTTCCTGAGGGCTGGGGCCTGTCTTATTTACAATCCCATCTTCCTCACCTAGTAGAGTGCCTGGTACTCCATAAATGTAGCTAAATAAATAAATGAAGATGTGAAATGATTACATTTGTCTTTGAGAGTGGCTAATTAATGTTTGTTTTTAAAAGGTTGAGCTTGGAGATGTGGAGACAAGAGCCTGGACTAAGGTTGTAAACTAAGGTGGTAATGATAATGGGATGGAGGTTTATTAAGAAGAATTGAGGTATAGACAGCAAAAAAAAAAAAAAAATAGACACAATCAGACTTCATCAAAATGTAAAACTTTCATGCATCAAAGGACACTACCAGGAGAGTAAAAAAACAATACACAAAATGGGAGAAAATATTTGCAAATCACATATCTGATAAGAGATTAATACCCAGTATATGTAACGAACTCCTGAAACTCAACAACAACAAAAAAACAGACCAATTAATAAATTGTCAAAGAGCATGAATAGTTATTTCTCCAAGAAAACATACAAATGACCCATAAGCATATGAAAATATTGCTCCATATCAACTAACTAACAGAGGAATGCTAATTAAAACCACGAGATACCACTTCACACCCATTAGGATGGCTATTATAAAAACAACAGGCCAGGCAAGGGGGCTCATGCCTGTAATCCCAGTGCTTTGGGAGACCAAGGCCGGCAGATCACCCGACATCAGGAGTTTGAGACCAGCCTGGCCAACATGGTGAAACCCCGCCTCTACTAAAAATACAAAAATTAGCCAGGCGTGGTGGCTGTCTACTGTAATCCCAGCTACTTGGGAGGCTGAGGCAGGAGAATTGCTTGAACCCAGGAGGCAGAGGTTGCAGTGAGCCAAGATTGCACCACTGCACTCCAGCCTGGGTGACAGAATAAGACTCCATCTCAAAAAATAAAGAAATCAATAAGTGTTGGGCAAGGACATGGAGAAATTGGAGCCCCTGTACATGGCTGGTGGAATCAAAAATGGTGGAGCCATTATGGAAAACGATTTAGCAAGTCCTTAAAAAATTAAACATAAAATTACCATCCGATACAGCAATTCCACTTCTAGAATTATGCTTCCAAAAGAATTAAAAGCACGGGCTTGAATAGCTATTTGTACACCATGTACATGGCACAATTATTCACCATAGCCAAAAAGTAGAAACAAGCTAAGTGTCCACTGACAGATAAATGGTTGAACAGATGCTGTATATTCATACAATCAAATATTATTTAACCTTGAAAAGGAATGAAATTCTGAGACGTGCTACAACATGGATGAGTCTTGAAGATATTATGCTGAGTAAAATAAGCCAGACACAAAAGAACAGATATTGTATGATTCCTCTTATACGAGGTACCTAAAATATTCTAAATCATAGAGACAGAAGGCAGAATAGAGATGACCACGGGCTGGGGGAAGAGGGAAACGGGAAGTTATTGTTTAATTGGTGCTTAGCTTCAGTATGGGATGATGAAAAAGTTCTGAAGACGGATGGTGGGGTTGGTTGCTCAACAGTGTAAACGCACTTAATGCCACTGAATTGTACACTGATAAATGGTCAAGATAGTACATTTTATGTTATCTATATTTTACTGCTATCAAAGAAAGAAAGAGAGAGAGGGAAAGACAGAAAGAACTGAGAGAACTTTTGACCCACTGGCTTGAGTGGCTGGGCAGGAGATGGAGTCATTCACCGAGAAAATAATTTCAAAGGAAGATTCAGGTTTGGGGGTGAACTATGAAGACCTCCGTTCTGGATGGCTGAATTTGAACTGCTGTGGAACCCCCATGCAGTGAAGTCTGGGAGGCAGCTGATGTAGCTCTGAACCTCTGAGGAGACTTCACTGAGCTTGAGGAGTCATCCACAATCTAGAAGACATTTGAAGCCATGAGACTAAGAAGATAGTGGAACAAGAGTGAATAGGGTGAAAAGAAACAAGGCCAAGGATGGAATTCTAGAAAATACCAGTATCTTCTCCCCCGATCCCTCTCCCTGTGTCTGCCTGGGAAATGTTTCCCCATTCACCAAGACTCACAGCCTCAGCTTTTGTGTCACCTTCTCTAGGAAGCCTTTTTGCCCTCATCAAGCGGGGTGGAGCACTCTCTCCTGTGGGTTCCCACAATGCCTTGCTTTCACTTAGGCTGTAGCACCTGTCACGTGGCTGTAACAATGTGCTTGTGTGTTTCTATCCCTCTCCCTCACCTCCCAGTACCTCCAAGGCCAGGGCTGGCTTCTAGCCATCGTTGAGTCCATGGTGCCCGGCACGGTGTTCAGTAAAGGTTTGTGGGGTGAGTGAATAACTGATGGAGCACTTTCTCTGAGGCTTGTGATGTAATCTATATTTCACGTCCTTTTGGAAGGAGACTCTCTTGCCTGGGAGTATACTGCTTCTGGAAGAAGCTGTCTAGCCAGCCAAGTGAGAGTGACCTGCCTAAGAAATAAGACCTGAACGCCGTGTCCTGGCTTTCAAAGTCTCCTGTGGGAAATAGCCATTCTTTTCTCCACTGCCTATTAAAATCCTAGCATTCCTGATCACCTCTCTCTTGAAAGAAATCGCTCCAACTCTCTTAGTTCCTCCTCTGATCTCTCTTGTGACACCTTAATCACATTCTACCTTCTCCGTATTTATATCCTATATCATCTCCTCAACTGGACTTCAAGCTTCTGTGGCCATTTTAATTGCCATAGCACCTTGAGCATGCTAAGTAGATGCAGGTTCTCAGGAATAGTCACTGAATGATGAAAGAATCTATTTTATGAAATTCACAAAGTGCCTCGTCTTTTAGATAACTCGACAGTGGGAACTTTACTGAAAACTCTGTTAAAGGGATCTTTGTATCAGTTAGCTTTCACTGTGTAACAAACTACCCCAAAACTCAGTGACTTACAACAACAGCTTTTTTTCACTATGTCTTGCCTTTCTTTGGGTTGACAAGGAGTATGCCGATCAAGTCTGGGCTTTAATGAGGGTCAGGGGTTCTGCTGATTTTACTAGGGTCACTCTGGCATCTTGAGGTTGCTTAGAGGTTCCTCTCTAGGCTGGGCTTGGCTAGGACACCTTGGTTGGGACAACTCTACTCTGCATATCTCTCATTCTCTTCCTATGATCAGTGAAGAAGCCCTCAATGTTCTTTTTTAGTTAATTTTCTTTTTTTTTTTAGAAAAAGCTATTGCTGTGTTGCCCAGACCATTCTTAAACTCCTGACTCAAGTGATTCTCTTGCCTTGGGCTCATGAGTCGCCAGAATATTCTTCTTATGGCAATGGCAGAGGTGCTAGAGAACAGGCCGAATCACGTGAGCTCCTTTTAAAGATCCTGCTTCTCTCACATGTTTGCTAATATCCCACTTCCTGGGCAGGGAATTCCAACCTGCCCAGGGTGGGAGAGCACTGCAAAGTTACCTGGCAATGGACAAGGCTACAGAGAGGAGAAAAGAACTGGGACCATTCACACAACCTACCACAGCCTTCTTCCAAGTTTTGCCTTCAGTGGGCCAGATAAAGAGAACATTTGCTTTGTGCTCTCCGTTCACTCTACAACTCTTCAAGGATTTGTCACTTTGGGGTGAATTTCATGCCACATTGAGTGAACTTTTGGGGTGTCACTCCCTCAGTGAACTTAGTGCCTTGCACCTCCCTCTGTTATAACATATTCTGCATGGCTCTATAGCTGGTTATTTGTGTGTCTGTCTCCTCTATTCTACTGGGAGCTCCTGTTTCGGTCCTAAGTATATATCAATAAACATCTCTTGAATGCTGTATAAATGACAGCACATTCCTGGCCTCCATGACCTTTCTGTTCTCTGACTTCCTCTACACATTTTTTGACCCTTCTTCTCATTTTCTGGGTATCGCTAGTTAATCTGTTATGTTTACAATTCATCGTTTATAAAGTTACCTGGTTGACTGTTTTTTTTTTTTTTTGAGACATAGTCTCACTCTGTTGGCCAGGCTGGAGTGCTGTGGCACGGTCTCAGCTCACTGTAACCTCCGACTCCAAGGTTCAAGTGATTCTCCTGCCTCAGCCTCCCGAGTTGCTGAGATTACAGGCACCTGCCACCATGCCTGGCTAATTTTTTGTATTTTTAGTAGAGACGGGGTTTCACCATGTTGGTCAGGCTGGTCTCGAACTCCTGACCTCGTGATCTGCCCACCTCGGTCTCCCAAAGTGCTGGGATTACAGGCATGAGCCACCGCACCCAGCCATCTTTTTACTGACCTATCAGACTCTAGTCATTCTCAAAAGACTACATGGAGTACACATGCTGGGATATACTCTTTTCCCACTCTGTGTTCTGAAGGCAGTTTCGGGAAATCCTGCAGTTATGCCATCATGTTCGTTTGAATACTCTTGAGGGTGACAAATCTTTGCCTTGTTAAGGTAGATGGAATTTTTGGAAACAGCTAACAGTCATTTGGATCCAAAGCTGGTAACTAAGGTGGGTGATCAAGCTCGGTCATTCTGGGGACAAAATGAAATGTGGTCAGGAATAAATAAGCCGAAATTCTTTCATAGCTTTAAAGCTGTCCCCATGGACAGCCTACAGGAGCCCCTGATGGAAGGAAAGATGATATTTTGTGAGCACATCTACCCACTCCCAAGGTGACTGTTTTGAAAGGGCCCATGTGCCACTGGATGAGAACATTCTGATCTCATTTACTTTAGCTGTGGTTCTTATTCTTTTGAATCCTTTAATAATCTGATGAAAGCACTGACCCTCTTTCCAGAAAAATGCTTATGAGCTCATATTTTGCATATAATTTGAGGAAGCCCATGGACCCCGTGAAGCCAATCCAAGGATCCAAGGTAAGAATCTCTGTTTGGAATGAGCACACAAACTAGATTTAAGGCGCTCAAGAACAAGTATGGTTTTCTTAGTTTCTGCCCACACACCCCCACAATGAGCCCAGCCCAGGGCTATGACCTAACAGATTCTCCAGAAATAGTACGTGAACTACTTGTATGATCTTCTTCTCTCTGAGATTATTACTTTGTGGGCAAGATCCCTGTGGCCATCTCCTCCCCAGGGCCCCCTCTCAGCTTGGCAGTGCAGCCTGCACGTAGCGTGGCTTCTCAGAATGGCTACATTTCAACCTCAATAAGGTTCTTGCTTGGGAAGAGTCAGGAAAGAGCCTTGCAGTTCCAATTCAACTCAGGGGGTCAGGCCAGGAATGATCTTTCCTTTTGGCACAGAAGGGCCAGGCCAGAGCAGCTTCAGAGTCTTTGGTGCCTCTTCGTTCAGGCACCATGTGCCCCTCCCCGCCAGCCTGTCTGAGAGCAGCCACAAGAGGGACCCATTTGTTCTAAAGGACCAGGAGTCTGGCTGTGATGGTGTCCCTTTGCCTTCATCCCCCTAACACCCACGCAGGCTCCCTGACCAGAGTGTTGAGCGCTGACTGTGGAGGGGGCAAGGCGTGGGGGTGCAGGGCTCAGGTGGCCACCAGCTGAGTCAGATTCTACCCCAGCCACCTGCTTCTATCCAGGCATAAGACCAGGACACCCTTGGGGCCCTGAACGGTCAGCCCCAATGCCTCTGAGCACCCAGGCCTTTTTCAAGGTGTACTGCAACCCCTCTTAACTGTTTCTTTTCTTTCTTTCTTTTTTTTTTTTTTAGTTTATGGCAAAAGCAACCCAGGTTCAAAGGGGAAAATGAGAAAATTCTGACAGGCAAAGGACACCTGTAACTACCACTTCTCAAAGACAAACTCCAGCACCACGATCTGGGTATGTCCCGCCCAGTGCCTTCACGTCCTGCCCGGGGCCCTCAGAGGCCATCTTCCTCAGGAGGTTAACAAGAAACTGGGGAGACTATCAGGGAGAATGAAGGGAGTTTGTGTTGATGGGGTAGCTGGGCAGTTTATGTGCAAACTGGGGCCAGGGCAATCTCTCCACGGTTACGAGCCACAGGTGCCTAGAGGGAGAAATGAGAGATCTGGGGAGGCTGAGGAGAGGAAGTGAATGCACACTGAGCTATCCTACCCAACACTGTGTTGACAGGGGCTGTCCTCTTCATTCAACGCCACCATACTATGACTGGTATTATTCCTGCTTTACAGCCAAGGAAACTGAGACCCCGAGGAATGAAATGACTTCCCCAGGTCATGCAGCCAGAGTGATGGAGTCAAGAGCTGAAGCCGGGACTGTCTTGCTCCAGAAGCTGGCACTTTAACAAAACCCCTGGGGCCTCTCAGAGCAAGGGTCTGCCCTCAGGCTTGGAGAATGCAGCCCTACTCTGGCCACCCCCAGCTCTACATGCCCCACCTGCACCTACAGGATCCACACACATTGCAGAGTTTCCGGGACAACCCCAGGGTTAGACCTGTCATGCCTCCCGTCAGTCCCCATGTCGTCATCTCACAGCTCCTGCCCCTGAACTAGCCCTCAGGAGGCCAGGGAGGAGGGGTAGGCATGAGGGGAAGTCCTCATCAGATGCTGCAGTGAGGTGTCCACACCCCGGTCTCCCCCAGTGGCTCTGGAGAATGGGCCAACAGAGACTCTGATCGTCTTCCCTGGAAAGGGGCCTCCTGCTGCCCTTGCATGCTGGGCAGACAGTTATGAGAACAGGCACGCCCCCCTCCGTTCCCACCTCCCTTTCTTAGGACACCTCTTCCCAGACTCGGCCTTGAGGCCCAGGGAGAGGCCTGCTTGGTTGCCAGGGCAACAGCTCCATTGTTCACATGAGGAGAGTTTAGTGCCAGGCTCCTCCATTCTTGGACCCGGCTCTCCCTACCATTTGTGAGCCTGGGGAGCTGTCAGGGGCTCATTCTACTCCTCAGGGCCTCTTTGTCACCTCAGGATGCAGAGGACGGGTGTGGGGGGACTGGCTAACTGGTCACCATGCCAACATCACATAGTCCACATCCCTGAAAAGGAGGGGTACTCACAGCAGTGGGACGTTCAGCAGTCCAGGGAACAGCTAGTCTGTTTCATGGCTCACCTGCTCAAGAGCTCCGGCTCGGGTGCAGCCACAGCCTCAGGGTCCGCTGTAGGAGAGAATTATCCTAGCTTTCTCCTTTTTCACCAGTTTGCTCCATTTTTGCCTGGTTAAACAGAGCTCAAGGCTTAGGATTTCTTGTACCTGTCCTGGATTTCCTGGCCGTGGGAGAGGAGCCAGGCTGTGTCCTACCTGATCTGGGCCATTGTCTGTCATTCATTCCTTCATGCATTCACTCACTCTGACACTCTCATTCATGCAACAGCATTCACTGAAGTGACACAGGACCATCCTACAAGTTAATATTATAAAATCACTTTACACACGAGGACACGCTTACTCAAGAAGGTAAATGGTCCAAGGCACCCCAGATATTGAGTGTCAGAGGCAGGATCCAACCTCAGGTCTCCCCACCACTGACATTATCTTGACTATCGCTGTGCAAAATAATTGGATTGTTGACTGAAAATAAAGCCATTAAGGGCAGGGCATCTGGCACAAAGTAGCTGCTTAGTAAGCATTACAGTGAATGAATAAGCATATTCAGGGTAACTATGCAGTGTATTAGGGGCAATAACCTGGAAGACACCCATTCATTCATTCATTTGTTACACTCGGTAAATAATTACCGAGGATTCTTTGTGCCAGGCACTATGCTGGGTGCTGGGGACATAAGAAAACAAGATAGCTATCTGGTTCCATGTCTGGTGAGAGAGACAAGTAAATTGCCCATTACAGTGCAGTGAGGTGACAGCAACAAGGAGGGAAGTCCAGGCATTGGGGAAGCCATCCCTCAACCTGGGGTCCATGGCTGACTCAAAGTCAGAAGACTTTCAGGCTGATCTCAATGGCATTTCTCATATTCTGAAGCACTGAGTCATAGACCAGCTGAGCTGACATAGACCAGACCATTCTTCTAGCTCAGTTTTCACCTGCCTTGGTCATTTCATGGACCACCATCCCCATTTTTGCCATATATATATATCCCACCCACTGTTATGTAACTCATATTTTCCTTTACACTGACTCACTGAAAAAGGTGTTAAAAAAAAAGTATGTAAGATGGAAACTTTATATCACTACCAGTAATGGAAGACCAACTTATGCATAAAATACACTCACTTCACACATAAAATACACTCACAAAACAGTGTTATTAAATTCTAGGGCAATAGCATTGCTGCGGCTGACCCTGATTCCAAGACCCACTCTCTTCATTTAAAAAAGAAATGATCCAGGCATGGTAGCTTACACCTGTAATCCTAGCACTTTCGGAGGCAAAGGCAGGCCAGTTGCTTGAGCCCGTAAGTTCGAGATCAACCAGGGCAAGATGGTGAAACCCCATCTCTACAAAAAAATTAGCTGGGCATGGTGGTGCATGCCTGTGGTCCCGGCTACTTGGGAGGCTGAGGTGAAAGGATGGCTTGAACTCAGGAGGTTGTGGCTGCAGTGAGCCAAGACTATGTCACTGCACTCCAGCCTGGATGACAAGTGAGACCCTGTCCCAAAAATAAAAATAAAAAATAAATGAGCAAATGTTAGTGAGATATTAGAAACATGCAGGCACCGAGTTGATCATTTCTCTTTTATTTGAAAGGTCTGAAAGAGAATTTAAAAAGAATGAACTATTTTTAGTGGGTGATTTAATGTTATTTAGGGGCTGTCATGGGGTGCGTCACACAACGTCATCTCAGGAGCTGCTCGGTCTACGCCCACTCTTTGAGAAACACAGGTGAGCCCTGACCCCTCCCTGGACAGGTTACTGTGTCCCATGGAGGGGCTGGGGAGACTAAAGCACAGGTCAGGGCCTCCGGATGACCTCTGTGCAGTCCCTTGCATAGTTTTCTGTCCATCCCTGTGATCCTTTCCCTTAATAATAATAATAAGTGCTGTGGGCTCCACCATCACGATCTCTCCACCCCAGCTGCCGGCTTCCCATCAGCACTGTTGGGTCTCTTCCCCCACCCACGTGCCTTCACATAGTGGTCTCCCCCTCAAGAGGGAATCCCCAAGGGCAGAGATTCCCCAGCCTTGCCTTTGTGCAATGCTCAGCAAGGCCTCAGCCACTGCAGTGACTCACTGGCCTTCTCCAGGATTCTGTGGCTGGTTGGCTTTTGATATTTTCCCTTCTAAGCACATTTCAAGAGGAGAAACAAGGAGGATAGCTTATGCATAGAGGAAGCAACATTTGAGTCTCCAAATCTTGTCTCCTTGCCACTCCCAATGCACATCCCTGTTGCTAGTGCCTGAGAGTGCACCATTAGTGCTTCATTCCCTTGCATTGAAGTATTATTCCAGTTAAAAAGTGATTTAAGAGAAAATTTGCACTGGGCGTGGTTGCTCACACCTGTAATCCCAGCACTTTGGGAGGCTGAGGCAGGTGGATCACCTGAGGTTGGGAGTTTGAAACCAGCCTGACCAACATGGAGAAACCCTGTCTCTACTAAAAATACAAAATTAGCCAGGCATTGTGGTGCATGCCTGTAATCCCAGCTTCTCAGGAGGCTGAGGCAGGAGAATCACTTGAACCCAGGAGGTGGACGTTGCAGTGAGCCTAGATTGCGCTGTTGCACTCCAGCCTGGGCAGCAAGAGTGAACTCTGTCTCAAAATAAAAAGAGGCCAGGCACGGTGGCTCACGCCTGTAATCCCAGCACTTTGGGAGGCCGAGGCAGGAGGATCATGAGGTCAGGAGATCCAGACCATCCTGGCTAACACGGTGAAACCCCATCTCTACTAAAAATACAAAAAATTAGCCAGGCTTGGTGGCAGGCGCCTGTAGTTCTAGCTACTTGGGAGGTTGAGGCAGGAGAATGGCGTGAACCCAGGAGGCGGAGCTTGTAGTGAGCCAAGATCGCGCCACTGCACTCCAGCCTGGGTGACAGAGTGAGACTCCGTCTCAAAAAAAAAAGAAAGAAAGAAAGAAAAAAGAAAAAAATTGCTTACTGTGCATTTGAATTCCATTGATGTGAAATGTCCAAAATAGACAGAGAGATAGAAAGTAGGTTTGTGGTTTCCTAGGATTAGGGGAGATGGCTGAAGGATACAGGATTGTTGGGATGGGGTTTTTTTGAAGTGATGATGTTTTATAATCAATTGTAGTGATGGTTGCATAATTGTGCTAATACACTAAAAACCATTGAGTTGTACAGTTTCAATGGGTAAATTGTATGCTATGTGCATTATGTCTTGATAAAGCTCTTAGGAAGGGAAGGGGAAGGAAGGGGAGGGGAGGGAAGGGAGGAGAGAGGCCTTCATCAGTCCTGTGATGGAAGACACTACTTCTGGTGCTGCTCCTTCCTGTCCCCTCATCACCTGGAGACCTGCCCCTCTCTCTGTCATCCCTATCAGCCCATCTTTTAGTCCTTCCACTGATCCCTTTCTTTAACAACCATCCGAGCTGACACTCACTGGGTGTGGACTGTGTGGCTGGCACTGCACTAAGTGTTTTTCGTTTAGTTCCTCATTGAGTTCATTTGCTCACAAAGCTCACTAACAAAGGTCACCCTTTGCCCCAGTGCAGAAGGTTAGAAAGATCGGGGTACTTCTTGGCTTCCTATAGCTACTTCCAGGTCCCTCTACCAGCATGTCCTCCTCATAAAACCAGCTCATCCTCTGATGTCCAACCTGCACACCCTAATTCCTCTGTGTTGTCTGCCAGCCCACAGGATTCCTTCCAACCCCAACCTTCCTCCAGACTGTGCACACCAGATCACTCATGAGATCCATCCCCACACTTTGCCCTGCTCTCACCTTTTCACATCCAGGCTGATAACTTATCAGCTTACAGTTCTCAGATCACCTCAGCACTTCAGCCAGCCAGAGGTGAGGCCACACCTGGACCTTGTCATCCTTCAGGGCTGCTCTGACCCTGAGATCTCAGGCTCCTGATTTTCCGATATCTTATACAATGACCCAGCTTTCATTTTCCCCATCCATCCACTCATTGGAGCTCATTCTCTGATTTCAGGATATTTTTCCATCTAGTCCCCAGATCATTCCCCAGCATCACTACTGCATTTGAACTCTTCTTCCCATTTGAAGTTAGGGTCCCTCTAAGAACTTGCTCCTCCTGTCTCACTATTAGTCATCTTTGCAACTCCTAGCTCTTCCATTCCACTAGGCTTCCTTCTTAGCCTACAAAGATCTCTATTCTAAAAGTCTGTATTAGTCCATTCTCACGCTGCTGTGAAGAAATATCCAAGACTTATAAAGAAAAGAGATTTAATTGACTCACAGTTCAGCATGGCTGGAGAGGCTTCAGGAAACTTACAATCATGGTGGAAGGGGAAGCAAACATGTTCTTCTTCACATGACAGCAGGAAGGAGAAGTGCTGAGCAAAACACGGAAAAGCCCCTTAATAAAACCCTCCGATCTCATGAGAACTCACTATCAGGAGGAACAGCATGGAGGGTAACCACCCCCATGATTAAATTCCCTCCCACCACATGTGGGGATTATGGGAACTACAATTCAAGTTGAGATTTGGGTGGGGACACAGCCAAACCATATCAAAGTCCTTTGTGAATTATTCCATCTAGCTCTCTGGTTTCCTTTGCCACTATACTTCATGTTAGAGTTCTGTTATTCTCTCTTCATAGAGCAGTTTTTGTCCTAATGTATCATCTGTGGTCACATGGAATAGAGTAGTTTTTTTAAAGGAATGGGCTGGGCAGGCCAGCTGGGACTGGAGTGGCGGGGGTCCAGCCGGATGCTGCTTCACGCCAGCGGGTGCCCGGCACCCCTCTGGTCCGTGGGGCCCCCAGCAGGGGAGGGGCCTCAAGACCACGCGGAACCCCTGGGTGGGTCCCCAGCTCGCTTCAGAGGCTCAGAGCAGGGTCAGGGACCTGGCTCCCCGGGGCCGGAGCTGCCTCTACCCCCTGGCGTTACAGACTGCAGGCACTCCAGACCTGGGGTCGTGGTGAGGTTCCTTGATTGACTGTGTGATGGTGACTGCGTTGCAAGCGAATGGGTTCATAGTGGCATCAGGCACTCAGACTCCTGCGAGTTCCCATAAGTTCTCAGAGGACTGCTTTGCCTTTTGAACTGATAATTGCAAAATTCCATACGGAATGGCCCTTGTGGATAAGCACAAAGTCAAGAGACAGCGATTGGACAGAATTTGTGAAGGCATCATGAATGGACCCCTGCACTCCCACCCCCGATGGTGCTGCTGGACTGCCGAGATTGCACCGTGGAGATGCCCATCCTGAAGAACCTGGCCACCATGGCCTTCTGTGACGCACAGTCCTCGCAGGAGATCCACCAGACGGTTTTAAATGAAGCCGTGGGCGCCACGATGTACCACACCATCACCCTCACCAGGGAGGACCTGGAAAAGTTCAAGGCCCTGAGAGTGATCGTGTGGATAGACAGTGGCAACGACAACGTGGACATCAAGGCTGCCGCGAGCTCGGAATTGTTGTGTGCAACATCCCGTCCGGAGCCCTGGAAGAGACAGCCGACTCCACCGTCTGCGACATCCTCAATCTGTACCGGAGGAACACGTGGGTGTGCCAGGCACTGCGGGAAGGGACGTGGGTTCAGAGCATGGAGCAAATCCTCGAGGTGGCCTTGGGAGTGGTCCGCATCCGTGGGTAGACGCTGTGGGTCTCATGAGCTTTGGTCGCACGAGGCAGGCAGTTGCATTTCAAGCCAAGGCCTTTGGATTCAGCGTCATATTTTATGACCCCTACTTGCAGGATGGGATAGAACGGTCCCTGGGCATTCAATGGGTCTACACCCTGCAGGATTTGCTGTATCAGAGTTACTGCGTCTCCTCGCACTGCAGTCTCAATGAACATAACCACCACCTCATCAATGACTTTACTATAAAGCAGATGAGGCAGGGAGCATTCCTTCTGAACGCAGCCCCTGGTGGCCTGGTGGGCGAGAAAGCCTTAGCACAGGCCCTCAAGGAGGGCAGGATTACGAGGGACAGCTTTGCTCAGGGTCCATTGAAAGATGCCCCAAATCTCATCTGCATTCCTCACACTACCTGGTATAGCGAGCAGGTGTCGCTGGAGATGAGGGAGGCAGCTGCCACCGAGTTCCGCCGAGCCATCAAAGGTCGCATCCCAGAAAGCTTAAGAAACTGTGTGAACAAGGAATTCTTTGTCACATCAGCGCCTTGGTCAGTAGACCAGCAAACAATTCATCCTGAGCTCAATAGTGCCACATACAGATATCCACCAGGCACCGTGGGTGTGGCTCCAGGCGACTTCCTGCAGCCGTGGAAGGGATCATCCCTGGAGGCATCCCAGTGACTCACAACCTCCCGACAGTGGCACATCCTTCCCAAGCGCCCTCTCCCAACCAGTCCACAAAACACGGGGACAATAGAGAGCACCCCAAGGAGGAATAGCAGAGAATGCCGAAAAGTAATCATTCAGATGCATTTGGGACCGAGAGACAGTGAAACATAGATGAACTAAGAGAAAAAGAATCTGATGGTCTTTTTAACTGATTCTGGACATATGCATCATTGATGCTGCAGTGTTAAAACTGCAAGAGCTAGAAAGCTGAAGATGTCCTCTGCTTACAGAAGCGCGGAAAGATGAGGATGTGATTTATTAATGACCAACTTCTGTTATTATGTGTTAAGTTTTTCATCTGTGTATCAAATCACAAAGAATAAGTAGAGCTTTCTCCTTTATCAGTCCCTTGGGCACAGCAGGTCCTGAACACCCTGCTCTAGAATGTTGCATCAAGAGTTCAAACATCAAAACAAAAAAATATTAAGAGGAAATCCCCATGCTGTGACTCTAGTCCCTTCATTCTACAGGGGCTGGTTACCTAGCTAATAGGAAGATCACATTACTACAAAATGGGGAGAAAACTCTTTCCCTGTGGTACACACCTGCACGCATAGGATTGAAGACAGTACAGGCTCCTGTACAGAGAAGCGTCTCTCACATCTGAACTGTATACTGAGCAGGCAAGTTGGTTATAAGTTCAGTAAAACCCCTCTGATGATGAAAAAAAACATATTAAGTTTCACAAGCTATTTGTACTCAAATATATTTTCTCAGTTTCAGATCCTCTGCTATTTTATTGAGTGGAAAGTCTTGAACTAAAAGAGTTCAAGAAGAATAATGAACAAACCCACTTTTTTAGACTTTGATAAAATCTTCTTTTCTTCATGTGATATTTTATACAAGAACACTTCAGATGTATTAAATGTGACTTATTTTAACAAATCCTATTAGATTTGTATCAACTAGTTACATGTTCTATTCATAATCTTTTGTGAATCATTGCCTTTCTGTTTAAAAAGATGGCCTATTTTGAGCCTTTGTGCAGGTACAATTCTGTTTTTGTGATAAAAGAAAAACTTTAAAATTGTCCCAAACAGAAAAATAATGTCTAACAGAAGTATATTTTGTTTTAGTGTGAGTTGCCATTACTGTAATTTGTTTATTGGAAAGGCGGACATTTAGTGTTCAGTGCGGTTTTCAATAAAAAGTAATTAAAATAAAAAAAGAGAAATGGCTTTGGCAGATCAAATGGTGAAAGCCATAGCAGAGTTCAACAGTCATGAAGAATATGAGGTCTATGAGGTAGGCTAGCTACTTCTAACCATCCAGGAGAGTTTAAAGTAATATAATAAAAAGCTCAGGGTTCTAAATTCATGGCTCAAAATACAGCCAGGAACCAGGGGTTTCCTATAATTGTCCTAAAAGAACATCTTATGATTGTCCTAAAATAATATCTTATCTCTTAGAGCTAGTGAGCTGATGTAGCTGAAAATTAGACACAGATTCTTATCTTATAGGTTGCTGATTTACAACATAGATTGAATTCATAGCCTCACCAGATTTCATATGTGAAAATTAGAGCAATGATTAGGAAAGACCATTCCCAAAGATTAGAATGGTGACATTTAGGGGAACTCAGTTAATTCTGAAGACCCTTAATCCTTAACTCTACTAAGCTCTCTCACCAGTGGAAACAATTCCTCTTATCCTACCTGATGAAGATGGTCCTGCTTCCTGGTAGAAGACTTTATGACTATTCTCCACCCCCACTGCTTTACACATCCTCCAGACCCATGACTAGAAACCATCTCTGTGCACAGGGAGCCAATTGTAAAGTTGTACCCAGACAATGCTTACATGCCAAAACATGCAAATTTATATCCCAATTTAAAAACTGGAGAATAGGCATAGGAATATGTCCTAACCATGCTTGGGTAGGGAGAGAAGAGCATAAAACTGAAACCTGGACTCTGTAATAGTCAAATGCAACTGAGATACCAAAATATTCCTATGTATAATGTAGAAGACTTCCAAAGATTTAGGGAGCTAGACATATTGAATCTATCACATGTGACTGGCTTATCCTTGCTTTAACTACAAGCATACAACCCTCACCCCCTGCCACCCCCCACCTTCAAGCCAGTCCCAGGGTCTATTGTTCCCTTCTTTGTGCCCATGTGTACTCCATGTTTGGCTCCCACTTATAAATAAGAATATGTGATATTTGGTTTTCTGTTCCTGTGTTGATTTGCTTATGGCGATGGAGTTAGCCTAATTCTTAGGGACCCTAGGATTTTTGGAATGATAAATGGGCATTGGCTTCAACTTAAAGTCACCAGCTGCATTATCACCTAACAAGAGAGTCAGCTTGTTCTTTGAAGCTCTGAAGCCAGGCATTGACTCCTTCTCTCTAGCTATGAAACCCTGATATGGTTTGGATTTGTGTCCCTGCCCAAATCTCATATCAAATTGTAATCCCCAGTGTTGGAGGAGGGGCCTGGTGGAAGGTGATTGCATCTTGGGGATGGTTTCTGATGGTTTAGCACCATTTTCCTAGTGCTGTCTCATGACAGAGTTCTCCAGACATCTGCTTGTTTAGAAGTGTGTAGCACCTCCCCCTTTGCTCTCTTCCTCCTCCTCCCCCTATTTAAGTTGTGCCTGCTTCCTCTTTGCCTTCCGCCATGATTGTAAGTTTCCTAAGGCTTCCCCAGCCATCCTTCCTGTACGGCCTGTGGAATGGTGAGTCAAATTTCTTTTCTTCACAAATTATCCAGTTTTAGGTATGTCTTTGTAGCAGTGCAAGAATGGACTAATACAAGCCCCTAGATGGTATCTTCTTCCAATAGAAGGCTGCTTCATCTCCATTGAAAATCTGTTGTTTAGTGTTAGCCACTTTCATGCATGATCTTAGCTAGATAACTTGCTGCAGCTTCTAAACCATCCCATGATCCAATCACCTTCCACCAGGCCCCTCCTCCAACACTGGGGATTATAATTTGACATGAGATTTGGGCAGGGACGCAAATCCAAACCATATCAGGGTTTCACAGCTAGAGAGAAGGAGTCAATGCCTGGCTCCAGAGCTTCAGAGCTTCTGTAGTTCGGCATCATCACTCGCTGTCAAACCCTTAACTTTTATGTTATGAATACAGCTTTTTTCCTTAAATCTCATGAACCAATCACTGCTAGCTTCCAACGTTTCTTCTGCAACTTCCTCACCTCTCTCTGCCTTCAGACAATTGAAGAGAGTTAGAGCCTTGATCTGGATTAGGTTTTGCCTTAAGCGAATTGTGTGGCTGGTTTGATCTTCTATGCAGGCCACTAGAACTTTCTCCATGTCAGCAATAAGGCTGTTTCACTTTCCCATTGTTTGTGTGTTAACTGGAGTAGAACTTTAAATTTCCTTCAAAAGCTTTCCCTTTGCATTCACAACTTAGCTAACTGGCACAAGAAGCCTAGTTTTTAGCCTATCTTGGCTTCAACATGCCTTCCTCACTAAGCTTAATTATCTCTAGCTTTTGATTTAAAGGGAGAGATATGCAAGTGTTCTAGAGGCCATCGCAGGTTTATTAACTGGCCAAATTTCAATTGTGTTGTGCTTCAGGGAATAGGGAGGCCAGAGGAGAGGGAGAGAGATGGCCAATTGATGAAGCAATCAGAACACATAGAACACTTATCGAATAAGTTCGTCATCTTATATGGGCACAGTTCGTGGTGCCCCAAAACAATTACAACAGTAATATGAAAGCTCACTGATCACAGATCACCATAACAGATATAATAATAATGAGAAGTTTGAAATATTGGGAGAATTAGCAAAATGTGACACAGAGACATGAAGTGAGCACATGCTGTTGGAAAAATGTTGCTGATAGATTGCTCGACACAGGGTTGACACAAACATTCCATTTGTAAAAGCACAATGTCTGCAAAGTGAAATAAAGCAAAGCAAAATAAAACAAGTTACATCTGTATATTTCCTGGGAGGGACCAGAGGACTCTCCCTTTATCTAGACAGAGACAAACACTTTGATGAGGAGAATACCAGCCTCCTTCAAAGGTGCTAAGTTGCAAAATAGCATATATGCTGGGGATGATGATGGAGATACTGTCATTGCATGTGTTCCTGAAGTTTAATGGGGATAATGAGATCCCAGCATTGACTATGTAGTAACACACAGACCACAAGTGAAGTGGACATTCAAGACAGCAGGGCCAGAGTAGTAGTCAGAATAGACTGACACACAGAGACCTGTGCCGGTGGCTAATTGACCGTGGATACCAAAAACTAAAATATACAGGGTATTGCATTAAGGTCCTATTTGATTGTAGAATCAGGGGGTCATAACTTTTCACTAAATTCGCACACTAAAGTCAGGTGACTAGAAATACTGCGTACTCTGTAGCATATGACAGTGCAAGTTTATATTGTAAATCTTCCTCCCAATTTTCCCCCAAGGGAATTGTCATTTAGTAGAGTGACTCTGCACTGAGAAAAGAGAAATACCACACTTTCAGTGCTTATTACTGGCTTTGAGCTGATGCTTGTCCCTGGCCTTGGGTTGAGTGGGAATTAATGGGAGTCAGGAAACTAATGGCTTTTGGGCCCAAACCATTTCATATTGGGCCAAATAGATGCATACCCATCTGTAGCTATCTCTCCAGGTCCTGAATGTATAGTTGGAATATATATACTCAGTAATAGGCAGGTTCTCCACACTGACTTCCTGACCTATTGATTAAAGACTGTCAAGATAGGAAGGACCAAGTGAAAACTCCTAGTGAATCTTCTTCCCAACAAAGCAGTAAATCAAAACCAATGTCACATTTCTAGGAGAATAACAGAGATTAGTGCCACCACTGACGACTTGAAAAATGCAAGGTCGATGACCCACCGGTGGGCTGGAATCAGCTAGTACAGGCTCATGAGAATTTTTATCGTTGTTATCACTTACTCATGAGAATAGTTACCATGAGATTTTTAACACTGCCTCACAACTTCATTTTCAGTGATGTCATGTTGGTAGTTTGACATCAGCCATGGTGGGAGTGTTTACACCATGGCAATTGGCAAACAGTACACATCAGGGTGTATTTTTTTCCTTTTCTAAGAGCCAGTTTACCAGAAAATCCCTAGTGATACCTATCATATGCTCATTTAACTTACCTCTTTGGCTTGTGCAGATGTATCTTGAACTTGGAGAATGATGGAAGATTATGTAAGAACAATCCGATTGTAATTTCAATTGTAGCTGTTACTCCAGATCTTGTCTATTTACTATCCATATCAACACCACTTCTGGCACCTACTATGAATCAATGGATGAACACATGCTTACATAGAAGGGAGGGTGTTTGAAATAAAGGATAGTTATATTAGGTAGGAGCATGTTGCTACTGGTGTTGTTGCTTTATTAGAATTTAAGTAGGGAAATAAAACTGTGTATTCCTATACTGCAGAGATTTAAAAAAAATCTAAAAATTTCCCAGAGTCCTTTGCAGATAGAGTTTAAATTGTTACTTAGGTCTGCCTATGAGAAACACCTGGAGAGACTTGAATTTGAAACCCTCCCTCTGTATCCAAAAGTTGCAGTCACAGCTTCCTGATTCCCATATCACAGCTAATGAGAATGTTCCCAGATTCAACAGTTCCAGTACTGGCTTCCAGACTCTTCAGTGTCTTGACTGTGGTAGAGGCAGCAACTCCTCTGGGAGGTCAGTGATGAGATGTCCTGGATTCATTCCTAGAGTCTCAGTTTAGAGTTTGGTCCTCTAGCCCTTCCAGTGATTCTGTAAGCACCCAATTCACTGTATTAAGTCCTCTTCTGTTTATAATAGCTAGAATGGACTCTTATTTGCAACTGAACTCTAATATACCCCGCTTTCAAATGTTTCTTCTCCCCATCAATTTTCTTCTCTACCGTCCAACCATTTCTCATCTTACTTCCCAGAGATGAACTCACTACTCACATTTTAGGGGGGAAAACATAGACAAGATTATTTAGAACATCACGCTCTGGGGACTGTTGTGGGGTGGTGGGAGGGGGAGGGATAGCATTAGGAGATATACCTAATGCTAAATGACGAGTTAATGGGTGCAGCACGCCAGCATGGCACATGTATACATATGTAACTAACCTGCACATTGTGCACATGTACCCTAAAACTTAAAGTATAATAATAATAAAATAAATAAATAAATAAATAAAAATAAAAAAAAGACTCCATCTCAAAAAAAAATAAGTATATTGAAAAGAATCATATTAAATTTGTAATTACAGTTTAAATGGAAGGGAATTTAATGAAGTTTGTAATCAATCTTTGAATATTAAAAAAGTTTCAAAATGTTGTTTATAGCTATATGTAAAATAAATAAATAAATTTACAAAAAAGAAACTTCTCAACTTTCTGCCTATCCATGTAAGGTCTCTGGACTCACCCCCACCTCCTCTTCTATATCTTTCCTATAAGAGTAACCCATCCATCTCTTTCTTACAAGAGTAACCCATCCATCTCTGCTGTGGATTCCATCTTTTTCCATCTCCACAAATCTTCCCCTTTTCCCCTGTTTCTTGAACTTCTCACTCTTGTTATTCTGTTCATTCATTATAGAACACCACCAAGCTTTTCTCACAAAAAACAAAAACAAAAGCAAAAAAACTAAATCTTTTGTTTCCCTCTAGCCAGGGTCTGCCAAGCTTTCTATGAGAATCATCTATACTATTAATCTCCACTTCCTCCCCTTCCATTCACTCCTCTGTCCATGCAATTTAACCTTTGTTGCCCTCCTTCCACTGAAATTGACTTCGGTGAAGTAACCAATGAACACCTTATGGCCAAATCCAAAGATTCTTTTCATCTCTTTCCTTACCTAATCTCTCTGGGGCACTGGACAGCATTGTCTCTCTCCTCCATAACCATCATGACAACACATTCCCCAGGACATTCTCCAGAATCATCTGGTTGGTCTCTGTCCAACCCATAGCCTATGGGCTGCATGCAGTCCAGGATGGCTTTGAATGCGTCCCAACACATTTCTCAAAACATTATGAGATTTTGTTTTTTTTTTTTTTTAGGTCATCAGCTATCATTAGTGTTAGTGTATTTTATGTGTGAACTGAGACAATTATTCTTCTTCCAATATGGCCCACGACGCCAAAAGATTGGACACCCCAGCTCTATATCCTTTGGAGGCTCCTTGTCCCACTTGAACTTTTCCTCAAGGAATGCACTTTTCCTCAAGGCTTTGTTCCTGAGCCCTACATGGTTTTTCCACTCTAATGGTTCGCCCTAGCCAACCTCATCCAAGTCCATGACTTCAACTACTGACAACTCCCAGGTATACATCTCTAACCTGGATTTCTGCCCTGACTTCCAGACTGTATATCTAACAACTGTCTACTTTAAGCCCAATAACTTTTGGCATGCGTTTCTACCTCAATCTCCCACAGACATCTCAATCTCAACATGTCCACATCAGAATTCCTCTTCCTCCAATATTTACACTTCCTCCTTAAGTGCTTTTCTTGTGAATGGCATCACTGTCCACACAGACCCTAAAACCAGATAGCCAGGAGTCATCCTAAGTTTCCTGTTTCCTTGTCCTTCATAAATACATTGTCACTAACAGATTTCAGTTCTATCACTAATACTCTGCAACAGTTTCTGTACTCTCTATCCCTACTGTCCTGGTCCAGCCCTCTGTTCTCTCTCTGTACTCTGCTTCTGCCCACTCACTAGCTTCTCTGAGTCCCTTCACAACCCCCTCAATTCATTCTCCACACGGAAGTCAAATCTGATAACATCACTCCCTTCCTTAAATCCTGCTACCTAGATGATCTCCACTACCCACCCCCTGAACACACACACACCCTACCCCACACACGTCTGGCAAGGCTTCCAGAATAAAGTTCACATTCCTAGTCCAAATACAAGGTGCTTCATGATCTGGCTTCTCTAACCTCATCTCTCTGCAATGACCCTGAAGCTCTACCTTTACCCACAAGAACATGACACATTCACCCACTCCATGGATTCTCCTCTGAATGGAACTCTCTTCCTCTTCTTTGCCTGGGCCGCTCCTTTGTCATGTTAGAGACTCAGCACATGACTCCCTTGAGTAGAGCTGACCACCCTTTCTTTGTGCCACCACTGTTTCGCATACTTGAACTTAGCTCTAATTTTACATTAAGCTTTCATTTATTACTGTGTCATAGAGGTAGAAAGACTTATCACAGCACTTGTTAACCTGCATTACATGTTTTGCATATCAGTATTCTACCACAAGTCCAGTGTTCCTTCAGGGCCAAAACCACACTTACAGTGTGCCTGGTACAGAATAGGCACCTGATGCATGTTTGACGGAAGAATAGGTTAAGTTCTGCTTGGATTTCATTTGCTAGCTGTTATGGGTTGAATTCTGCCTCCTAAAAACAGATAAGTTCAAGTCCTAGCCCCCAGGACCTCACTCAGAATGCGACCTTATTTGGAAATAGGATTTTTACGGAGGTAATCAAGTTAAAGTGAAGCCATTAGGATGGGCCCTAATCCAATAAGATTAATGCTCTTAGTTTTTAAAAAAGGAAAATGTAGACACAGAGACAGACATGCAGGTACTCACAAGCCCACGCACAGAGGCAAGACAACAGGGAGACACAGTGAGAAGGCAGCGAGAAGGCGAGAAGGCAGCCACCTATATACCAAGGAGAGACGCGTTCAACAGACCCTGGCCTGCTAGCCCTCAGAAAGAGCCAACCCTGCCTACAGCTTGATTTCAGACTTGTAGGTTCCAGAACTGTGAGTCAATAACTGTATGTTGTTTAAGCCACCCAGTTTATGGCACCTTGTTATGGCAGCCCTAGCAAACTCATACAGTAATGATTCCTGTGCCTGAAAGTCACTTTCTTTCTTTGAATCACTAGCCAGAAGCTAGTAACTCCTATTTTCTTCCTGAAGTCTGTAAGCTTTGCTTTTCTAGCATATCTCTCTGTTTCTCTCTCTGTTTCTGTCTCTCTCTGCCGCTCTCTCACACACACACACCCCGCATGCACACACACACAAACACACATGCGCACATGCACCACAAGATCACAAGTCCCTTTCTCCCTAGAACTTCCCCTTTTCCTCCAGATACTTCCACTTCACCAGTTTCTTCTTTGTTCATCAGAGTTGGGTCCCAAGTAACAGGTCCCCTCCTGCTTTCTCGTCTTTCTGAAAAAGCGTATCAGGCCAAGAATTAAATCCACTACAATGTTTATGACAGAATAGTGCACCCAATGGCTGTGCCAATGAGCCCAGCTGGCCTCTTGCCTCTCAGCTAGATTCAAGACTTCCTGGAAAGGACAGTAGCACAACACTGGAAGCCAGGCCAGGAGTTGGGAACTCCCAGAGCAACATCCCTTGTTTCTCTTTTCTTCCCCACCAGTATGCGCCATGGTGCCTCCACTAGCTTTCATTACATTAAATCATGCTACTCTCCTGCTCAAAACTCAGCAATGCCTCCCTATTGCACTTAAAACCAAATTTCAACTTGCAGAAGCCTCTCTTAGATTCACTAGATGCCTGTAAGACCCTCCCAGCCTCAGAATTTGGATGTGCTCAACCTCTGCTTACAAGACCTTTGCTCTGCCCCCCTTGCCCTCTGCCGGGCTAAGCTCAACTGTCAGTTTCTCAAAGCAGCTTTCTCTGACCCTTTATTAGCCTCTTATTAGATCCTCTCAGGGAAACTTGTTATCTCACCAAGGATTTGTCATAGTTTCTGCCTATATATTTATATTTGTGATCATGTGATTAATGCTTTTCTCTCTCACCAGACTGAAAATACCATAAGGTTGGACCCTTTTCCATTTTGCCCCCCAGTGACTCCCCAGTCCCTACTGTAGTGTGCATGGCATACAGCAGAGACTCAATAAATATTTCTTTAAATAAATGAATGAACTTAGTTTTACTCTTTGACCCACTGCAATGACACCAATTTATTTGCATGAAGGGAATTCCTACTACCATAGAATTCTTGTCAAAAGCCTCATCCAACCAAGTCTTGGTGAAGACTTTGCATTCCTACCAGCCTCATGTTACAATTTCAACTTTATATCATTTATTAGATTATTGTATTGGTCAGGGTCCAGGCGGAGGCAGACGGCACTCTCAGATGGGTAACTGCAGAGAGTTTAATAAAGGAACTGGTTAAGTGGTGTGTTCAGGGCTAAGGGAAACCAGCAAGGGATGGAGCTAGCAACAGTGGGATCTGTTACTATGCCAACACCCGAAGGTGGAAGAAGAGGGGTAGATACCAGACTGAGAAGAGTTGCCACAGCAGAGCCCAACATGATGGGAGCTGTGGTCTCAGAAGAGAGATGCAGCCAGCATAAGGAGACCCAGCTGGGAGGCAGCCAGAAAATAAATATCCTGACTTCACTCTCCTCCCACTTTCCAGTCTCCTGCTGGTTGACTCTGATTGGTTGAACCCCATCAAAGCCAGAAGCCCTGAGAGCCCTTTGATGGATCCATAAAGATCAGCCTCCAGGGCCTGGGGCAGACCAGTCAGTAGATGGCCCGAAGATCCAGAGGAGAAAGTAAAGGTGTCCAGCCCCACACTAAGACCACAGAAATATCGTTATTGCTGCTGCTTCTATTTTTCAGGGATGCCAGGCTTGTTTTCAACAATATCCAATTATCATGGAAGACAGGTATTCATCCTTTCTGCTTTCTCTCAAATTTCAGTTTTTAGTTATGTTGATCAGGTGAAAAATTTTCCTGTCAAGCATCATCATCATGTTCCCCTTCAGATGTACTCATTTAAAAAAGATTTATTATTATTATTTTTATTTTGTGGGTACATAGTAGGTATATTTATTAATGGGCTTCATAAGATGGACGTTTTGATACAGGCATACAATGTGAAATAAGCACATCATGAAGAATGGGGTATTCATCCCCTAAAACATTTATCCTTTGAGTTACAAACAATCCTATTACATTCTTTGAGTTATTTAAAAATATAAAATTAAGTTATTATTGACTACAGTCACCCTATTGTGCTATCAAATAGTAGGTCTTATTCATTCTTTCTAGTTTTTTGGTAGCCATAAACTATCCCCACCTCCCCCTCAGGATATACTCTTTTCCTGGTAGAAAGTTCATTTGTTATCACGGAAGTCTTTGTTCAGAAGACCCAGCTCTGATTTTTTTAAATTATTACGAGTACATAATAGTTGTATATATTTATGGGGTACATGTGATACAGGCATACAACATTTAATGATGAAATTAGGGTAAATGGGGTATTCATCACCCCGAGCCATTATTACTTCTTTGTGTTAGGAATATTCCAATTCTACTCTGTTAGGTAACATTTAAAATATAATAAATTGTTGTTGACTTTAATTACCTTATGGTGCTTCCAAATACTAGATCGTATTCATTCTATCTAACTGTATTTTTGTACCCATGAGGCATCTCCACTTTATCATCTATTCCCTGCTACCCTTCCCAGCCTCTGGGCAACCATCATTCCACTCTCTATCTCCATGAGTTCAATTTTTTTTTTTTATCTCCCACATATGAGTGAGAACATGTGATATTTGTTTTTCTGTGCCTGGCTTCTTACTTAACATGTTCCAGTTCCATCCCTGTTGTTGCAAATGACAGGATTTCATTCTTTTTATGGCTGAGTACTATTTCAGTGTTTATATGTTCCACATTTCTTTATCCATTCATCTGTTGATGGACACTCAGGTTGCTTCCCTGTCTTAGCTATTGCGAATAGTGGCTGCAATAAACACAGGAGTGCAGATATCTCTTCCATATACTGATTTCCTATCTTTTAGATATGTGCCCAGCAATTGAATTGCTGGTTCATACGGTAGCTCTATTTTCAGCTTTTTGAGGAAACTCCATACAGTTCTCCATAGTGGCTGTACTAATTTACATTCCAGCCAACAGGACAAGGGTTTCCCTTCCTCTACATCCTCACCGACATTCATTATTGCCTGTCTTTTGGATAAAAGCCATTTTAACTGGGGTGAAATGATATATATCTCACTGTAGTTTTGGTTTGTAATTCCCTGATGATTAGCGATTTTGAGCATTTTTTTTCGTATATCTATCGGCCATCTGTATGTCTTTTTCTGAGAAATGTCTATTCAAAACTTTTGTCCATTTTTAAAATCAGATTATTTGTTTTTTTCCTACTTAGTTGTTTGAGCTCCTTATATATTCTGGTTATTAATCCCTTGTCAGATAGGTATTTTGCAAATATTTTCTCCCATTCTGTGGTTTGTCTCCTTTGCTGATTGTTGTTTGTTGTTGTTGATTGTTACCATTGCTGTGCAGAAGCTTTTTAGCTTGATGTGATCCCATTTGTCCATCTTTGTTTCACTTACCTGTGCTTTTGAGGTCTTACTCAAGAAATCTTTGCCAAGACTGATGTCCTGGAGTGTTTCCCCAATGTTTTCTTCTAGTAGTTTCACAGTTTCAGGTCTTATATTTAAGTCTTTAATCCATTTTGATGTGATTGTTATAGTGGAAGATAGGGGTCTAGTTTCTTTCTTCTGAATGTGGATCTCCAGTTTTCCCAGCACTATTTATTAAAGAGACTGTCTTTCCCTCAATGTATGTTCTTGGCACCTTTGTCAAAAATGAGTTGATAGTAAATGTGTAGAATTATTTTTGGGTTATCTATTCTGTTCCATTGTTCTATGTGTCTGGTTGTTTGTTTTTTTTGTTTGTTTTTTTTTTTGAGACAGAGTCTTGCTCTGTTGCTCAGGCTGGAGTGCAGTGGCACAATCTCGGCTCACTGCAGCCTCCACCTCCCAGGTTCAAGCCATTCTCCTGCCTCAGCCTCCCAAGTAGCTGGGATTACACGCATGCACCACCACGTCCAGCTAATTTTTTTTGGATTTTTAGTAGAGACGGAGTTTCACCATGTTGGCCAGGCTGGTCTTGAAATTCTGGCCTCCAGTGATCTGCCTGCCTCGGCCTCCCAAAGTGCTGGGATTACAGGTGTGAGCTACCACACCCAGCCCTATGTGCCTGTTTTTATGCCAGTACCATGCTGTTTTGATTACTTTCATTTTGCAGTATAATTTGAAGTCAGGTAATATGATTCCTACAGTTTTGTTCTTTTTGCTTAAGATGGCTTTGGCTATTCCGGGTCTTTTGTTGTTCCATATACATTTTAGGATTATTTTTTCTATTTATTTGAAGAATGTCATTGATATTTTGATAGGATTGCAATGAATCTTTAGATTGCTTTAGGTAATATAGATATTTTAACAATATTGATTCTTCCAGTCCATGAATATGGAATATCTTTCGTTTTTTTGTGTGTCCTATTCAATTTCTTTCATCAATGTTTTATAGTTTTCATTGTAGAGATCTTTCACTTCTCTGGTTAGGTTTATTCCTAGTTATTTTATTTTATTTGTAGCTGTTGTAAATGGAATTATTTTATTTCTTTTTCAGATTGTTCGCTGTTGGCATATAGAAATGCCACTGATTTTTGTAGGTTGATTTTGTATCTTGTAACTTTACTGAATTTATCTGTTGTAACAATTTTTTGGTGGAGTCTTCAGGTTTTTC
This sequence comes from Homo sapiens, assembly GCF_000001405.40. NCBI lineage: Eukaryota > Metazoa > Chordata > Mammalia > Primates > Hominidae > Homo > Homo sapiens. The sequence continues at coordinate 43,536,742 of NC_000011.10, forward strand.
TGAATGTACTGGCTCTGACCTTTAACACTAGCTGACCACTCCCAGTGGTTTGCTTTCTCTGTCAGAGTTACTCCATATAAGAGTAAGATGCGAGTGCTATTTGGTCTTGCCTTCAAGCCCCCAACTCACCCCCTGCAATTCCTGTGGCTTCCCAGGGCTTCCTAGTTACAAGGTTCCATTGGGAGGTAAATACTCTCCATTCCCCAGGTATCTCCCTAGGGCCCAAACTACGCAATCCCACGGGATCCTGCCTCTCAGGGAAGTAGGCCCACACAATTCTTGCTCTTGCTCTGAGGAGCAGACCCCCTCATGCAGGAATAGACACCCTCATGCATTTCTTCATCTCTGGGATTCTGGGGTTCAATTAGCTCTGTCTCCTTATCTCCATCTCATTTACCTGGCTCCCTGATACCATACTCAAGCACCACCTCACCTTTCTCTCACATGACATTAGTGCTCAGTGCTTTTTGCTTCAGACCAACCACTCTGATGTGGAGCCTATTGGCTATGGAACATCCTGACCCATATGGCCATAGGTTGAATGTGCCCTCTCTCTCCATGTTCTAATATATATAATTTCCTGTTATAAATATCTTATAAACAGCTGTCTAAGAAGTTCTAAATTGTTGCTGAATACCCCATACTACTTCTTCCCTCATTTCTCAAACCTGATCTCCTCTGCCTTCCTCGGCGGCAGCTCCACGTCCTTTTCGTCACTTTCAGAGAGACTGTGTCCTCCTCCTTCGTGCCCTCGCCCAGTGGGTCTGCAGGGGAGGGAGGGATGCAGGTACTGGGATCTCCTTGCCTCCCAGCCCAGCAGATGCTCAGACTGTTGTACAGGAGAATGGTGCATCTTAGAGGAGCACCCATGGATGATGGTCCCCATCACAGACTAGTGGGTGAGAACAGGTCTCCAAAGCAGGAAGCCCCATTGCCCAGGCTACAGTGTTCAGGGCTCAGAAGAATGTAGGATGGGAGGGGGCCAGGTAAGGGTGGCTGCCTTGCTCTTCAGCTGAACAAGGGATACCCAGGGCCCCTTCCCAGCACCCTTCCTTCAGGCCTGCTTGGTTTCCTGTGCTTTCACTAGGATGGATTTTTTTTTCTCCCCTCTAAATATATTAAACATTAAAAATAACAAGCCAAATCCTGAAATCCAAACACAATAAAAAGCAAAGACATCAGGAAAAATAACAAGGGATAAAAGCTCTCAATCCAAGCCACAGACAAGAACCAGCTCTGACGTCCTTGGGTGCCCGAGGGGTTAACCCTCTGCTGCCCGCGGGAAGCCACCTCCTGCGCTCTGCCTCTCTCCTCGTCCTCTTCCCCTGCTCACTTTCAGAGGAGAGAGGGATGGTTGTTTGCCTTCAGTCGGGCTATAGATAGATGGATTTAGTTCTCTATTTTTGCCAGACCTGCATACGCTCACCTCCACCCCACCTCACCACCCTCAAACCTTTTGTCTCAGCGCTTCCTTCCTAAACTAGAGTCAAAGACATTTCCCTGGTGAAGCTGAACCATAAGCCAGACTGCTCTGGGGGCAGAATGAGATGGACGCCTTGGGTGTGTTTCTCACCACCACTTGCCTTCTTTCTTACACAGACTCTCCCCATGAGACAGTCACAGTGTCTTCTGCGTTCCATCTTTGTGCCATCATTGACAGCTTTTGTTGTTATGTAGACACGAAGCAGTGGACAAAGGACCCCAGATGATGTAAGCCACACCTCCTTACCTCCTCTGAGAGCCGAAGCGAGGCTCCTCCAAGGAAAAGAGGGCAGGGACTCCTTTTAGAGCCCCCATTTTCTAAACCAGATGCTAAGGCAGGAGTGCAGCTTACCAAAGGCAGCATTTTCACCACTCCATTAAAATTTCATTTGTCTCCATTTTGAAACAAAAGGGAATTTGGGTTGAGGCTCCCAATCCCCCACACCACAGCACTGTGAGATAAGAGGGGCAGAAATCAAGCAGCACACTAGACATTTCTGGACAAAATCTGGCTAAAGATACTCAAACCCCCCATGCCAGAGGCACCCCCAGTAGATCTCTTACACCAGCCAGGAGCCAGGTGATCCCTGAATTGCTGTGAGTTCCGGGGTGAAGCCTGAACGAAACCATACACTAGATGGGGAATAAGACGTTACTCCTGGGACTGTGAACAGAAGCACTTTGAAAAGAGACCTTTCTCAGGCCTGAAGTGGTTATCACTGAAGACATGGTTCAGGATCAGCTTGTCTGCCCAAGTCCCATGGGTGGGGGTGTCTCATAAATAGAGAAAGGGGATGTGGAAAAGGAGAGGAATACAGACACCAGTAGTTTCTTCAAAAGCCTCTGTTAGAACGTAAAGCACAAAAAAATATTCATTTATGCTTTTAAAACACATCAACTGCATTCTAGTCACTTGTCCTTGGAGATGCATCAGTGACAGCAACAGACACAACCCTTGTCCGTAGGGATGTTACAGTCTGGTGTGAAAGACCATGCACCAAGGACCTAGCTTCCAGCTTTAGTTTCCTTTGCAGAGCTGCTAACTCAGTTTCTGCATCTATAAAATGGAAGTGCCAGGTGCTCTTTATTGCCTCATAGAGCTTCCAGAAGAAAAAAAAGATGGAAATTTATTGTTTAATTTGAATTAAAATATAACAGGAGATGTATACCCCCAAAGAATTGAAGGCAGGACTCAAATAAATACGTGTACACATGTTCATAGCAGCATTTTTCACAATAGCTAAACAGTGGAAACAACTTGTGTTCATGGAAAAATGGATGGATAAGCTAAAATATGGTATATCCATTCAGTGAAATACTAGTCAGCCTTAAACAGGAAGGAAATTCTGACATATACTAGGACTTGGATGAATCTTGAAGAAATCATGCTAAACAAAATCAGTCAGACATGAAAGGACAAACATTGTATGATTCTTCTTAGATGAGGTTCCTAGAACAGGCAAATTCATAGAAACAAAAAATAGAATGGGGGTTACCAGGAGCAGAGGGGAAGGGGAAACAGAGAGTTATTGTTTAATGGGTAGAGTTTGTTTGGGATGAAGAGTTCTGGAAATGATAGTGGTGATGGCTGTACAATATTGTGAATGTGCTTAATACCACTGGATTGTACATTTTAAAATGATAGATATTGTTATGTATATTTTACACACACATTGTATTTATGTGCATGCATATATACATATATATAACCACTTAAAGCCCAGCTTAGTATTCTAGAGTTTCTAGTATGAATAACAACGCTTAGCAAGGAGTAGGTGTGCAGGGACTGTTTAGTGAATGGCTCTGTGCCACGAGTCAGATCTCTATCCCAGAACACAAGTCCAGGCTCTCAGAATAAGGAAAGATCAGATTGGATCAGATTACCCTAGAAATAATGTCATCTGATCAAGCCTCCCAGCCACTGTTCAAATCTTAGGCAGTGCTACAAATTTAAAAACACAGAGGCACCAGTTGAGTCCTATAAGAGAGAGAAGAGACTCTAGAAGAGGGCATAAGACATAGCTACATGTAAAATGAGTTCTGTCTTCAAAGAGTGGCCACAGCTGAGCTCCATTATTCATATAATGTAGGTTCAGTGTGGCCAGATCTTCAAATTCTGCAAAAATAAACCCAAAATCAAGAATTTTAAAGCAAAAAATCTAATCTGTTGGCGACTCATTAAAATCTTTTAAAAAATACATTGCAGTCCAACCGGCCGGGTGCAGTGGCTCACACCTGTAATCACAGCACTTTGGGAGGCCGAGGCGGGCGGATCACGAGGTCAGGAGATTGAGACCAGCCTAGCTAACATGGTGAAACCCCATCTCTACTAAAAATACAAAAAAAAAAAAAATTAGCTGGGTGTGGTGGCACGCACCTATAGTCCCAGCTACTCGGGAGGCTGAAGCAGGAGAATCGTTTGAACCCAGGAGGTGGAAGTTGCAGTGAGTCAAGATTGGGCCACTGCACTCCAGCCTGGGCAACAGAGCGAGACTCTGTCTCAAAAAATAAAAACAAAAAAAAAAATACATTGCAGTCCAAACCAAACACCTTTGCAGGTGAGAACCAACCCATAGACCACCTCTTTATAAACTCTGTTCTTCTAGATATATGAGTGTTCAGGGTTTGCCTGAATGTTTCTGATGACAGAGGAACTAATTACTTACTAATATTTTGATAAATGCTACTTCTTTTTTTCTTTTTCTTTTTTTTTTTTTTTCTGAGACGGGGTCTTATAGGGTCTTACTCTGTCACCCAGGCTGGAGTGCAGTGGTATGATCACAGCTCACTGCAGCCTTGACCTCCTGCTGGGCTCAAGCGATCCTCTCACCTCATCCTCCAACAAAAAGCTGGGACCACAGGCAGGTGCCACCACACCAAGCTAATTTTTGAGTTTTTTGTAGAGACAAGGTTTCACCATGTTGCCCACGCTGGTCTCAAACTCCTGAGCTCAAATGATCTGCCGGGTTCGGCCTCCCAAAGGGCTGAGATTACAGGCATTAGCCACCACACCTGGCCAATAAACACTAATTCTTAGGAAGATCTTGTCGTAAATAAAAAATCTACCTTCTTGTAACTTCCTCTCACTGTGTTCCTGTACCCCCCAACATCCACTTGTCATCCTAAATAAGAGAGCAGTTACATCCCTGTGTGGTAAGTGCCATTTTCCTCCCTGGAGTCTGAGTTATTTGAGGACAGTGGTTAGTCTTTCATCTCAAAGTAAGGATAATAATAGCCAACATTTATTGAGCACCTATGTGCCAGACACTATTCTAAGCACTTTATAAGCATTAACTCATTTACCCCTTATGAGAGCCCTATGAGAGAGGCCTTATTATAACATATTTCATAGACAAGAGGATGATGGACAAGAGATGCTAAATAGGTTGTTCAAGGTCACACACCTAGTAAGCAGCAGAGCCAGAATTGGAACACAGACAGCCTGGCTCAGTGGTGATTCTCATAACACTGCAGTACTTACGGCGACTGTCACACTCATTCAGTAATTGTCTGTTGATGTGAAATTAAGGGAAACAATACCAGTTCTTTCTTCTGGAGCCACAAAATGAACAGGTTTTCACAACACCAACATTAGAGATGGATTCCACCATACGAAAAGATGTAAAAAGGAGAAAGGAGAAAGGATGGCCTTTAACAGTAGTCGTGAAGCATCAAGTTAGACACTAAGCAGAGTGTCCTGATGTTGACGGCTTTGAGCCACTGGAATAGAGAATATAAAGTTGTTCTTTCTTACTTTGGAGATCCATTTACCTGAAGCTGTCCAGAGGCATGCATTACAAAGAAATGTGGGCTGGGCATGGTGGCTCCCACTTGTAATCCCAGAACTTTGGATGGCGGAGGCAGGAAGATCACTTGAGGCCAGAAGTTCAAAAACAGCCTGGGCAACATAACAAGACCCCTGTATCTACAAAAAAAATTAAAAATTAGCCAGCTGTGGTGACACATGCCTGTAGGCCTAGCTACTCAGAAGGCTGAGGTAGGAGGATGGCTTCAGCCCAGGAGTTCAAGGCCACAGTGAGCTATGATCACATCACTGCATTCCAGCCTGGGTGAGAGAGCAAGACCCAGTCTCTAAGAAAAAAAAGAAAAAGAAAAAGAAAGCAATGTGACTCCTGAGAAGCTGGACTTCAAATTCCTACTCCTCACGGGTTCCCCCACAGAGCCTAGAAGAGTGGTCTTCTGAGCATATGCACTTACTGGTCTCATGCCATGTTGTATCACAGATCAAGGTAATTGGGGGCAAAGAGACCAGATTCACAGGTAAAATCCTGTATTCTAAAATATAACTACATATGGGCTGGGCATGCTGGCTCAAGTCTGTAATCCCAGCACTTTGGGAGACCAAGGCGGGAGGACTGCTTGAGGCCAGGGGTTGAAGGCTGCAGTGAGCTGTGATCATGCCACTGCACTTCAGCCTGAGCGACAAAGAAAGACTCCGTATCAAAAAACAAAACAAAACAAAACAAAAACACTACATATGGTCAAAATTTGACATAGGATATCCAGACTCAGAACATCTTAGAGTGGGAAGGAGCTCAAGAAGTAATCTCATCTTATCCAATCTCCCATATACAGGAAGAATGCCTTCCAATACATTCTAGACAGGTAGACTTTCACTTCTTATCAACACCCACCAACCACAGCTCTTGAACCAGCCTGCACAGCTTCAAAGAGAAGTGAATCACAGACAGCTGGTGCACAGAGGAAGCCTGAAGGCTGGGGTCAGTGTAGGGGGAAATTAGGGCGGACAAAAGAACTTGATATGCGATTTACTCAGCAGAGCCTTTTTATGCATGTCTACATGGACAATTGTGAATAAAGCCAGAGGCAGGCAGAGTTTGAGAAATTTGTATCAGCCCATTCCAATCATTTGCTGGTCTTTTAGTGACACTGTGATAAACTGGATTATTTTTCAGTATATTTCTCAGCCCCACGGGTGTTGGATTTGCCCGTGCGACTTGTTCAAGCCAAAGGAATGTGGCCAGAGCTAACTGTGTAACAGTTCTGAGTCTAGGCTTTCAGACATCTGGTGTGTTTCTGCTCCCTCCTGTGTGCTCATGCCATTCATGCCATCCCCAGGTGGCCTCATTTTTAAGGAGGATGAGAGAAAATGGACTAGACCTGAACCCGGCCCACATCCTGGGACCAAGTTTACCTAACATGCCTCCTGAAGCAGAGATGCCCAAACCACCCCCACAAACACAGGAGTGAGAAAATAATTGATGCTTATTATTGTAAGCCACTGAGCCTTGGGGCAATTTGTTATGTAGCGTTACTGTAGCAACAGCTGACTAGCACAGACTTGTCCATGAATTGGACATCTGCTGTTTTTGTCCCTCATCTTCCATGCACCTTTCCTCTCTTCACCACCACTGGATACCCTCTGGAAACCACCTCCTGTCAATCTCTTGGTCCCTTACTTTGGGTAGGGCTCCACCCCAGGCTCAGGGCCTTAGAACTAAGTTTATGGAGCACCACAGTTCCCTGACCAACATAACTGGTTCAGGAGAGACCCATGTCCAAAGAAATTGTTGCCAGGGATGCTGGAAGAGGCAAAGACTCTCCTAGTGGACTTGAATCCAGGAGGGTGTAAGATTGGAAGTTCTGTAACTATCTTACAACCAGACTGAAGGAGTCTACCTGGGAATAGAGCTTGCCAAGAAGAAAGCAGAGCCTAGATATAGAGAGAAAGAGAAAAACCAGGTGTCTATTTTAAGCCCCTATATGAAGCCATGCCTGAAGCTAACTCTGCCCCATGAATTTCACAGTTGTGTGACCTGAAGAAAAAAAAAATTACCTTAACTTAAGCCACTTAGACTGGACTTTCAGTCACTTGAGGCTGAAAGATCCCCGACTCTCTTAAAATGCTTGTGGGGTGGGGTGAGGGGGGAGGGATAGCATTACGAGATATACCTAATGCTAAATGATGAGTTAATGGGTGCAGCACACCAGCATGGCACATGTATACATACGTAACTAACGTGCACATTGTGCAAATTTACCCTAAAACTTAAAGTATAATAATAATAAAATAAATAAATAAATAAATACATCAAAAAAGTAGAAAGTTACAAATACAATAATAATAAAATTTAAAAAAAAAAGAAGTTAGAAAAGGAAAAAAAAAACGCTTGCCTTTCAACTAACCAACCCGTTAAGAAATCTTTCTGGGGCAACTCTTGTACCCAGAGAACCAGCGTATACAAAACAGGGAAAAGTACACACCTAGCCCTTAAAATATAATAAAGGAAAAGCCTAACAACTATAAAAAGGCTTAATTAATAGCCCAGGAATCAATAACACGTATTTGTTCCCACTTAGCAGCACTTGAAGGGATGGTCTGCCACCAAGGTTTCTGATGTGGTTTGGCTGTGTTCCCACCCAAATCTCATCTTGAATCGTAGTTCCCATAACCCTCATGGTCGTGGGAGGGACTCAATGAGAGGTAATTGAATCATGGGGGTGATTACCTCCACGCTGTTCTCATGATAGTGAGTGAGTTCTCACAAGATCTGATGGCTTTATAAGGGGCTTTCACCGCCTTTGCTCTGAGCTTCTTGTTGCTGCCACGTGAAGAAGGACATGCTTACTTCACCTTCCGCCATGGTTGTAAATTTCTTGAATCCTCCCTGGGCCTGCAGAACTGTGAGTCAATTTAACCTCTTTTCTTTATAAATTACCCAGTCTTGGATATTTCTTCATATCAGTGTGAGAATGGACTAATACAACATCTTGGTCAAGCAGTGCCCCTCTTTTGATACCTAAGGCAGGACAGAAAGTGAAGAGGGTAGGAATGAGGTCTTTCTTGGCAAGGCTCACCAGGAGAGACAGGTTGGGTTGCTGAGACCCAGACAGCCATCAGAACCTTCCGGAGACATCCCCTCAAAGTTCTCCATGAAGATGGGTTGACATCTTAGAATACTTGACACCTGCTGCAGTCACTCACATATTCCCCAGTCCCCATACGTAGCCATCCAAACCCAACACTGGCAAGTCTCTAAGGCCTCAAGGATTAGAATATCATGGGAACCTGTTAATTATTTTGTCCTTTAAAAAATTATCTCCACCAAAGATATTCCAGTATTCATGGAGGACAAGCCTTTTGGGGCAACTTGGGTCCATTTTCTCTGGGAAGAAGTACAACAACCAGCATCCTCTCCCTGTGACAACTCTTGAAACAGGGCCAAGGGCAAGCTCTTAAAAAGGGATTCAAACATGGCAAGGGAGGGTGGATAAAGAACGTTTCCCTACACTATATGGACTTAGGGAGATGACTGGCTTGTCTTGAATGTACCAGGCAGTTTTATACCTCCATGATGTGGCCCATAAGGTTCCCTCTGCAGGAATAACCTCCCTGCCTCATCTGCTTTTCTGCTCCAGTTCTAATCCGCTTTTGCAATCACCCAAGCATCACTTCCTCTGGGACTCTGTAGCAGGCTGTATTATGGGCCAAGATATTCACCACCCCTTCCCACTGGCCTGACCCTGTGGAAGGATTATACTTCTTGCTCCATTTACAGCAGACCTAATCACATGACTTCCTTAGCCAATGAAACCTGAGAGGAGTGACACATGCCACTTTGCAGCAGAAGCCATTGTTTGGCTCTACCATTTTCATTTTCCCTCTGCCAAGAGACCATGGAGGAACTACACCTTTACCCTTGGTTCCAGAATGAAGAGAGTTTAAGGCAGAACCTCAGGAGACATCTGGTGGACATGAATGTCAGAAAGATAAAAGCTTTATTGGTTTTTAGTCACTGAGATGTTAGAGTCATTTGTTACTGCAGCATCCTGTAGCCCACGCCGACTGATAGACTAACCTGGGTGGATTTCAGCAGCTTCTTCCCTTATGTTCTCATTGCACCTCATGTGCAATCCAGTTATACCGATTACCTCACTGTGATGTAATCATTTACTGTCTTCTCCCCCACATCAGAGTCCAGGTCATCTCTGTTATGTTCCCCCAGTGCTTTGCACAAGGCATGGAACACAGGAGGCCCTCAAAAATGGGAATGAATAAATGGCCAGAGAATCCTAAAGCTCTGCCCTGTCCTTTCTTCCCCAAGGAGTGTCGCCCTCTCCTGAGGCTCTCTGCACATAAATCCCTGTCTTCAAGATGACATTAGGTGACAAAATCAACTCAAGTCAAAAAACAAGTTGCTAACCTTTATGAAACAGCTGTCGTAACAGGAATTCTGAGATGACAGTGTGGCATGGAAGGTACTACAGGGTTTTCTGAAGGACGTCCTGAAATTCCTAATGTTGCAGGCAACCAGATTCAACATATCCATTAGGAGGGACCTGGGGAATGCAGCTATCTGCCCGGACTTCTCCTTAGGGGCTGATGGATCTTGTCTGCAAGGCAGTTTTGAAGCCTCCCCAGGTCATGCTCCTACATAGCCTCTACTGCTGCAGCCTACAGTTCTCAGCACAGAGCTCAGAAGTCCAGCCCTGCAGCCTCTCTCCTGGTGAGACCTCAGCCCAGGCGACTGCCTCCTGGAAGAGGGCCACAGGTCTGTCTCCCAACCCCAGGCTGGAGGAGGGACGAAGTGCCTGTCACCCAGTCCCTCCATCAGAGGAGTGAGCAGATACCCTCTAGGGCAGTGTGGAATCACCGGGAGGGCACTCCGTGGCTGAGTAGTCTTGCTTTTCATAATATTTGTTTTCTCACCCTACCTCTCTCTCCGTGTGTGTCCAACACACACTGCCTTATCTCGAACCCTGCGTCAGGAGCACTGCATCCCAGGGGAGGGAGCCCCAGGGCCAAGCCTTGCTGCCCAGTTACCAGGGACAGCGAGTGGGTCTTCTGGGTGCTAAGTGGAAGCAAACCACAATATTTACCCCGGGGGCGGACACGTGCTGGGTGATCTACACGGTAAGGGTGGAAATGAGCTGGTGTTTGGGCTCCATCTCCTCCTGCACAGTTCCTGTTTGTTTTTCCACTGCCCTGTTCCAAGAAGGGGTACAGGATGGGGCCGTGTGGACAGTCTGTCTGCAGCCGCACTACGGCCCTCCATGTCAGCACCCAGGTGGACTCGGGAGGCGTGGGTGTCAAGGCCCAGGGGAAGATGGGCGCTTTCCATGCCTCGAAAACAACCAGGTGCAGGATGGAGACACAGGACTGAATCGCGGAGAGGTGCATCGCAGGGCACAGCGACTGGGCCGGGAGCGACCTGGCTCTCGGAAGCCGGGCAGGGTGGGGGAGGGGGCAGGTAAGTGGGTTGCCTGGCAACCCGGCAGACCCGCGGGTGGACAAGCTCAAGGGGCAGCCAGGTGCCACCCGCCCCACCCCCGAGCACACGCTGCGGAATTCTGACGGCACGAAGCAGAGTCACGAGCGCAGCCGGAGCAGTCGAGCGGGCAGGACACCGTCAGTGCCGGGAGAACACGCGCGCGTGGGTGGATGGCGGGAGGGTCCTCACAGCCAGCCGCACCACCCCCCTCCCCCCCACATCCCGCAACCTGGCTTCTCCTCGCTCTAAATCTAGGGGAACAAAAACCCGGCGCGTCTGGGACAGCCTCTAGAGAGACTGGGGAGGGGGCTTCCCCGGGGGGGGGGGGGGCATCGCGCAGCCCTAGGCGCCCGCCCCTCCGGCCTAAGCAGGGTTCCTCCCCACCTTCCTTCTCCTCGCCGCCCCACCCTCCCGCGCCCTTCTCTTCCCCCAGCTCGGGCTCCCTGGGCTCCGAGGCTTCGCCCCCGCGCGGGAGCTCTCGGGGCGAGGGCGGTGCGCAGCGGTGCGGGGGCAGAGGTGATGCTGGGCGGGGCGGGGCGGCACGGGGAGGGAGCGGGCGGGGCGGGGCCGCGCTGCTACGTAAGCAGCCGCGAGAGGGGATCCTGGGTGCAGGCCCCGCCCCCTCACGTGCCCTGGGCGCAGGGCCTCGTGCTGCCCGCGTGACCTGCAGGCGCGGCGCTGCCACCGCCTCTGCTTCTGCTTGGCTTCCACGCGTGGGAGGGAGCCCGTGGCGACGGGGGCGGCTGGCTTGTGGAGGCTGCGGGAAAGTCTTCCTCGGCGGCCGCGTCCCTGTCCCAGGCCTTGGTACCCTGGCCGTTCTCCGCCCGGGACTTGGGGGTGCTGAGTGGGCATGCGGGTGTGCAGAGCTCTGTGCTCTCCTGGATTTGAGAAAAGGAGGTCTCCTATTCCTACCCTCTGTGCTCTTGCATTCCACGCATGGGAGGAGGAGGAGGCAGAGTAAGGGGGTTCTTCCCCAAGGGATGAGGCGGTTCAAATTTAAACCTAAGTTTGGGAGGGAGGTGCGGAAGAGCTTTTGAAATTGAAGGGTGGAGTCCCCACAGCGGTCCGTTCAGCCTCCATTACTGTGCCTGTGACCTTTGGGTCAGGAGCCCTGTTTTACTGCAACCTGGGCCCAGCTCAGCACCCAGCTAAGGGCATGAGCAAGAATCCAGCGTCCTTCATGGTTCCTTGGTGGGTGCCTTACTGATTCCCTCAGCCTCCCATTTCCCCTTCTAGAAATGGCAGGCAGAGCATTTGGAAAGCAGCAGTGAGAGATGGAGACCACCGGACAGGCCAAGCACCAAATTGGGTGTCCCCAGCAACAGAATAGGAAACCCATTATCTGTGCCTTTGCAATGTGTCCTTAAGTGACTCATTTGCCTGCAAGGTGTCAGGTGCTGAGGTAGTCCACAAAGCCTGTTGCTGTCTGCAAACTTGTGTCTCTACTAGTTGTTATTTCCAATAGCTGGCAAAATCGAAACCGCCTTTGCAAAAATTATAACAAAATTATTACAGTGAAGGGCATCTGACCTAACTGACTCTATCTTGCTTGTAACCTCCAAGCTGTCCCTTGTTCATTCCTGGGCGTAGGCTGAACTAACTTTGGGAGGAACTTACAGTTTCACTTTGAAACAAAGATGGTAACAGCCCTTTCACAATACAAACCCCCGTCTTGCCTGGGGAACAGACTGCCTTTGTAGTATTAACAAATTAGCCATAGGATTAGAGATTATGGTTTAGGAGTCATGTAGCTGGAGGCCACAAGATTCTAAGCCTCCCCAGTTGCTCCTAGGGATAGCATCACTATTGGAAAACCTGAGATTGGTGCTGAAGATATTTTTCAGACCCTGCAGTTGATGGATCAGCTGGCGTCACCCAGATTGAGAAACTGGCTGGCTGGTCCTGTGGCCCCTACCCAGGAATCTGCTTAGCGCAAGAGGACCACTTGGAGGCTCTGTGATTTTGTCTCTGACCAAACCAATCAGCACTCCCCACTCCCTGGCCCTCTACCCATCAAATTATCCTTTAAAAACACTAGTCTGGAATTTTCAGAGAGACTGATTTGAGTAATAATAAAACTCTCTTCTCCCGATCAGCCAGCTCTGCGTGAATTATTGCAATTCCTCCGTTGATAAATCTGTTCTATCTGGGAAGTGGGTAAAATGAACCTATTGGGCGGTTACCAAGTCGAGGTGGAGGGCTGCCTGGGACAAGCACTCCAGAGTAGAATCCCCTAAAGTAAACCCTCTCCATGAAAAGCCATATAGGGTGTGGCAGACAGCCTGGATTAGGGAGCTGGGGAAGCCACCCGCCAACCAAATACCGAGCACTGGGGGAGGGGCAAGGTGCGAGGCAGACTGGGGAGGACATGGAATCCGATGGAATCTGACCCAGGCCATTCCCTGTCTCCCTGAGGGAAATCAGAGACTTGGTGCTTTTACTTTTACAGGGATCCTATTCCCAAGGCAAGGGTTATTCCCCTTAGGATAGTTCCAAGGAAGGCAAAACCTAAGTGTGTTCATTGCTGGGATGGCCAGGAAGTGGAGTAATAGGAAGAGAGTTGGAGGCAGGAAGTGGGTCCTTTTGGCTTTGTGTCTGGATTTCAGTGTGTCTGGACAAGTGCCTTTCTACCCTTGGCTTTCCAAACTCACTTATGAGGAATGGGAATGGTCAGTTTAATGGCTATTGAGTGCCTGACACTGTGGAGAGAACAAAGGGAGTGCCAGGTGATGTCCCTGACCGACAGGAATTTCTGTCTCATGGGAGAAGGCCTATATTCTGGAAATACTTAACAAAATGTCAGTGGGTCTGTGAGGTTAAGAGCCAACGTGAGAAGTGTAGACAAGTGCTTTGATAGAAAGGAGAGAGCGATAGAGGCCAAGGAGCCAAAGAAGGGGGAAGATCTGGATAAATGGAGAGGAGCTTTGGGTGCTGAGAACTGCATGAGCAAAGGCAGAGAGGAAGGAGTGTTTCTGGCTAGTCCACTGGTCAGGAAGAAAGCTGGTTTGGCTGGAACAAAGGGTGCAGGATCTGAGAAGGCCAAAGATCTGCTTGACGAATGAGTCTACTGAGGCCCAAAGCAGAGGCTTCCAGGTTCCCCTTCAGCCCCAGTTACCCAGAACTTTGTAAAGCTCAGTGCTGATCACATAAAACCATCCTCAGAAACATGCAGTGGCTCTCCGTTGCCCAAATGCTATCATGGCACACAAGGCCCATAATAACTTATCCTAAACCTACCAGGTCAGCTATATTCCTGTTCTACACTTTCAGGCCCACCATATCCACCGAATTACCTCTGGGCCCTGAATATGCCCTCTACTTTCCCTCTTTTTTGCCTTCAATTGCATGCTTTTCCCTTTTTTTGGAAAGTTCTCTCCTCCCTCACCATTTCTGCCCACTCATCCTTGAAAACACAGCTCAAGTGCCAGCTCATCCCCCAGCCAGATGTAATTTTCATCTGAGTTTCCACAACATCGTGTACTCTATCTTGGCACCTCACGTTCCATGTTGTATTATGGATATGCAGAGACATCATCCTTCAAAGTAGATACTGCTAATTGGACCACTTCTCACCACCTCCATCACTGTCAGCCTATTCCACGCCACCATCATCTCTTGTCTGGACTGCTGGGATGGCCTCCTGATCAGCCCCATTGTTTCCTTCTCGCCCTCTTTAGTCACTTCTCTCCAGAGCAGCAGAGTGATCCTTTTAAAACATAGATTATGTCACTCTCCTGCTCAAAACCCTACAATGGTTTCTCATCACATTCAGATGTTATTCAAGACTTAGTATGAAGGTCAAGACCTACGTTATCTGGCCCTGTCTACCTCTCAGACACCTACCACCCTCTGCTTTGCTCACTAAGCTCTGGTCACTCTGTCCTTCTTCCTCTTTCCACACTATTCCAAGCTTATTTCTTCCTCAGAGTCTATGCACTTGCTGGTCCCTATAAATGAAGTGCATTTCTTTTAGAATTTACATGGCTCATTCCCTCGCTTCATTCCTGTCTTGGGTCAAATATTTTCTCAGAGAAGCATTCTCTGACTACCTTATCTAGAATATGTCTTCTACCAGACACTCTCCACTCCCCTTTTCTCTAGAGCCATTACCACTGTCTGAACCATATTATACTTATTTGGTTATTTATTTGTTTATTGCCTGTCGCTACCATAAGAAGTTAAGCTTTGTAATGTCAGGAACTCCTGTCTTGTTGACTGATGTAGAACGTTCGTCACACATACTAGGTACTCAGTTTTATAAAGGAGTGAATGAATCTAAGCTCTGCTACTAAACTATACGTTCTTTGAGGGCAAGCACCATGTTTTATACATTTGAGTCCCCTTTTCCAAGTCCTAGTTTCTTATACCTAAGTCCACTCAAATGCTTGTCTGAATTTCAGATTCTGCAGAGAAAACCCCCAGCTGCTTTTCTCCCATTAATGTAATTATACCTGTTTAAAAGACATCAGGAAATGGTCTTTACCTATCCTGTCACCTCCAGAGATGACTCAGTCTTCATCACATTGATCCCTGGCAAGTCTACCAGATCACAGCTTCTCCAGTTGTGGATCTCAGGCCATTAAGGGGTTGTGACCTACATTTTTTGATGACATAGAACAAATGAGAAAATAGCAGAGTGCATTGCAGGTTTTAAGGATAACTATTACTTTTTTCTGTTGTGGGTATCATCAGGTCATGCTATAAAATGAACATCTGGCCAGGCGCGGTGGCTCACGCCTGTAATCCCAACATTTTGCGAGGCCGAGGAGGGTGGATCACCTGAGGTCAGGAGTTCAAGACCAGCCTGGCTAACACGGCGAAACCCCGTCTCTACTAAAAATACAAAAATTAGCCAGGCATCGTGGCGAGTACCTGTAATCCCAGCTACTTGGGAGGCTGAGGGAGGAGAATCACTTGAACCCGGGAGGCAGAGGTTGCAGTGAGCCAAGATCACACCACTGCACTCAGCGTGGGTGATAAGAGTGAGACTCCGTCTCAAAAAATATAATAATAAAAATAAAAAATAAAATAAACATTGTTGGCCATTGTCTAAAAACTTTGAAAGTTCTAGATGTCCCATAAGTAGTTATTTTATAGAATACATACTTATACTCTTAATATTTAAATAGCTAGCATTTATTGCAGGTTATTTTTGTGCTGGGCACCTGTGTTACACTGTTTCACATACATTATCTTACAGTCCTCATTACAGTTCTAAGAGGAGGGGCTTATTATAATTCTTATTATTTTCATTTTACAGAGGAGGAAACTGAGGCTTAGAGAAATTAAGTAATTTGCCCATGATCACAAAGCTGGTAAACAGCTAAGTGGAAGGCCCACTTCCAGAGCTTTCCTTACCTGCTAGTGAGCAATCTCTCCAGCAGCATCTATTCTTTAATTTCATGTTCTGAACTGAAAAAGCCCCCACAGCCTTGTTTTATGTCAATAAACACTACTTACCCAGCATTCTGATGGGAGATTTTTTTTTTTTTTTTAGGTTGCCGGTAGGCACCACTGAGGCAAATGGACTGTTGTCCTGTTAAGAGTTCCACAGACCTAGAGAGTCTGGGAATCACGGGTCTCAATGTATTCACACTAGTCCAGAACTTGAAGAGACCTGGAACTGCAGCTGCTCGGGGGCCACCTGACAGAAGCTGTGGTTTTCACAGAAGGACACAGCCACAGACAGCCCATAGCTTGGCAGGGAGGAAGGTGGGGAATAAATACCCTGCCATGCCTTCCTCCCATCTTTGGATTTCCCTCTCAGGGCCCCCATTGGCTGAACCAGGGATCAGGAGAGTCTGTTAATGCAGTCCCTAGAGGTCAACCTCTCAGAACAGAGTGGAGTGAGTGCAGCGTGGATATGGAGGGCAAATGCACAGCCCCCCCGCTTACCATCCTCAGCACCAGTACAGATTAACACGAATTCCCAAGGCCTTCGAATGCCAAGCCTTGGCTGCCGCAGTACCTCACAGCTCACCACAACTCTCACCTCTCCCTTGAGGACAACATCTGAACGGGCCAGGTGGGGCATTGTGCAGGCTTGGGCCACACTGCAAGCCCCTCCCTTGGCCCTGTCTTTATTCACTGGGCTGCCAAGTGAGGAAAACCAGGCCAGAAAAAGAACCAGCCCCCCTCATCCACCTAGGCATTTGCAGCTCTGCCAGCACTTCGGCATCTTGTCCGTGATCTAATCATGCACGAGGTCAGGGGGTTTTTATACAGTCTAGGGATTTGACTGTGAATGGCAGAAATTTCTTCCTACCAGGATTTTGCACGCTTCCGAGCTGAAACCTCCTGGAGCAAGGAAGCAGGGCAAAGTGTGTGTGTGTGTGTGTGTGTGTGTGTGTGTGTGTGTGTGTGTGTGTGTGTGTGTGTCAGGGGAGAGGGGCAGAATAAAGGCATGTTCTAAAGGCATGTTCCTGCTCTTCATACTTACCCAGCCTTTATAGGCAAATGTGTGGCTGCAGTTGTGGCTGAAATATGAATGAATGTGGTGGTGTGCAGGTGCATGAATGACTGTAAGTTTCTGTGAATGAATGTATTTGTGATGAAGAGTGCATGGGAGCCCCTGCAAGCCGGGGTAGTGGTTTGCAGGTGCCTGGCTGGCTGGCTGGAAGCATCCACTGATCAGTATCTTTACCAAAGTCTATAAGTGTTGGGTTGAGGAGGGAGGAGGGGAATACTCTGTTTTCTCATAGCACCTCCCTTTTGCTGCTGCCACTGCTGCGTAGCAGCATGAACCGTTGGCAATTGCCTTGTCCTCCCTGAAGCCCCAGAGAAGAAAGTCGGGGGAAAGACAAGCAAAAGCATGTGGTCAGTCTGTCGTCAGTTGACGGCTCCTCCAGACACCAAGAATTGTCCTTAGATAAACTCTAGTCACAGAGCCTCCTGACTAGCCCGTGGGGCTGAACAAGGGGCAGATGAGTGGTAGCTCAGGTTAGATTTTCTCTGACCTCTACTCCCCTGACCTACTAGCCTGGTCAGGCAGAATTATTCATATTCTGCCTTTATCTGAAATGTTGAGATTAATAAGACCGTCTTCTCTTCTATCTCCCAGCCAGATTTGGGGGAATGAAAGGAGGGGCCGCATTCGTTTAGGAAGTAGTGATAAGCAAAAATGACTGGGTAGTTACCAATTGAAAACCTGACTTCATGAGCATATCAAAAAAAAAAAAGTTAAGGGCCACTTAATTTTAAATCATATGATTTAAATCCATTTTGGGTTCCTCTTCTCCCCCACTCAAGGTCCCCCGTAGTTTTTGTCATCCAAGTGGCCTCTGTGAGGGCCCCTGCACACGATGGCCCCAAATAGTCCCCTCATTAACAGTCTCAGCAGAGGCCAAAGACTGAATAGGTCAGAGAAACCAAATTCTTCTATCATCCGGAGGCCCAAGAGAACCTATCTGAGGAGGGCAAGTGAGGGAGGGAGGGCTGAGAAGCAAGAAATGTGGGAAATGAAGACTTTACAAAACTATTGTAAATTGCCTCCTCTGAAAATAGAAAAATCCAACATTCCCCAACCACCCCCTCTCCAACAAATACTTTGAAAGTGGCGAATCTCACCCACTTTGCTTCCATGGGGAGGCACTCTGTATTCACATACATAATCCATAGGTATTTATAAAAATGTATAATTGTGAAATGGACCAATGAAAACTGTATTGTTAGCTAAGTGAAGAGGGCAGTTGTCCCCCCCCCATAAAAGGCAGATGTTTAAATAAATGCAGATTTTAATAATACAATATCATTATCAGATTGCATACTTAGGTCCCCCAGATGAAACCTAAGCCTGTTTTCGTGGGCTGCTGTGCCTTTTCTGCCAAGCAGCTGTGAGAAGGAATGAACATCCCAGAATCCTTGCTTATGAATGCACTGTCTTCGCTGAGTTTGAATGTACTAGTGCTTCATGTTTGTGTGAATGGGGGTTGCATGTGCTGGTCAGAAGCCACATGAGACACATGGTTGGGGGGCGGGGAATTATGTCTTTAAAAAATGAATTGGAAAAAATGAAATGGAATGTGTGAATGGCATAAATGGAGCCCATGGCACCTTCTCTTTTTTATTACCCACCACCACAATAGGGCCCACCTGTTTCATTAAAATTAATTCCTGGCTTTGCAAATATCAATAGATCAATACCTGTACTTATGTTCCACCCTTCACTGGGACCAGACTGCTAAAAACAGAGAGCTGCAACACAAAAGATACCGCAGTCAGCTCAAGCAGGGGGTTATTTTTAGATCAGAAAAACGAAGGGAAAGAAAAAAAACAGAGGCAGTTCTGGGTTTTGCAATCTAATTTGGTCCCTTTTCTTAAGGAAAAAAAAATCCCATCAATGGCATTTTCCATACAATCTGATTTCCATTTGGCTCCTAGAAAAAGAAGAAGAGATCTAGGGCTGAAAATTCTGGAGTTTTATGGCTGATTCCAGCTAGTATCCTTTCTTCACCAGGCTCCAACTGAATTAATTTGATACTATTTTTGAAAGTCAGTGTTTCTAAGGGAGACCTAATGACGCACTGACGTCAATGCAGGTCAATAGCACACACTGCTGGAACTGGGCGTGCTACACCGAGCCAGGGCTGGAGCCTTTTCAAACAGCCCCAACTCTGCAAATATCCCAGCTTTGCAGGGGGAAAAAAGCCAGGGTTTTGTAAGCATTGAGACCCCCACCATTTTTCCCGAACACCTTCAAAATTGATGCATGCTTTCTAGATGCAAAAAAAGAAAGAAGAAAATCCAAACAGATATAATCAGACGCACTGCAGTGCAAAAAAAAAAAAAAAAAAAATCATACCTGTCAAAGGAACCGTATGTAATCCGTGCACACACACACATTTCACATTTACGTTCAGAATGCAATACATATCATTAGGATCTGTCTATAAATAGACTCGAGCGTGTGTGCATCGGGACTTAGTCCCAAACTGGGTTTTCAAACGTGGGTGATGAGTTCTTTGCTCTGATCAGTTACTCAGAAGGTGCCTGAATGTGTGGGGGTGGGAGCGTGGGAGGGGGCTGCCTCCTCTTTCTCCTCCTTCCCTTTGGCTCTCCCCCTCCTTTCTTCTCCCTCCCTCCCTCCCTCTACCCTCACCTCCCCTCTCCTCTCCCTGTATCCCTCTCTCATTTCCTCTTTCTTTCTCTTCTTCTCCCTCTCTCCTTCAGCATCCCCCCACCCTCTTTTTCTCTCTCCCCCTCCCTCTCACCCCCTCTCTCTCTCCCCCACCCTCTCTCTTCTCCCTCTCCCTCCAAGTCTGGCACTGAACGCGAACTGTTTTGCTTTGCTCTGGGAAGAGTGCAGACACATAACGTGAAATCCCGAGCTTTTTGCGTGGTGCATTTAAAATGCTTCCTTGTTTATATTACCCTCATTCCCTCACCTCCCCCACCCCCTCACCAGTCCTTCCAAATTTCCCTAGAAATCTATGTAAAGCATGCGGAGGGGAAAACATTTGCACAAAAAGTGAAGGAGCTCGCCAAGGTAGGTTATACCATGCACTGTCTTGTGTTTGGCTTTTGCAAAGTTTATGATGTCAGTTGGTGAATGTTTGGAGGAGTAGATTTGTATGACTGACCATGATTACTGTCTTTTTCATTGAACAATTATCTTTGTACAAATTGCCTAGACTTCTTGGGCAGGCTTTCCTGGGGTCTTGTATGTGTGGTTTTTGCAGGAGGCATGCCAGCTGGAAGACAGTCCTCTGTTGTTAAGCTGGGTAGGGGACGCCGTCTTGGCTTCCCCCACCCTAGTGTTCTGTGGTTTGGGGGTGGAGGGTGGAGAAGTATTCTGTAGTGGGCATGTGCTTCTGCCACTTGGCCATATCTTGGATTGATTCTCATTCACTGAGTGTCTTAATTCTTGTAATTATTTTGCACGTGAAAATTTAGTTCCAAAAAGGCTTCATGAAGTCAGAGAAAAGTGGGGAGAGTCAGAGAGAGAAAGAATCACGGTATGGTGGTGGTGATGGGAGCGGTAATATGTCTTGCATAGAGAACTTAATGTTCTCCCACTTTTTGGAGAAAATGCTAAGTCTTTAGTGGGTGTAAGCAAAATAATTTTTGTTTAAAACCTTATTCGTGGGTAAAATGAAATTTAAAATAAATGTTTCCGTTGCAAGAGCAAAAACTGCTACAGCTCACAACCACCTGTAGAGGGAAATCTTTATGCATGATATCTTAAGGGCTGGTTGTGTAGAGGAAAACCGCCTGAAAAGGCTCCTGACAAAGTTTGCAGCAGGAAAGACAAGAGATACTGAGCCCTGCAGGGTGAAGGGTTAAAACTCGGGGGCGGCAGAGAAGGAGGGAACGGCTGGAGCTCAGCCAGGGTCTGTCAGTCTGGGGACTTACAGGGTTGGCCTTCCTGCTTTGAGGGGCTGGTGCTGTAACGGGGGGGAGCCTGAGGTGGAGAAGCTAAATGGGGCAGGGGCTTGCAGAATACTTGTGTGTCGTGGAAGGAGGGGCGTTCTATGAGGTCAGAGATCGTATGGTGCTTGGGGCCATGTGACGATAGGGAGGTCACAGGCCAGTTTTTCCGTTGGGTTCTGGTCCTCCCAGTTCCTCCCTGCTGCTGCACAAAGCGAGGTGGTTATCAACAAGTGTTTCTCCTGAGAAGATTAGTTTTGACAGGGACTTCAAGGGGTTTTTTAATCTGGGTAAATCCACCAGGGCTTTATTGTGTGTAGCAAAGAGAGTCATTCTTTGTTAGGAAGGAGCTTGGGGAAGAGAGGTGGAGGGGTGGAGAGAGGGGGCTTTTGAACATCAGCCATTTGACCTTGGGGGCCAGAGTTCAAATCCCCCAGAGGTCTGAAAAGGTTGAAAAGATATCATTATCCCTTCTCCCTCCCCCGCGTCTTTCACCCAGAGCTTTATGTTTAACGGGGAAAATCCAGCGCCTGGTGTTGGCCAAACCTCATCAATGGGAATTCCATGTGTCTGAGAGCAGGATTTTTTTTTTCATCGAGGGAAGCAGGCAGCACTCTCAGCTGTAGTACTGTACATTTTTTTCCCCCTGCAAATCATCTTCTAGGAAAGCTGAATCACCTCCACTCTGAAGAGCAGCCACTTCTGGGAGGTGGAACACAGGGGGAGGAGGGAATACCCCCTCCTCCATGGTCCTTAAATATCCGTGTGGGGGCACTACTTGAATGTCTGGTTCAGATGAGCCTGGAAATATGACGAGGGTTCTTTGGACTGGGCTGGTAGTTGAGAAGACCATCTGAGCGGGGATGTAATTCTGAAGGAGTAAGGTAGTGGCTTTTTCTTTTGCGCTGGGGGTGCGGGGGCGGAGGGGTGCAGCTGGCTGGGTCATCAAATTAACATGAGAAGGGAATCGTTTTCAGCAGGGAAGTAGGAGATTTGGGGAGGGTGCTTGGAAGATAGAATCAGCATGCTATTGCCACCCCCCACCCCAAATAACCAAAAGGCAAGGAGTACAGACATAGAAATGGGAAGTGAAATGTTGGTATAGACTGTGATTAAGCCTGCTGTTGGTATGAAGTGCTGTCTCACTAAATAAAGCAGAGTGGATGGTGGCTGCATCCCTGGATCTGCCGGTGTGAAGTAAAACCAGGTCAGCTGGCCTGACACCCACTGTCCATATCACTGAAGGTCCTGCTCCAAGAAGGGGGATGGAGAGTCTTCCACAGCCCGGAAAGCATCAGGTTTCTTTGTGTTGCACTTCTCAGAAGGAAATTGTTTCTGTTTATTGCTTAAGTCAACAAGTATTTGTCTCCCTTTGATATAAATGCTGTGGGGGAAGTGGTTACAAGAAAAAAAAATCTGGTCCTGGAATTATAGCCATCTGCTCTCCACAGTCCTCCAAGACTGTCAGTATCTCTCTTTACTCTGAGCTGTGGTCTTCTAGGGACCAAGTTCCAGAAGAATAGCACCTAAAAAGTATTTCATGTCCATCAGCCTTCCCCGGAGATCCATGGAAAGACCACCTCTCTCAGGTTCTACCAGGTGCCCAAGCACTTGTCACATGCAGACATGTATGTGCAGTGTACATGCACATATATGTGCAAAAACCACAACAGTATGCATGTGGGTACCCAGGGTTCTCTCCACATGAGAACCCACGAGAGCCCACGTCAGCTCATGAGCCACATACACAAGGAAACAGACCTTCTTCCTCTCTGTCAAGTCCGAAGATGCCAGCTGAGACGTTCTTCATCCAGTTTAGGGGTGGACCTGATGTCCCTGAGTGTATGTGGTGAACCTGAATTTGCCTTGGGTTTCCTCATATTCATTCAGGAGTGTCAGTTGCCCCTTCACGCGACGTTGGAGAGCATTACAGCAAGCAGGTGTCTACTCATTTATGGCAAGAATGAAGTCCGACTTTTATCTTCATCACCTTGGATGAGCCCTGGTGCTTGCCCTGTTTCTCAAAAGAAACCTAAGGGCAGGGGCAGAACTGGTTATAGAATTCATGGAACCTGGCACAAAATGAACACGTAGGGCCCCTTGTTCAAAAAGCAGGAAGAAAGTGCCTAAATATAATGCCTTTGTCTTTCTTCCACAATCTCTCTCTAGAATCGTCATGGTGGTTTTTTATTTGCTGTTTTTCATGTGGTGCTAAATAAAAATAAAAATTTTAAATTTTTAGCATGAATTTTACCGTTCATCTTTATATTGTGTGATGCCAGTTGTAAATGTAAACACAAGAGCGTTTAACTCATTTGTAGAATCACTGAAATTACACAATTCACATTTCATATGTCGCATATGCATAGGTATTTCATTCTTACCAGAACAATGGAGATGCTGACAAAATGAACTCCAGTGTTTTTATTTCACTTCTTGATACAAGCGCTTTGTACCAGCACTCTCCACCTTCAGCTTGCTGTTGAGGAGAAATAGCTATGGATTGCTCTATCTTCACCTTTCCTTCTGTGTCAACATTTTCAGCATAGGTGTTTGGCAAATACAGGGAAGGAACATAAGTAAGAAATGCTACTTTAGGGTCCCTTAGGCATTAGTGTTTCTTAGAACTCTATTGCCTTCCTTCTGCATTTGAAGCATCTGGTTCAAACAGAAAGCATGACCTCTGGGCACTGTCTGTGTCCCCCGTCTGTGTAGTCATAGGCTTACTTTCCATTCTACTTGCCCCGAGTCTCACTGAGCTCCCACTGGAATTCTGTACGCATGGGCTACTGCCAACATTGTGGGACAGGAACGATGGATGGGCACACACATTCTCTATTATCCCATAGACTTCACTTACAAAACACGGGTTCAAAGACAAAATTTTTAAGAATTTCAAGACAATAACAGTAGAATCTTAAACCAACCATGGAGCTCTTCTGAGCCAAGGGCCCTGCAACTACACAAGTTGCACGCTCCTGAAGTCAATCCAGGTGGGAGGAAGTAAGAAGTAACCTAGACTTCAGGCTGAGAACCCTATTACTCATCTTCCTTCGTCAAGCGAATAATTGAATCCGCAGCAAAAAAAAACTTGAACGGCCTCCATTTTTGACCCATTGGGACTTTCTTCTCCTCTAAGCAAGTCCCACTCTGTGAAAATCCACCACTTCCTGGTGACGCTATCACAGCTTTGAGGGGAGAATTCATCTGCTGATCTCTTCACTGAAGCCGTGGCTTAGAGCCCAAGCCTTGCAGATGAAGCATGGGTTCCAATCCCCACCCACCACTTTCAAGCTTGGTCCCATCCAGGAGATACCCTGACTGATCTGTACTTAGGTTTCACCACCTGAAAGTAATAAAATATATTTGGTTTGATTCATGAATAATTGTGCTAATTATTTAGTGCTGCTTCTTGTTTGTCTCACAACTGCTCTGAGGTCTGCCCAGGGGTCTCCTGGCCCAGGATGACAAGTTCTCAGAAATTACTTTAGCAATTAATTCAATTGATGTTGCTGTGGAAGAAGCAGGGCTTGATGTTTAAAGGGTCTAGAGGAAGACGGGCCTACATTCCTGATGGACCCAATAAAAAGAGTATTTTTCCTGCCTTCATCAACTGCCTTTTGCTCCTCACCTACTAGGGAGCAAAGCTAGAGGGCATCTTAGAGATGTGAGGTGGACTAGTTTGTAAATAAAATAGCATTAAAAATATATCCAACCTAGAGAATGAAGACTATGGACCCTCCATCGTTGGTTGAGGGACTTTGAGAGTTTTTGAGAGTTGTGTTTTTCAAGCTTAATATAGCTTTCCTTTCTAGCCTGTTCCTTCAAGTGACACAAACACCCTTTTTTTTTGAGAAATATTTAGCTTGGTCTAGGCTACTGACAGTACCTAGAAAGAAAAAGAAAAAGAATTATTCTTGCTTATTATTTTATAAAACCTTTACTAGACTTGGAGACTGCTGCAGCGACAGTCCAGTTAGTGGACTGGAAGACCAATCAATGAATAATGATTGACTGTTTACAAATGAGCCTAGCACGGTGCTTGACCCATGGTGGGTGTTTAATAAATGTTAGCTGACTCAGAGTATGTCTCATTATTGTGGCACTATGTTATAGTGAAAGAGCTATGAATTTGGCATCAAACCACATAGGTTCAAGCAACCATGTGGATGTATGCTCTTGGGCAAATTATTTCGCTTCTTCGTAAACTGCTTATCATACCTAAACAATGGGAGTATTCACATTATAATAGCTACCCCACACAGTTATTTTGAGAATGAAATCAGAAGTGAGTTGGCTCATTTTAAAGCACTCTAGATAAGTAAGTGATACATGTGTTTCTGTAATATGTGTGTGCACAAAGGCAGATATTAAAAATTTTTTTAAATCCTGCCTTTTTCTCTTTCCCATCTCACTCAGCAATAGGAGTAGGCATAGGTCTCTGATAGGCTGGATGGCATCCTGAGTACAGTGTAACTGTGGATAGTTTAGGCTTTGCAGCCAAGAAGGCGTGCATTCAAATCTTTCTTAGCTCTTATATGTGGTTGGTTATGTGACTTTTGATAAGTTATTTAAACTCTCTAAGCCTCAGTTTCTTGACATTTAAAATGGGGACCTACCTCAAAAAGTTATTGTGACGATTCATTGAGTTGATATTTGCAAGGCTTGGCTCAGTGCCTGGCACATACCAAATGTCTATCACTTTTATTTTTTATTATTATTTTAGCTATTATACCTCTGGACCAGGGAAGCATCAGAAAAATGACTTGGGAACATCTTATGAGGCATGGTGTGGGATGGCATTTCTACCATATGCTTTTTCTTGCTTGGGTAGATTCTTCCTTTTCTGAAATTAGCAGAGACCTCTTAGACTCTTCCACATACACAAGGTAAAGTCTATCTTCCCTATACTTTACTGAAAGCCATTGGCCCTACCAAGCAAGGGACAGGCCTAGGCAACTTCCCTGGAGCTTTCACTTCAACTAGGAACTCAACTCTTTTGTCCCAGAAGTTCCCAACTTCAGGTAAGGAGAAAGGGACTCAGTCAATGCATAGCACAGATCTGGACCTCAAGTGTGGGTGGGAGAAGATCATCTGCATTTGACTCACAGAAGCCTAGAGGGAAGACTTGAGTCTTCCCTCAGCTGAAGTAGATGTTCCAAGTCCTCCTTGAATGCTGTGAGAGCCCCTCAGTGATTCTCTGGAGGCAGGTATCACTATCTACTCCTCACCCAGGTCTTGTATTGCCATGACTTCATCTCCTAGTGGAGGACAGAAGAAAGTAATCCCTTACCTAGCCCCTACGGACTTATTAAAATTGGGAACTCAACACGAACTTCTGTATGGCCCATTATGGAAGGCCATACACTAGATTCTCAGGATCCAGTGATAACTAAAACATGGATGCTGCTTGCCATTGTAGCACTCGTAGTCCAGAGATGAGAGAGGCTTTTAAAAGTCCACATTCTCCTTTGGGTAGGACCCTTACCAATCCTGGGTTGTTATGCAATGATAAAGCCCTCGCCTGAACAATAAGCCACCATAGGCTTCTGTTTCCTATTCCAAATTTATCTGCTCAGTGTCCCATTCTGTTAAGAATTCTTTCACCCATGAGTTGATGTGAATGTGTTAATTGGTGTGGAAGTACCAGTCGTGAAAGAACAAGTTCCATCTATTAAGATCCATATTTTGGCCAGATGCAGTGGCTCACCACTGTAATCCTAGCACCTTGGGAGGCCAAGGTGGGAGGATCGCTTGAGCCCAGGAGTTCGAGACCAGCCTGAGCAACAAGGCAAGAACTCATCTCTACTAAATTTTTTTTTCTAATTAGCCAGGCATGGTGGTACATGCCTGTAGACCCAGCTACTCTGGAGGCTGAGGCAGGAGGATGGCTTGAGCCTGGGAATTCGAGCTTGCAGTGAGCTATGATCGTGCCACTGCACTCCAACATGGGTGACAGAGCAAGATCCTGTCTTTAAAAAATAAGATCCAGAGAGTTTTAGTCCCAGTGGTCATTAGTAATATTTAGTGAGAAGAACAGCCTTCTTTTATGTTTTACTGCAATACATTCTTTTTTTTTCTTTTTTTTTAGAGATGAGGTCTTGCTCTGTCACCCAGGCTGGCATGCAATGGCACAATCATCGCTCACTACAGCCTCGAAAGATAGGTGCACGCCACCATGCCTGGCTATTTTTATTTTTTGCTATGTTGTCCAGGCTATTCTCAAGCTCCTAGACTGAAGTGATCCTCCTGCCTTGGCCTCCCAAAGTGCTGGGATTACAAGTGTGCACCACCGTGCCTGGCCCAATTCATTCCATTAGGAGCCCATGGGCTGATTATTTTAGAGTGTATGGGTCCTAGAACTATAGGACTTACCCTGACCACCACATCTTGAGTATTAATAACCAGAGAGCCAGAGAAGACCTGCTCTGCAGGGAGTAGCCTCATCCTAGCCTCAGGTCTGGGGCAGGATTGAGGATTCCAATTCACTACAAAGGTTATTTGCTTCTACATACTTCTCTATATTTGCATAGATTTGGGAAATGATATAAGGGACAAGGGAAGATCAAAATAGCCACTTCATTCCCTGAAAACTCCTACTTTAGCCACTTCCCCAAAGCTAGAGGGTTTTTCCTACTCTACATTAACTTGCTAGTTTATAAGCTCTCAGATTTTTTAAAGCTTAATCACTTATATCGTGTAAGTTGCAGCATGATGAAGGCTGGTCACTGCTGAGGGGTTGATGCATTCCTACCAGGGCTTGGAAGCAAATTGGACCACAAATCCCTAACCAGAATGAACCTTTCATATGCATGGGCCCCAGATCTTTTCAAAACATTAACAATTCTCTTGAGTTACAATCCAGATCAAAGTTGTTTTGACTTGTAATTTAATATACTATTTTAAACCAATTGGAACCCATATATTTGCTAATACTGGTGGCCCAGAGCAGCAAGTTATTCCATTAATGAAAACATTTGGTAATAGCTCTAGAGATGATAGAGATGAGGGATGAGGATTAGAGGACAGGCAGAACGGGTTGAGTCTTTCTTCTTCTTTTTTTTTTTTTTTTTTTGAGACAGATTCTCACTCTGTCACCAAGGCTGGAGTACAGTGGCACTGTGTCGGCTGGCTGCAACCTCCGTCTCCTGGGTTCAAGCAATTCTCCTGCCTCAGCCTCCCAAGTAGCTGGGATTACAGGTGCCCACCACCAAGCCTGGCTAGTTTTTATATTTTTAGTAGAGATGGGGTTTCACCATGTTGGCCAGGTTGGTCTTGAACTCCTGACCTCAAGTGATCCACCTGCGTTGGCCTCCCAAAGTGCTGGGATTACAGGCGTGAGCCACCATGCCCAGCGAGTCTTTCTTCTTATAGTCAGTGGTCCTCAGGCCCTTCGAGGAAGTGGCGCCTTCACGTTTTCTCCTCCATGTAATCAGAAGTCCACCTTCTCACTGGACAGCTTCCCTCCACTGACCTCAGGAAGTGGAGGATGAATAGGAGCAGCCAAGCTAATTAGAGGATTGAAGGCAGGGTCTTTGTCATCTATAATTAAGGAGAGGTGCATCCTGTGATGTGAGCTATACAGCCTCTGCCTCCCCTAGCTGGTCCAAACCCCAGTGAGTCAACACTGACCCTTAACCAGAGGTAGGTGAACAGAGCCTAGCATAGTTACAATAAGGGTAGATGGAGTTATGGCTTATAGCTACTGAGAAAAATCCATTACTTACCCTCAGATTATTCTTAATGGCAGCTCCTGAAAACTGTCTTTTCCTTTAAGGTACAGGACCTAAAGAATTCTACTCTTAAATTAGCTGTCCCAGCTGTCAGTCTTATAGCTCATTCCCAAATCATGAGGTCCAATGCATTTTCCAAATATGTAATGACTCCCTTTTGTTCTGCGTGGCTTCGCAAGGTATCTGAGAGATCATCTTAGAAAATGAAAAAGAGGTAAAATGCTTCATCCTAGAAGTAATTTTTTCCTCCTCAGACAGTTTGCACTTGCCCTGTGGAAATGAGACAATGAATGAGAAGGAACACCAGATGCTTCTTCCATCGGTCCTGATTGGGACTTAACAAGGTGTGCCCCACTGCTCAGTTTCCCCTGACCCTTTGAAACTTCTCTCAATGTTGGATGGAACTCCACTTCTGTCTGTTCTGGAGAACCCAGCCAGGGCCCAAAGAGGGGATGCTCTGTATTTCCGAATACCAGTTTCTACACTTAACAGCTATGTTTGACTTTGGACAAATTATTTAACCTCTCTAAGCCTCAGTTTTTCAACTTGAATGTAGAAATTGTAATAGGGACTGTTTCATTGAGTTGTCATTAGCATTGAGTGGGATGATGTATACATACCTCTTTGCACAGTACCTGAGGTTAATAAATATGGGGCTCATTAAATATTAGCTATTGTTACTCTTGATATCTTGCCAGCAGAAAAGGGGTGAGGAGCTCTCATCAAATATTTTTAACCTTCCTGAATGGCAAGTCTTTGTCTTATTCTGGGTTCCTTCTGAACTGTGTATCATCCTGTAAGTAGGTGAACACAGAGCCTCTTGGGTACCTAACAAGAAGCCAGGCCACTGCTAATCAAAATCAGGCAGTGAGCAATTGTTAATTGTAAGAAAGACCAGGAAGATTTCCCGTCATCTCTTGGGGCTCCTACTATTGCACTGATTAACTGTGACCCAGAACTTTTTTTTTTTTTTAGATGGATTCTTGCTCTGTCACCCAGGCTGGAGTGCAGTGGCGCAATCTTGGCTCACTGCAACCTCCTCCTCCCGGGTTCAAGCAATTCTCCTACCTCAGCCTCCCAAGTAGCTGTGACTACAGGCGCACACCGCCACGCCCGGCTAATTTTTGTATTTTTATTAGAGACGGGGTTTCACCATATTGGCCAGGCTGGTCTCGAACTCCTGACCTCATGATCCACCTGCCTTGGCCTCCCAAAGTGCTGGGATTGCAGGCGTGAGCCACCACGCCCAGCCCCCAGAACATTTAAAAATAATAATAATAAGATCTGTGCCCCGATAGGTTAGCCGACTAGTTAACCTGAGGAATTTCAGCAGGGAAAGGACTGCAGAAAAACTTGGTTCAGAGCTTCAGTAGACTCTGTCTTGCTCCCTTTATAACAGTCATATTAGGTCTTTTGTGTGAGAAGGATTCCGTGTCCATCACTTAGTTTATCAGAGAATGTGTTTTTAAAGGCTCCTGAGAGCAGGCAAGAACAATTTCCCTCATCCTGTTGCTGTTAAGTGGGATATACAACCATCCTGATGCAAATCTTTTTTGGGAGAGGAAGGTTATCCGGGCTCCATGACTCTTCTATAAAAAGTTTATAATAAGGTCCTTTAATGGCTGTCACTCTAGATATTTGTGGGAAGAGAATGACTGGAAAGCTAGAACACATTCAAAATCCAAGGGCCAGAAAAATTTTAAGCTCCAGCCTCAGCCTCCGATCTCCTGGGACCAGCCCCATAAGAACCATCCATTCTAGCCCAACTTGCAAATGGAGCCCAAGAGTTGAACCTCGGCATGGGACTCAAGATGTCTCTAAAGTTCAAAAACACCTGGATTACCTGAAAGCAGAACCGGGTCCAGGTCCTGTGCTGAGGTCTCCAGTTTTCTCTAAGTAAAATATTTCTAGTGGAGAAAAAGCCTGTGGCCTCTGGGCAGAGATTTGTTCTATAGAGAAATGAAGGAAATGTGCAAGAGAGAACAGTTTTACTCTGGAGCTCCCTCTACTGGCTCTTTGATAGAAATCCATCGCAGTTATTCCGCCCTGCCTTGTGGGTATCAAGTTAAAGCATCCGAGCATCCTGGCACCTTGAAGCAAGGAGAAAAGGTGTCCTGAGGTGCCAAGGAAGATGAAACTGCAGATACTGGTTTCTTCTGCCTCTTTTACAATTTCATCTAATGTTTTGGGGGTGCCAAGATAGTGCTAAGCATTTTGTGTGCATTATTTCATTTAATACTCACCATAAACCAGCATTTTACAAATGAGGCAGCTGAGACCTGAAGGGATTAAATAAGTTCCTGGCATCACCATAGACTAATAGACCCCCTTAGTGACCCTCATAATTCTTATGATTCTCCTGAGTGACAACTCAAGAGAAGCAAGAGTCAACGGACAATGTGAGGTTGGAAGTGGCACTTGATCTCATCACCTAATATAAAGAGGCTCTGAGATTGCGCCATAAACTTCCTAGGTCCTATAGAATCTCAGCCCTGTTTGTTTTTTTATTCTTTTAATTTTATTTATTTATTTATTTATTTAAGACGAACTCTCACTCTGTTGCCCGGGACGGAGTGTGCAGTGGTGTGATCTTGGCTCACTGCAACCTCCACCTCCTGGTTTCAAGCAATCTTCCCACCTCAGCCTCCCGAGTAGCTAGAATTACAGGCATGCACCATCACACCTCGTTAATTTTTTCTGTATTTTTAGTAGAGAAAGGGTTTCACCATGTTGGCCAGGCTGGTCTTGATCTTCTGACCTCAAGTGATCCACCCGCCTCAGCCTCCCAAAGTGCTAGGATTACAGGCGTGAGCCACTGCACCCAGCCTCCTGTTTGTTTGTTTTTTTTTTAATTCAGCCCTCGAGGCAATTAATTACATGGCAAGGCTTTGTCCAATCTGCACTCTCACTGTGATGCCCAAGTTGAAGAAAGCAGGGAACTACCACAGTGACTAAGAAGAGTTTCCATGACAGAAGTGAGGCCTTTTAAAATTTGTGGAACATGTTCACGCCTACTTTTAAAATAAAATTCCATGAGATAGGTAGGGCAGATAGTGCCCACACATTTTATAGGTTGGGAACTTAAGATACTGAGTGCCTGTTTCCAGGTTTTGTTTAGGGGCAAATGGCAGAATCAAGACCAGAACTGTCACTCTCAGCTTAAGTTCTGACTTTTTGGTTGGTGTTGGTTGGAACTCAGAGTCTAGCATGGGTTTTTTAATTACATAAAATAAAGACTGTGAAGCTACCTTCTTGTTTTACATCCAGATCCTTTCCTGAGTCTCTCTGTTTTGGGCTAGTTCATAATTGAGCTTCCTTGATATTGAGTCATTTGGGAATTGGGAATGACATAAGCCACTCATCTTATTACTGTTGGTCTCTCACCAGTCCACATTTTAGAGATATCTAGGTCCCTGAGAGAATCCCAAATATTATTTCAGTTCTCCTGTAGCTCATGAAGCCATAAATATTTCACCTCACCCAGGAGAATCAAAGCATTTTCACATTGGTTCTTACTGGGGAGTTGAGATATGGGTAAGTAATAGGAGTCCCATTCCTGCTTTGGCTGGGGTTCGGGTCTCCAATTTCACTGCCAGTGTGTCTCTAAATCTACACAGTGGGACAGTGGCTACAGCAGACATCACTCAGCTCCCCACTCCTGACTTGAGACCTTCCACTAGTTGCCCCTTCCCCTAAAAACAGAGTGATGTCATAATGGTATCAGAATGGCACTTGCTGATAACAACACAGAAATAACAAGGGCAGACTTTCTGCAGTGTCTCCTGAGCAATTGGTTGTCATTGTCCTAAACAGAGCAGCTAGGTTAAAAAGATTTATCCATAATGTAACCTCCTGGCCCTCAGCTATGGGTGGAAGCAGCACTTTCTGGTTTGACCTCCTAATACCACAAACTCCACTTTGCCAGAAAAGTGACTTCTTGATGAATAGTCTGTTCAGATAGGCCAATTTGGAGTATATTCATATTTGGCCACCTGCTGGTAAGACTGATCATCCCCTTGCCCAGCTGTAGCTTTGAGCATCTGCCCCCATGTTGCCCCCATCCCCAGTAAAGCCAAAATGGTCCCATCGAAGGAGGGGAGGGGAGAGCCTGGAAATGAACACTCCCAGGGAATTGTGAGTGATGGAATGTGGATTGCTGACACCATGTCCCTTTCCTCTTGCTTGTTGTAGGAGCGTCAATGACCAAGAGGAGACCAGATGAGTTTTCAAAGCAGTCCTCAAACACCCAGGACACACCTCATCCTTTACCTCGTGCTTTCTGCAATGTTGCTGTTCATGTTCATCTTCCTATTAACATTTGCCATAATAACCCCTCATTGACCACCATCATTCCTCCATCCACCACCAACTCAGCTCCTTCTCTAAAGTGCCCTCTAATGGGCAGTGGCTTTGGTCTCTGTTTGGCAAATTATGTCCAGAGGGTTAACATTAATTTCTCTTTCTCCTATTCCTCCCTCATGCTAGATTCAGTCCATCACTCAGCCTCCTGTCAGGAAAACCATAGCAAATCCTACTTTCTGCTAAAATGAAGTTACAAGACACTTTTCCAGAGTAGTCACACTCAATGAAGGGACCCAGGGTGTATCTGAGTGTGATGTAATTGAAACCACATGGAAAGACTAGAAATACCTTGCTCCCAGTCAGATATAGTGAAACAGCTTACTCAAGACTGGACTAAGATTTAGAATATAGGGGGGCTAGGGAGGAGAAAGAGAAAGATCCTCAGAAGTGGATTGTCCCTGAATACAGGATGAAATCATCTAGATTTTTTTCTCCAATTAAATTTGCATTTCATTCAACCACATTGCAATGGCTTCATACTGGGCATTTTCATTTGAGACCCAAGGCTTTTCTTCATGGGTCCTGAGCCACAGGTTCCTGGATGGTGAGGTAAGTGGCATTTGCCCGCACTGTCTAGGGTGGTTTGTAGTGCTTTGATAAACCCTGTGCTGATGAGTCAGATCCACCCTGTTAGGCCCTAAAATTTGTCCTCTATTGGTCCCTCTTTACCCAAATGCTCTTCAGGGATCCTAGCCCAGACATAGATGTTAGTCCAGCCTCACAATGTTAATTTAGACCTCTATAAAACCAAAACAGATCCTGAGGATTGACCAAACCAGAATTTGTTGTCTCTTTCTCAAAGACAATCACTACTACAAAAAGTGTAGCTCTCTGAAAACCCACCATACCTAGAAAGTGTATTTTCTCCCCTCCCCTTTTCTTTCTACTTTTATAGGTAAGCTAGCACTGATGGAAGATACCAGGTTTTCAAATGTGAACTGAAGTCTCTCTTCTCATGACAAGATTCAGATCCAATTCATTATTTAACTAATAGCCTCTCCAATAAGTACAAAAAATCTTGCCTATCCAGCAGATATGTTAGTCCATTATTCCTCTATGTCCCCCAGCCTATACTTATTAGACTAGGAATTAAAGAAATACAATCCCCATTCTTTACTCTTGGCCTACCAGATATAGTGATCCAAGCTTAGTAGATCAGCAGCTAATTGCAAGGCTGCTTTAATAGTGAATGAATAAAAAGTTCTGCTAATTCAGACCTACCCAACACCCATGAATTTGTGATTGAGCTATCTCTCTGCCTGCTGAATTCAGGTAGATAAACAACTGTCCTTCAACCACAAGGTTAAGGCTAAACTTATGCAGGTATCTCTAAACATGCTGCAGATTGTTCTTTTCTCTCTGTGGCCATGCTTCCCAACCCCTGACACCTTTCTATTTAGCCTCTGCTAAGCTCAAGTGTGCTGGAATCCTGATCCCTGCCCCAGCCTCAGCCCCCTATCATGTGCTTGCTTTAGCTCCCCTGTCTTTGCTGAGATCCTCACCATGAAACCAACTCTAGGTATTCCTGAGTGACTCTCTAGGTTCTCATTCTCTCCAATGTGCCTTTTATCAGCAAGGCATGGGAAAACCTATCATCTGGTTCTCCAAGGTGTCCAGCAGTTAGAATGGCTGAG
Source organism: Homo sapiens (assembly GCF_000001405.40). NCBI lineage: Eukaryota > Metazoa > Chordata > Mammalia > Primates > Hominidae > Homo > Homo sapiens. Next base: position 43,571,572 of record NC_000011.10, read on the forward strand.
AGGAGGGCATTTGAGTTTGCCCATCGATAATGGGGTTGTGCGAAAAGCAGATATTGTCTCAACTGTTCTGAAGTTGAACAATGTTACTTTCAGGTGAATAGACTGTTGAGACTATTTTGAGTTGTTGATGGCAACCAAAAAAAAAGGGGGAAGGGGTGGAATTACAGTCACTTTCCTCCAGCATCCAGTGGTCCTTAAAACTTTCACCCTCAAATCTCCAAATATGCTGGCTTCTAAGAAGTGCTTTCCAAGACCGAATATACTTCTTGATCAGGGTAAGTGATGAAAATGTGTATTTAACAAGGGGAGGGGATCTTGAAATAGCCTGAATTATGCATGCTGTGGCCTATCTACCCCCACCGTGCTAATGGCTCAGCCTATAAAGTTTTCAGAATCAGAAAAATAATCAGAGATGCTAGTTTCTGAAGGAGCGACGGAGGACTAGGATGACTAGCTAACTCAAGGTGCATGTAGACTTTCTGCTGTTCTTACTTTAGGAAAGGTTTCTTGGAAGACTGGACCAGGGAGTTCCTAATTCTTCCCTGGACCATCTCAGGGGCATCCTCGGTGTGAGTGGAAGCATGCTTGGATGCAGCAGCCTGAATGAATGTCAAGTTCACTGCATCTCCACCACAAACTGGTTGGTTTCAGGCAAATCCCTTGAGTTTTGGATGAGGCTAAACCAGCTAGGGCTTTCCTTGAAATAGGATGGAGGGGTCTCTTCTCACAGGCAGAGAGCCTTATTCAGGGGGCATCTATTCGCTAACAGGCTTCTTAGGAGGAATAGATCAGTCTCGTTATTCAGAAAATGTCTGAGAAAGTCCCAGACACCTCCAACTCCACATGTTGGGGGATAGACCTGGAATATTAAAGATCAGAGGTTGGAATCGAGGCAACATGATGGAGTGATGTGGCATGAGTATTGGAGCCATACAGATATGAATTTGATCTGATCCTTAGTTTTGTAACTTCAAGTTCTAAGACTTTTAGACAAGCTGTTTAAACGTTATGGTCTCCATTTCCCTAGCTTTCAAATGGGAAAAATAATAACTGTTTTGGGAGTGATTTCTATGCTCAACAAGCCTAAGGGGTAGGTACCATTATCATAATGACACCTAGAGAATTGCCTTAAGGATTAAATAAAGCTTCTTATGTAAAAGTGTCCGGCACAGTGTCTGGCATATAGTTGAAGCTGAAAAACTATTGGTTTCTTCTCTCTCCCTCTTTTCCTTAGGCCAAAATAGTTCTGCTCCCTGATGAAGACACCTTTAGGAAAAGAGGAATCCTTTTCCTAGACTTCCTCCCTGAGGGACTTCCCTTGGTTGATATCATGGGAGCTGGACTGTTTTTCCTTCTCCAAATCCAGTACATTACCTACTGGCATTTTTCGTGGTGCTTGGGGAGGAGACAGTCGACGCAGGCAGGAGTTTCTGGGCTTCGCTCACCCTGAAAGAGAGGAGACTCAGTTCTTTTCAAGGGCTTCGTGATAAGCAGCCTACTCCCACAAGCCCTCTGGGGGAGCATTGGGGGAACGAGTCCTCCTCATGCTTGGGATGCTCTGGAATGAGCTGGCAATGCAGAAGGCGGTTTTCACCTTGGACAGGTTCCACATCAGTCTATTCATTTGCAGGGTCTTTAGCTTGACTGCTCAGACAGGAATTGGGCACCACAGCCCTTAGTACAGGATGATGAGACAGCTCGGGAAGCCAATTTCACCAGCTCCAGCCCAGACATCCTCCAAAGGACCTGACTGAGGAGTAGGGGAAATGGAGATGCTAGCTATGGAGGTCTAACTTTCTGCAGATGTTTCTGCGGAGCTTCCAAGCCCCTCTCTGTCTTGATTACTGGAGCAAGACAGAAACAAGGCAGAGAGGCGCCCTCTTCTGGGAGGGAGGAGCAAAGACATTGAATCCACCAGGAAGCCGGCGTTACACCAGCATAATTTTGGCTGCTGCCCTTAAAGTTCTGATGTGCATTTCTTCCATTTCCAACGCTACCTTACTTGTTAGGACTAGATTCTGGGTTTGCTTAAAAGTTGTTAAGTGATTTTAAATGAATCTGTCTTGATCTCAACATCAGACACAATAACACTCAGCCACTATATACAGCATAGAAAGCAGTTACATTCTAAAGTGCCCTGCTCTGTATAGTTTCAATAGTCCAAACAGAAACCATGTGGCTTCTGTGAATGTGCCCACACACATGAATTTATGCTTACACATACCTAATTTCATATCTAAAAACATACCTACTCTGTGCCTTTAAAAACATGTTTAGCCTGACATTTTCATTAATCCAAGGAGACTTTATTGAAACACTGCCGGCGTCTCCTGTCCATCTGGCCACATTTGATGACCCCATGTGATAAGTCATCTTCAGTGCAAGAACCAGGGCCGCCTCCCTCTCATTGATATTTCTCCTGACTGCACACCTCCCAACTGCAGCAACATTCTCACATGCATGCATGTATGCAATCGTGAGCTAAAAATAAACAGCTGCTGATGGGCTGCCAGAGGGTGTCCTCCATACACAGCAGACGTCCTCTGTCTCCCTTTAGTAGGCACAGCTAAAGCCACAGACAGGAATTGAGGGTAGTGGATGGGCTAAGCTTAACCCCAAATCTCTCAGGCAAGTTACAAAGAGTAGGAGATCCTGAAAAGGGAGATGACACAGCTGAGGCCCATGATCATTCTCTCCCAGGCCTTGTGCCCCAAATCCAAGTGATAACCTCTGGAAAAGTGTTTACTGGCATCAAAGGAAACCATTGCAGGGAAGGTCGATAATTAGGGTTAAGAAAGAAGATCAGCCATTCCTCCAGCCATGATTGTAAATAGCTCTCTGCTTTCTGGTTTTCCCCCTCTCAGGGCAGAAGTTATCCAAGTGGATCTAGGATATGTGTGCATTTAAGGAGGGTGATTTGTGTGCATGTGGTTTTGTTCAGATCTTCCAATCTGCAAGAATTCTCCCCACCTCCATCACTCATCAATCAAGAAACCCTTTGTCATGCTGAGGTGTGGCATTTCTTCTGCTGAAAACCTCAGATTCAGACACACCCCACACACCCTGAGACACACACATCCACACACACATGCACACCCTTCCTCACCCTTAGGAAGCAAGCTCCATTCAGATTGGTTTAAAAATAGCACTAATCCATTGAGCTCATTTTTCAGGGACATTATTTTAAGCAGAAAAAAGATATCCTGGTCTTTGAGAGGGAGAAAGGGTAAACGTCACCTCGCCTTAAAAAGTCCTGATAATGTCGCTGGAGACTAAGCATTTGCAGTCTTTGTTGAATTTTCTCCTCCTCCTACCATTCAACAAAAGTTATTTATTCCAGAATACCCTGCTATCTGGGTATTTATAGAGGTGAGTTTCCTCTTCGGGTGGAGAGCAGAGGGGAAAGCCGCAGTAGCAAGCCGGACACTCCCCTCTGGGCGCTCCCCACCGCCAGAACTGACGCCTTCGAGGGCGGTGGATTTGTGAATCAGCTCCCCTTTCCCCCACACAGGGGAGCCCCTAAATGGCTGCTGGCCATTTGCAAAGGGTTGTGTGCATGTGTGTATTTAATTGCAGGCTTATTTGTTTCTGCTCTGGGAGTCTGTCCGTCTCTCTGTAACTCGGATCATTGCTCTCTGGGAAGCTGTATAACTGGCTGATTCCGTGGGAGACCAGGCAGGATGCGTGGGCGCAGGAAACAGAAGAGGGAAAAGGAGGGAGAAAAAGAGAGCAGGAGGGAGAGAGCGGGAGCCTTAGAATCTGTTATTTGCGTCACTCGAGGAGCCGGGGCTATCTGCCCGACAAACACACAGAATTAATCCGAGTTACAGCCATAGCTGTCTATGCTACAGTGACCAGATGAGAAAGGGCGGGGAAAGGACGCGCGCGGGAGCGTGTGCACGGCCGAGTTTGCATTGGGCGTCTTGGGAGAGTTTGGGGAGGGGGCTGTCCTGCTGGGCACGCCCCTCGGGGCCCCGCTTGCCCGGTGCAGACTAGGCTGCAGCCTGCTCTGCAGCTGCCCAGCCCAAGCCTGGGGTGGCGCCCGCCTCGGCCGCCTCGCCTGCTCAGTGGCTGCGTGGAACACAAAGCGCTGTCTCCGAGCAGAAGCGTCTTCTCAGCTGAACCAGACCCACCAAAGAGGAGAATCTGCACGTGACGTCAGTAGCTGATGACTGACGCAGGCTGGCAAAGGAGACTCAAGGCGGCTGCTCCGCGCTGCCTTCATGAGTCTATTTTCTCCAGCCCCCTCGTAGTGAATTACTAGAACGCAAAACACACACACAGACACACATATGCAGCTTTCAAAATATACATTTCCAAAGGCGGTGTGTTGCAAACACAACGCGATTTTGCAGAGCGTGGGTGGGAAACGTGGGAAGGGTATGGATGATTTTTTTTTTCCTCATCTGGGAATCTCCATCGTGGATAGCAATCGCTTCTAGAGCTCTCCTGGGAAGCTCCTCTGGGGAAGGGGCTATGCCCCCCCACCCCCTACTTTCCTCAGCATGTAGGGAATCTGATCAATGGAGACATGCAGCTCTAAGAATACAACCACTCCAACGCCTTCTGCTCGGGGAGACTGCGAGGAGCTTGCAACAGGCAGAGACAGATGGGAGTTAACGGGAGGGAGGGAGAATATAAGAAATATTTGGGTATTTTTCTGATTTGAAAAACATTTTCTGCAGTTATGCAAGTGAGTCTGGTGGTGCAGGAAAAAAAAGTGAGGAGGGGGCGTTTAATGCACATTTAATGTTTTGGAAGTAAGGTTCCAGCGAAATGCCTTTGTGTGTGGAGGTTTTTTCAGTACTTGCTAAAAATAGCATCAGGGTTTGATCGTGTTCCAGAAATAAACCGAGGGCTGTACTGGGATAAAAAGCCAGCGCGGGTGGAAGAAAACCTGGACATCACCGCATTCCTCCCCCCACAACTATGTCTGGAAATTAATTGTTGGATTTTTCCTCTCCTCTCTCCTCTTTCCATCCACTTTCTCTTTCCTCCCCCTATGTTTCTCTTTCTCTCTCTTAAGGAGTTCCCGTTTGGGTAAGTAATATTATGTCATGTGCATGCCGCAGACTGTGAGTATGAGCTGACGCTTACTTTGTGCATGCTCCGGGGTTCTTTTTTGGCTGCCTTTTTTGCCCCTTCTAAAGAGGATAGTGGGACTGACTAGGGGGTAAGGGGTGTAGCTGTGTGCGTGTGTATGTGTATAATGAATTTGGGGCTGCATGCAAAGAAACCGAGAGAGGGAATTCTTGCAGAGCCGGGAATCACCCTGACGAATCTCTGAATCAATAGCTGCTGCAACTCTCTCTCGCGTTATGGGTCGGCGCTGTTGAGCTCGGTTTTCTCGATGGCCCCCTCCCCTCCCCATTTTCTCTGTCTTAAAGGATGGCCAGACACGATTTAATGGGCCATATCTCTGAGAGATTAATGGAGACTGTGCAATATAGATCAAAATTGCATGGATGGGGTTGGGTAAAGAGAGGGAAAAATCTCTACTCCTTTGACAAACCTCCCTTTTGGTTCCGGTCCGGGAACTAAGGACGGCGACCCTGGTTCGGGCTGGCCCAAGACTCGGTTGCTGTCCACGGAAGATAGGTGCTGAAAATGCCTTGGTCCTCAGTGAGTTCAGTTCCGTGCGCCAGGGGGCGGGGTTGGCGCCAGCTGCGGTTAGCCCCGCCCTGGATGCAGGAGAGGGATACGGGGACGAGAGGGTTAAGGATGTTCAAAGGGATAGTCGTGACTTCGGTGAGAGCTTTGGGGGGAAGGAGGGGTGAGTGGGAAGGAAAGGAAAAAAGATTTAAAGGAGGGGGAGCGAAGTGTTAGATTCGAGGATGAGCCAAGGCCCGGCGTTTCAGGAATGGAAGGCCAGTGGCTCACCGGCTTTCCCTGCAGAGGCCAGGCACTATCCGGGTCTCCATTCCCAGGATCCCGCACCTTCCCGCCAGTGGGTTTGAAAGATTTCTCCTCGGTGATGGTGACTCAAAATAAGAGCCTATAGGTTGTTTTATTCGGACCCTCGTCCCCTCCCACTTCATGCCCCCCATACCCCCGTATTCTGTAATTCCCGGGAGGTGTGTAAAGTAGTGTGGTGTGGCATTTTTCTTATTATTCCCCCCTTTTCGCATGCTAGTCATAGAAGCCCCAAGTGAGTTGGTGGAATTAGTGAATTAGAAGCCAAAGCACAGGAGTTGCTGGTGCGATGCGCAGAGAATCCAAGCTAGGGAACATCGCGGGGCGCCTTAAAGCCAAAAGCTAAAGGAGTCTAAATCAGCCTGAAGGGAAATTGGGGAGGAGGTGTTCTCTAAGTTGCCAAATGTTATTGGGAATACCATCAGCTCTCTGGGGTTGTGGGCTGGACCCAGACTGAGATTCAGTGCAGTCAGCTCCAGACACTTTGGCCGAATCTGTGGCCAGACAGGTGAGGAGGGAGGAAGATTATCAGAGGCAGAGGGGGAATGAGTATCACGCGCACACAAAGACATTCATGCTGATTAACTCCAGGAGAGGGAGAATAAAAGTACATCCTCAAGCTGGCCCGTGAGGATGGGCTGTAGACTGTGGGAGAAATGAAGCACTCTTGCAGGTCTGCAGTAAGATTTGTGTACGTGCAGGAATATTTTATATGTTTATTAAAAAATATAAACTCGGGACGGTGAGGTAAGTATTAGTGGGGCTAGCCTTCAGGACAGAGAAGAGACCAGGTCTCTCTGCTTCATTCACCCCTTCCCTTCTGTCAACAGCCTCTGGCTTTAGTGACCTGACCCCGATACAGGGTAACAGGGGTGCAGCCCGGGCCGGGGGATGAGAGGGTGGGTGAGTTATGTTTAGCTCAGAAGCCGTCCCTCTCTCGGAAGGTTCCCTGACTGAGACTGAATATTCAACTCATAATAGTAACAAGGGCTTTTACCGATGTGCAGAATAACACAAATAACGCTGCAACCCACACTTTGTCTTGACAATTCAGTTCAAACCAAAGCTGCTCACAGCCTCTCGGCCCACCCCGCGGCCTCCTCGTCATTCACTGGGACCTACTGGTTCCCTTTCCCAAGCCTCGCCCCTCTCAGCCCTGCAAGTTGCGTGGTTGTGTTTACAAATTCTGCCACAATTGCAAAGGAAATAGGGGTGGGGGGAGCGGTCGGGGCGGGAGTGGTGGTAGCGCCAATAAAGCACTTGCAACACGTGGAGCGGTGGTTGGGGGGAGGTGTCCAAGAGTCAAGAAGGGGGCGGAGGGACACCCCATGGCCTCATTTCCACCTCCCCATTCTTCCCCACCCCTTCTCATTGCTTGGCACAATGCACAAGTTTACCCCCCGAACTGGATCCTATTAAATAATTCAATGGTAGCGGTGTAATTTTGGTTGGAACCAGCACGGATTCCCAAGTCGTGACTGCAAAAAGTGAGTAATGCGCGCTGGCTGCGTCATGGCTCTAGTCACAGTTCATTCCGAACTGAGAAGGAATCGTGACTTCGCCTGGAGACGTCCCCTACATGGGAGATGGGGGGCGGGGGGGCACCAAATCAGTGGGGACGGGGGTGGGGGGGAAGACCTATCCAATGAAAACCGCTGCCAGGGGGGCATTTGAACTCCGTCGCTTGCTGTCTCGCTGTCCCCTCTCTGCCCCGCGCACCTCGCTCCCCCTCCCGGCCGGCGCTCGCAGTGGCGCGCCTGCTCGCTCTCCCGCTAAGCGACGAGTCTTCAACAAGTTGGAGGAAGGCAGGAACGCAGGGGTTAAGCTCGGAAAGCCGCAATTACCAAGATCGTGACCCTCCCACACAGTACAGTAACTTATATACTTACCTGGAAGAACCCGCTTTGCCGCCGGGCAAACACCCGTGGGGGGCGGGGAGGGGCCGGAGGGAGCGGGCCGGCAGGAGAGGGGCTGCTTCCAGCTGGCTGCAGTGCGGACGGGACCGGCGCGCTCCCGTGGCCCCCAGACCGAGGTAAGGAGCAGGGAGTCGGCGCCCGGGTCGGCTGGTGGTCGGTCGGCTCACTGGTAGTCGGTCGGCTCACGGGTAGTCTGAGCAGAACTTTTTTTTCCCAGTTGCCCCGCGCCGCGGCGGCGGCGGGCGCAGACCGCGGAGCCCCTCTGGCGCGGCGGGCGCGCAGACGCTCGGAGGGTGTGTGCTTGCGTCTGTCAGTCCCGGAGCCGAGGGGATGCCGTGGGAGGGTGAGTGGGTCGCGGAGCTGCAGGAGGGTGATGGATGGGCGAAGGGGGTGGGTCGACAGGGACTTGAAGACAGTGCCTCCACCGTCGAGAGACGTTTTCTCCGGGCGTGCTGGGCGAGGGTGGGAGTGTGTGTGCGCGCGCGCGCGCCCGCCCGCACGTCGATTCCAGGGTGCCAAAGAACAAATATGGCAACTTTCCCCCCAAGTTCTTGCAATGTTTGCAGTAACCCATCCTGGGTGAGGTTTCCCCCACTGGGGGACTATACTGCTAGGGAGGGAGATAGTCAGGACGTCCCTTAGCCCACACCCTGCTTAGGTACTAATGGGGGGGGGGAGGGGCAGGAGAGGATGTGGGAAGGGTGGCGCTGCACTGCGAAGAAGGGCAACCCCTCAAAGTTTGGATGGATGGGATGGAGGAGGGGGCCGAGCGGGATGGAGGAAGAGGGAGGGAGGAAGAGGGAGGGAGGGAGAGTGAGGGAAGGAGATCTCCTTTCTCCCCATCTCTAGTCTTCCCTCCCCTCCTTTCTTCCTCCCGCAGAAGGTGGAATCTCCCGTCGTTGTGGGGTCAGGCAGTCAATGACGGGTTCGCCCCTTGTTGTTCCCCCTAGCATTCTGCAGAATGGGTAGAGAGTTGGGGGCGGGGGGGTGGGCTGCAGAGTTGAAAGTGCACCTGAGGCGAATGGGCCATTAAACACCCAATACTGAGACGGTTTCGGGGAGGATGCGGAGGGAGGAGCTTCACCTAGTTGAGCATTCAGAACTTTGGGTGGGAAAGGGGGTGTTGAGACATTCTCAATTTTCTAGAAATAGGATGACTAGTGTGGAGTTTGGGTTTATTTTATGTTCATCTTTGTCATTTTTCGTCTGGATCTTCTGGCTTGGGTCCCGTTGGGAGAGGTCGCTCTCTTAAACCTCTCTTTCCCAATACATCGCGCTACCCCCTCACTTGGGCTGGAATGAGGAGGGGGTCCTGAACCGCTTTTTTTGGCAACAACAATATTTTAACATGTTCCAGTCTAGGTTTTGTTGAATAATTAGAAATGGAAATATTTTTTTCTCCCTCCCCCTTCTGAAAAAAAAGGGGGAAATGTGAGCTCTCTTCTGATTGGTGGGTGACGATTTTAGTCCGCACCAATGAGCTGGCGGCCTCGTCTGTATTTATTTAGTGCTCTGGGGGAGTTTTTCTCTTTACGCAGCGCCTGTAGTCACGGCTGGAACCTTGGCTGGGGGACTCTGAGGGATAAGAGGGGATTCGGGGGGAATCCGAACTGTACCTGTTCAGAGATCCGCGACCTTGCAGCCGGGGCTGGCGGAACTCTGATAGGGAGATAGAGGGATAGGACAGGCAGGCGGGGAGGCTCCGGGTGCTGGGGCGACAGGAAAGGGGTGGAGGCTGGGCTCCGGGATCCGGGTGCCCCTCTGCGGTCCCCTTCTCGCCCTCCACACACTTCTCTCGGGGCTGAGTTGGGGGATCGCGGACGGTCTGGAGAAATGGAGACACGAGTCCAGGGGCGCGGAGGGGCGGGCAGCGCGCGGAGTGGTGAGACTGAGCCGCGATGGAACGCGCTGGGGAGACCCAGCCTGTTCGGCTCCAGGGTTCGGAGACATCCTGGGCTGAAGGCGGCGGCGAACCGAAGAAGCCGGCATATTCTGCCCTTCGCGAATCTTTTTGCGGTCTGGGCTTGCTGTACATAACTCAATAGCCGGAAGCCCTTACCCCAAAAAGCATTTGCGGAGGGCGCACTCGTCGAGAAGACGGCAGCCATCCAGCGATCGCCGAAGCCCGCACCTTCCCGAAGCTGCTCCATCCGAGCCTTACCCGGCCCTTTCCCCGTTTTCCACGGAAGATTCGGCCCTTTCCCCCGTCCTTTCCGCGGTGCCCGAGGCTTTGGTCACCTGTCTTCCCTCCGAGCGAGTCCCCCGCCCCCAACTTTTTAACAGACTTTGTATCACAGGGGGAACTGGAGCAGGTGGGGTGTGTGTGTTTTCGGAGAAGTGAGAAGAAGCTAAAATGCAATAAAAGTTTACAGAAGTTGTGTCTTCCCCCCAACCCCCGCCCACACCACGAATAACCCCATTCACTCAATGCAAAGAAAAGGATCTGAGCTTAAGGCCAAGTCAGAACCTGGAATATGAATCAGTTTAGGACATTTTGTGGTCATTTTTGACCGTAATGATCCGATTCTGCAATATGGGGGTGGGGAAGCCCTTGAGGGAGGGGCTGGAGGCCCTTAGTATCTTATGTCCTGGTGCGGGGGACCCGGAGGTGAGGCGAGCCGCGGTGAATTGGGTAGATCCGAAAAAGAGGGAAAACACCCAGGCACCGCCCGATCCCCGGAGTCTCTTCCTCCCGCGCCTGCTTCCAACCTAATTTGGGGCGTTTTGCAGCCTCGGGTCTCCCACATCTCCTCTTTTTCAAAACTAAGTAGCACGGAAGGGGGTAAAACAGGCGAGAACTGGGGAAGCCCCCGCAGAGAAGGAGCTTTGGAGAGATGCGGTTGTGCCCGACTCAGACGCTTAGCAGGAACAGAAGCAGCAGCAGCAGCAGCAGCCCCATCCCGGCCTCTCCAGGCGCCGGTCCTGGGGAGGGGGGCAAAGCTGCAGGAGAGGGGAGAGTCTGTGAGTCCCCCTCCTCCCCCTCCACTCATTGCAGTCCTGACCACTTCGGTCACAAGTGGCACAAATCAGGCCTTCACCACGCTCCCCGCGCCCTTCGCCTGCTAGGAACACTGCTAGACGCCCTTGCCCTTAGGGACTGGGCCAGAAGGACACACATACACACATGAGTGCCCACAGGGACAGAAATGGGTAGAAGATGGGTCTAGAGACACCGGAGTTCAAGACCCGAGGGCTGCGAACCTTCACGTTTTCGGGGAGGGCCTGAATTTCCCCCGTATCACAACCACCGTTCTTCCAACAAACTAAACGCCCACCGTCATTAACCTGTCCGCTGGTTGAACACCCGGACTCTACCCTCTCCAGAATTAGGAAAGGGCTGCAGAGTCCGAGGGTGCTGGACAGAGTCAATCTTTTATGGCTAAGACTGTGAGAAGGCACGGAAGGCGAGCACTCCAAGCTCTAAGGCTAAATCAGAGCTTTCCTCCCCAGATAAAGGAAATTTTCCCTCCCTGAATACGTTTTCTAAAAGAGTAAAAAGGTTCCTAAGATCTGCAAAGGAGATGGAGCAAAAAGCAAAAGCTCCGGGGATTTTCCTCCCTGCCTCTCACCTGGGGCCGTCTGTGGAGCGATAGCTTTGCGGAGGGAGAGGCATAAGAACCACGTTAGATTAATAATAGCTTCACCCTGTGTCCCTTCAGCTCCTCTTTTGTCTTTTGCTTCTTACATACCCCTCCTCTTCCCAGCCAGAAAGCCCTCCTCTCTCCCAAAGCCTGAACCTTCACCAGATTTGGGAGAGAGGTGGCCCAAGAGAAGTGAACTTGCACAGAAGAGGTTGAGCCACCGCAGCGCAGGCGGCTCAGGGTTATTGCGACCCTAGCCCCCTCACTTCTCCCTCCGAGGCTAAGTGTGGGACTAGGGCTCCAGGGCCCAAGGAGCAACGGCCGAACCCGGCGTCGTGCGGCACCGGAGCGAGTCCTCTCCTCGCCTCGCCTCGCCTCGCCTCAGCCAGACAACTGTTGCTGCCTTGGAGAAGCTCCTGCTGCTGCAGCTGCTGCTTGGGGCGGCTGCACGCCTGGGGCTGAGGCTGCTCACTTTTGATCGGGGCTGGGAGCTTGCGGAAAGGGGTCTCTCATTCCGGGTGGGATCAAAGGAAGAGACCCCTTCCCCCTTCCCTTCACAATAAGTGAAAATAGGTGGCTTTTTGTGGCTTTTGGTGTCTTTCCTTCCCTCCTTAGGGCGGTTATGTCAGTCTGAGCCCAGTGGGAGCTGATCTCTCCCTCTCTACCCATTTTGCTTTTGCTAAGGAAGGAGGGCAAAGTGGGGGGGGGTGCCTCTATGTACCCTCAAACTGCCGATGCGCATCCCACTTAATAAAGCTACCTCGCCTTTTGAACCAGGGGCCTGATGGAAACTTCCAGGCACTTGCATGTGATGCCAACCTCTGGAGGCCCTATAGGAGAGGGAGCAGCACCTCAGGAACCCTCCTCACCCCAGGCTACTCCTTCCGGGGGTGTGAGAAGTGTTCGGAAGGCAGCTGGGGAAACTTTGTCCCCTGGGCCCAGCCAACTAGCTTAACTTTGCCTATGTTAAAAATCAAGACCAGGGGTTATCTGTGGAGCTAGGGAAGGGTTTCAGGGGCCACAGAGTCCCCTCAAAGTCACCTGCCCCCAGTGGGGAGAGGCAGGTGGCTGGGCCAGGCAAAGCAGTTTTGCATGCCGTCTTTCTCAGGCTCACTCTGACCACACCCTGGGTGATCTGCTCTCCTGCCTCTTCCCCACTCCTAGAGTCTGGAGCCAGATTTCCTCCCTTTATCGGCCCTCTTGTCTCTTCTATCCTCTTTCCCGGACCTGTGGTTGCTTTCAGTCCCTCTGCCTTGCCTGTCTCAGGTTGGAGGCAAAGACAGAAGCATGGGTTGATTCAGATGTGCTTGGAAGGCTTGCTATGATCTCAGACCAGGGCCATCTTCTCTGTCCTGGGGACTTCTCAAACTAGAAGGCTTTGTGGGCATCTCTGGAAAGCTCTGCTCTTGAATCAGCATCCATGCCTTGGTAGCTCTTGGCCCAGATGTGCCCCCTACCCTTTTCCTTTCCTTCAGTCTTCCCACTGCTTGATTTCATGTGAAATGACCCAGCCGCCAATCACTCCCATTCTCCTTCTGAGACAGCAGAGTAACCCTGCCTATCTTTTGGCCTTTTCAGGTGGTCAAACCTGTCCTGACACCCAGAGGTCTGCATGAGGGGTGGCCACTGAAGGAGGAGTTCTCAAAGGCCACAGGTGATGAAGAGCTTGGATGAATAAACTTAGAAGTCCCAGGTGAGTACCAAGATGTCAGCCCATGGTTTCTTCGCCTGAGCAGACCCAAGGGGCCTCCACACATACTTCCCACTTGATGATGAGATACAGGGAAGCCACAGATCCAGTGATTGGAGACTGTCCTCAAAGGCTTAGTCCTTGACAAAGGAAGGCACCCATCACAGAGGTTACAAGGAAGGACACAGTACCTACCGCATAAGGCATAGGACTTCATAGGACTGCATAGGACTTCCTGTCCCATCCCCTAAGCAGGACTTGGGCCTGTGTGTTCAGGAGCCTCCAAACCCTCAGTACTGAGGGGTGTAGGCCCTATTCAATGGGGCCCACTCTTCCTTCTCCACCTCCACTTCCTGGACCATCTGAGGCCTCTCAGGGGCCCAAGGGATGTGCAGAGTTGAAGGGTCATTTGCCATGTGAAGTTTCTCTGAGGACACCAAACGTTGTTATGTCTCCTTAACTGGAGTTCGGCCTAGGATGCATGGGAGAAATTTTAGCCTCTGGATATTTTTTTTGAAGGGTAAGGCATTAAACTCTAAATGCATTTACTTTTCCTATTAACCAGCAAAATCTCTTGCTATAGAGCTTTTGTTTAGCTGCCTTTCTGAGCTTCAAAGTCATACTGTGATTCTTATTGGGGATTTCGGTTCAGAGCTTGGCAGAGAATTTTGAAACCCCAGGGCTGTCAGATTTGTGAGGAAAGGAGAAACCAAGCTACCTGCCTAATCCTTGGAGGTCATGTGAGCCAAATGTGGGAAGCTGCCAGAAATTTTTAGAGGGAAACTCGAGGCTTATGGCAGAATAGAAGCACATTACGTGGAAGATCTTCAGATCTTTATACAACAGATCTATTTGCTATGTTAATTAAATGACTGCTACATGGATTTTTGGAAATTTTTACATTTTAAGAGTAGAGCTTAAATAATACGTAAATTGACTGGAATCGTCTATAATTTCCACCATGTAAAGTATGGATGAGGCCATCAAATTGTTAAATGAGCCTAACTTCTTTTAAGTTCCCCTTTTGAATATAAGGACCTGAAGTCTGCAGCATCTATCTTTGGGCAATAGGGTTGTTGTTAATTCCAAGAGGTTCACATCTTCCTTCTCCCTCCTTAACCGATAGTTCAGTTGCACTGTGAGAAAATCTAAGAAAATAATAAGGCGGGGTGGTGGGAGTCGGGTGGTGATTTTCTTGCCTGAAAGGTAATCTCTTCTAATTATGTTTGAAAAAATCCATGGATAGACTAAACCTCAAATTTAGATAGACTATGTAGCATGCCAAAACTGGAAAGAACTATAGAGTATATTCAGAGAGAGACCAATCTCTTCATTTTATAAATCAAACAGGTTCAGAGAGGTTAAGTGATTTTACCAAGGTCACACAGCTGGGGCTCAACCCCAAGTTGTTTACTGTGTTCTCTGGGTATTTTTTTTTCCACTAAGCATTTGCTATCACTACCACATAATACAGCTAATCCATAAACATAATCCAGGACAACAGAACAGATTCCCTTTGAAAAGACTGACACCCCAGGGTTCAAAGAAGAGTTTACAGAAAGTTTCTTCTGTTTGCAATTAGCATTCTGGGGGCATCATGAGAAGGTTAGGTATGGCTCTCATCTCTTGTCTCTGACATGGCCTAGACCTCAGAGCCTCCATGTTACCTTGGTCTGCAGAGGAAGTCATCAGCACAAGAAAGTTGCTGTGTCATAGAATCCTAGTATTGGTGTCTTTCAAAACATTTGCTAGCATGAAGCAGTTCCGTAAGGCATGGGTCCCTGTCTTTTATTTCTCTCCTCTGGGTGGCAGTTGATTCTCATCCTTCTTGTCCTGTGGGGCTTGACTGAGAGCTGTTAAGAGGGTAGTTAAACCCAGGATCTCCTTTATAAGCAAGAAGGCCCTCATAAGGAGGTTTCAAACCCAGTAAAGATCTGTTTGATCCTTGTCCCCAAGATATTTTTTTAGAATGCTGCAGATCACCTGCTTGTAGGACAGCTGCTTGGCCTGGTCAGTTTTAAGCTCATGATTTACTGCCAAACCCTGGATTGAACTCCACTATTTCAGCTTTACATATTTCTACCAATATCAGCCACTTCGAGGCCATATTAATCATGTCTTCAGAACATGGGAATAGTAGTCATGCTGTGCATGCTATCACAAATAAATTATTCTGGTGGCCTTTTTCACAGTCTCTCCCTGCTCTTTGCTCCCCCCACCTCCCATTTCAGAGATACACTTTCTGACAACTTCTAAATAGGAAATAAGATTCATTTCTCTGCTTAAAAAGCAACAGATTGGGAGGAAGAAAAATGAGATGGGGTGAAAGATACAAATAGGTTAAAAAGCAAAACAAAGCTGACAAGCGGTGGAAAGAATTAAAAGAGCAAATTCTATCTAGTCCCAACTACTCACATTTATGAACTTAAAGAAGCAATAGTATCCTCTCTAGGCCTCAATATCTCCATCTATAAAATTAAGTGCTTTGGAGGTCAGACCCCTTCCATTCATGCATTCGTTCAACAAATGTTTATTGAGTTTCTGCACTATGTATCAGGCCTTATTCTAGACATTGGAGATATAAATAAATTATTCTTCCTTTGATAATCTGTTTAAAGCTATGGACCTTGTCCCCAGCAAAAAGGAAAAAAAAAACCAGGCATTTTATATACAATTTCAGGGAGCTCAGGACATCCCTAGGTTCCATAGACCCCAAGTTAAAATTTTTTTCATTGAGTCTCTAAGGCCTACATTTTACAATATGAAGGTTTGAGCTTAGGTTGCATGGTCAAATCTTGGTTTTTAGTTGTTCTTTTTTTTCCCCCATTAGCACTTTGTTGCATTTTTATTGTGATTTTGGTCCTCCATTTTTGGAGAATAAATATTTGGAACTTAGTTAATACTGCAAGTGGCTAGAATAAATGCTGAACAGCAGCTCGTAACTGAGAGGCAAGGCAGACGTGGAGCTGAGGACAGAAACAGATGAGAAGTTTTGATGACTAATCTCAGCCTGGTCCTGCAGAATTTCAAAGAGTCAATCTATCTTTTAGGCTAAGTATTCTTGGTAAAGTCGATGGTTCCATGGAGGGAAGGGAGGTTTGTGTTGGAGCTGGACAGTATAAGATCACAATGCCAGGGCTCACAGCAAAGACGGATTTCCTCTGGTGCTTTTGACTACCAGGCACAATCATAGCTGGACAGGTCAGGGATTCATTGAGAAGGAAAGACCAGTCCACTTCTGGCCCTGTTGGGTTGGTAGACTGGCTGCTTCCATGTAGCACAGCAAGGGGCTTTATAGCAGGTAGTTCTGTTGAGATCTTTAGTGAAGGAGAAATTGGGAGGCTGAAAGGCTCAAAACAGACATGGATAGGTCTGTGTGCAAAGGTTTCACCCCAGTTCTGAGTCTTTCTGAGCATTTTTCTTCCCTGCTTTCAGCATCTTCAGAATTCTTACTTGCAATGAGGAAGGCCAGAACTTTTTCATTTAGGGCAAAGGGGCATTTACTGATTTTAGAACTGATCAGCTACTAAAAAAACTGGACTTTAGGTGGGGAGTTAGATGCTCTTATTTAGCACTCCCAGGTGAACAGCCAGTGGAAGTCACTGCTAGGAGAGGACCCTGGAAGTGAAGTGATCCATCTTTGAAAGAGCCAGGTAGGAATCTGAACTTGTAAAGTCTTTGTGTTAGATTGTGGGAGGACAGGATGAAGTGTGTGAATTTCTGCTTAAGCAAGAAAGCAGCAAGTTGTTGCTGCTGAGGCTAAAGTATAGGAAAATCCATCTAAATATAAACTTTTTATCTTCTCGATTTCTTCATCTGTAAAATGGGGATAATGATAACACCCTTCACCATAAGGCTTTGGTGAGGATTAAATGAGATTATGCATGTGTAAAGAGCCTAGTCAGTGTTCAAAAAATGTTAGCTATTATTATTATTAGCTATTATTATTATTATTATTATTATTATAGTGTTCTCTTTCCTGTCTGACACACATAGCAATGTCATACAAGGCTTAAATCATAGCATAAGCAGCTATAGGACCAGAGCTATTCCTAGAGTGACAGATAAAAGATAATCTTTTCTGGAAGCATCTGTCCATTTGTTCCATGGCCTGCCAGTGCCCAGGATTACCCTCTGGGAGCAAATCAGAAGGGTTGATAGAAAAATCTTTTTCTCTACTTTATGTGTCCCTACATGAAGATTATCTCTTTCTTGTTTCATTCTCCTTTTAATTCCTTGCTTTCACGTCCCTTTTAAAATCAATTGAATTTAATTACAATTGTTTTTGCAAATCACTCTTTTTGCCTTTATTATTATTATTATTATTATTATTATTTTGATGGGGAGAAAAAGCAATTCACCTAGGATACTTTTATTTTCAGCATATATCCAGTCCTAAATTTTCAATGTTTAGGCAATTTCCACCAAGGAAAAAAATAAGGAAAAATAGAAGGGCAAGAATATGTAACACTATTTGCTATCGTAAATAATGTTTTCTTTTTCCTTTTCCCGCATATTTAATCTTCATTCTTTCCTTCTTCTGACTTTACTTTTAACATCTTATAAATCTTTTTGTCTCCTCCTAAAACACTCCTGCCTCAAAATCTTTGTTCTCCTCCTTTTGATCCACTGAACTTGTCCTATCAGGCATTTCTTTTTAAGCCTTGGCTGCAAACTGCAGGGCTGATTATAGGAAGAATGTGATATGGTCCCTACATTTTCTGGGTAATGCCAGGAGAAAACACCAGGGCCACCAATTGTCCCCTGAACCTGTTGAACACATCTGAGGCCATTCCAAAGAGAAGGAAAAAATATTTTTGTTTTTGTTTATTATTTATTTATTTTATTCAGTTTTCATAGAAATTGGAGCCTTCCCCATGTACCTTTCTACATTTCCACTTTCCCACATTTAAACCCACAGTCTATGCATTGCTTCCACTTGGTGACTTTTCCTTTTTTCTGTCGTTTTAAAAATAATTATAATAAACGGTTCAGGGATATGTCAAACGTGGCCTAGAAAGTGGTCTTGCTATCTGTCCTTTTAGCTGTTTAAGGCAAGAATGATGAAGGCAGCATTGGAAGGAAGCAGTGAAACCTGTTGGTCAAGAACAATGGGTTTTGAAGACCAGTGAGATTTAGGTTTTTTGCCTAGTCCTGCCCTTATTAGCTGCATGCCCTTGAGCAAGTTATCAGCTGCACGCCCTTCAGCAACTCTGAGCCAGTTTCCTCATCTGTAAAGTGGGGATATTAAAAGTATCTGTTTCATAAGATCGTTAGGAAGATGAAATGAGCTGTCAGTAAATACACATTCCAGTGCATCAGGCATGTAGTATGTACTCAAGTGAGATGAACTGTTATTATTATTTAGACAAGTTCCTGCAGATCCAGGTCTAAATATAGTCCAGGAGTTGCTGGAGGAGTTGAACCTTGAATAAGGAAGGAGAAAAGTGAATGTAAAATGACTAGGAGTCATGAGATAAGAGAAGAGTCTAAATAAACTCTTGGAATTTCACAAGTGTCCCAATCTTACCAAGATTTTCCAGATGTTGTGAATTGGGCTGGGGCTGAGTCTGGAGCTGAATCAATGATGACCGCATAAGGGGAACTCGCTCAAGGGTTCCTGGCTTCTAAGTAGTAGACTCTGGGTCAGTTAAATTGCAATGACATTGCACCTTAAAATTTTAATACCTCAACTGGCATTAACCAGTAGGGGAACCATGATCCCCAGGGTCAACTCATCTTTAAGGCCCAGATTTTAAGTTTAGCAAAAAAAAAAAAAAAAAAAAATCAAGACAAGAAATAGTTTTACCATTTATTTTGTAGTGGAGTGAGTGATTTTTTTTTTTTTTTTTTTTTGAGACAGAGTCTTACTCTGTCACCCAAGCCGGAGAGCTGCGATCTTGGGTCACTGCAACCTCTGCCTCCCAGGTTCAAGCAATTCTCCTGCCTTAGCCTTAGCCTCCTGAGTAGCTGGGACTACAGGTACATGCCACCATGTCCGGCTAATTTTTTGTATTTTTAGTAGAGACGAGGTTTCACCGTGTTAGCCAGGATGGTCTCAATCTCCTGACCTTGTGATCTGCCCACCTCAGCCTCCCAAAGTGCTGGGATTACAGGCCACTGCACCCAGCTCGACTTTTTTTTTTTTTTTTTTTTTTAAATCTGTGGCCAAGAGCACTGGGCAAAGCATAAGAAAAAGAGGACAGAAAACATGCTTGCTACAGGTGGGTGTTCTATGAACCTAAATGAAATTATCAGGAAAATTCTGTACTTTTCAGCTAATTAAGGGTCAGTAGCTTATCAAGTAATTTAAAACCAAGAGTGAATTAGATATAGCCCTCCAAACTTTATCTTTCAGATTTCTACCAGCTCTGAACCTCAACACCACATTTAAATGAAATAATATTTAAATAAAAGAGGAAAAGTTTCCCCCCAGTGAATTCTCTTATGCCTAATTAAAAAATGTTTTTAATAAATAGGTAATGAAGCACAGAAACTGTCATTTATAATACAAATATTAAAGAAATACATTTTTATTGATAGTATACTGAATTAAAATTTGCTCAGTGTTGTTTATAAAACAAACATTTAAGCAAACATTTTAGGCCATAATATAAATAGATGTCTAATCTAGTGTTTTCAGATATTTGCAGGCTTGTAAAACTCTCTAAATCGTAGATATTTTCCTCTCAAAGTTATCCTTTAGGAAGTTTCTCTTGAAAAAACCTGTCTTACATAGTTTTACACAAGAAATCTCTGCATTTAAACATGAAGCAATCATGAAAACAGTGGCTATCACTTTAAATAACAAACAAATGAGATTTTAAAAATACAAATGCAAGCTTATTGCTTTTTTGAGGATTAGCTATTAGCTTTTGAGTTTATTTTTTAGTGATGCTTTAGAATTCTGAAAGGAAAATCTTTTTAAAAGAAGGAAAACCTGTTAAAATAAACTATATAGTTTTATTTTCATTTTATAATTTAAAATCTTGTTTCTTTGTGAACTACCTCTCAGCTAATCTGAGATTTAAAATGAAATTTTGTGTTTCTTTTTTTTTGTATTTGTTTTCTGTATAGTTAACTTGTAAACACTAAAGATAATTTATCCCAGTAAAGATCATCATTTAATTAGAGCTAAAATATCTAAGAAGGTATTTTATTTATGACTATAAAACATTAACTTTTCATATGACACAAAGAAAATGTAACTTTCCATAGGGAGTTTTATGATAATTCATTAATATGTTTATTTGGGGGCAGTGCACCACTTTCTTCTGCTATTCATAAATTCATTCCTTAATTTGAAAATAAGAATATTTTTGAGTTAATATTTTTTGTTAGAAATATAGTTTTCAGTTAAAATATTTTTCCAGATACAATTTTAAACTGAGAGCATTTTTAAACTAATTTTATTTTTAATAGTTTATGTTTTAACACTAGGTTGATTTCATCTCAAATTTTTTTTCTGTATGTGCTCATAGGTTATAAAATTTATAGATCTTAATATAACACATCAAAACAGGTTGTTTTATTTATAATATTTATACTTATGAAGGGATTATACATGACATTAAATAGTGACTGTTATTTATTTACTGCTTTGCTTTTTGGCAAAATTTTGTGTGTGTGTTTTTTTAATGCAGGAAGGCCTATAATAAATTAAAGTAGTAGATTCTGACATTTACTTGAGAATTAATAAAGTTTATGGAAATTTTCAGAAGTAATTCAAATTCACATCATCAAATATTAAAAAAAGACAGTATAAAAACCTGAGTCCCAGAATTACTCCAAATTAATTTTTTCCAAAAATTTCACTGAATATTTTTTCAAATACTTCATTGTTTCTCATACCTTGCATTGTGACCACCCACCTGGTGTGTTTAAATATATTATGTGAGCATGGAAAAGAAGCTGAGACATGAAGTGATTACAAGAATGAAATTCACTGTACTATTGCATACATCCTTTTCCCTGCCATTTTTCTGAGCAGACAGGCACAACCTGGGTATAGTCTTTTTGAATACACGGGTCTTTTTCCATCCTTCCTGTTGACTGTTAATATGCAAATTTATGGGTAAAATATGGCTTATAGAGCCATTTTTTTTTAATGGAGGTTTTCTGGTAGTCTGGAAGGGAAGTTGATGCTTGCTAATTTTTCTTTCTCTTAAAGGGGGTCAGGATCCTTTTTTGATCTCACACACTCTTAGAGGCTAAGATACATTTACTGAGAAGAGAGGAGAGAGGCTGTGTTCTCAAAAGATCCTCACTGGTTGAGGGAGAAGTATGTTACCAGCTAGGAAGTAACTTGGAGAGGACAGGGTACAGAGAGACATAGGGAGCTTATTCCAACATCTTAGCTTAGTGATGTCATGAAAATGCCGAAATTGTATGCTCAATATTTGTCTACATGCTGTTAATTTCATGGTCTTTCTTTTGTTTACATATTTGCACACACATGTGCACATGCACATATACTCACAAGCAAAGACCCTAGGCCATCTTTCTCACCTGGAAGGTAAAGCCATTTGTATCTGAAGCTACCCTAATGTTAGAACGGTCTCATGTGGCTCAGGCTGACCAGGGCGTTAGAAGATATGATTTCCTCCAAGTTTCATTTCAAATCAAAGTGGAGTCTATCTGCCACATAAATAAACTAAATATTGACAATATTTTTTGACATGGAATAGTCTTTTAATCAAAAATAGGTTACCGTCAAATCTGAACTAAATCTCAGAACTTTTTTTTGCCTCCTTAAAAAGATTGATTATGGAACTGTGCAGTTATCTGTGTCTGACAATGCTAAATCAAAATATCTTTAAATAAAATTTTCATCTCCAGCCTTAAGTATAGGGAAATCCCAACTAAAATGGTTTAGCATCAGTATCACATAAAAACAATGCAATTCTCAAGCTTCTAAATCCTGTGAAAAGAGAAAGAACTGACTTTATCTTCGTAAACTTCCTTGAGAGCTTTAGAAGAAAAGCAGTAAGAAATATAATTATAACCTTTAATGTTACTGTAACCATCATTATTTACTGATGATTTTGTGATTAAAAGGTATTGCTAGTGAGCAACAAAGAAAAAAAATCCAGGACAATTAAAGGAAAAATAATTAAAATATAAAAAGAAAAAGGAAAGAAAAAATCTGACTATGGGAAAGTAAATTTAGAGGACTGTTTGACCTAAGTTTAAAACATATAGTATAAATATCACATGAATTTCTGTGCCACTCTCTTCTTGCAGAAAAACACATGCATAAACCCAAAATGTATACATAGGAAATATTTCTAATCAATATCAAGCTTATTTAAAAATTCACTGCTGTTAAATTTGCCACCATATTTGGATAAATATAGAAATTAATACTCTCTGAAAAATATTTATTTTTTTCCAGACTAGGAACAAGATTGAAAGGGGAAACGGTCAATGCATCCTTCACCCTAATAATTGGATTAAGGATTTTCTGAGTCATAACGATAGTTAACTTTTTAAAATCTTAATTACTCCATAGTTACAAAATCCTTGAAATAGTAGTAATCATTTAAAAATGTCCTGAATGAAGTATACAACTTTGGGGAAGGATCTTCTTTCAGGAAAAAAAATTATAGCAATTTCTGCAAAAACAAATAAGAAGGTTGAATCTATTTGAAAATATACAGATTTGGAGGGAAAGATTCTTTTAGGGAAAATTCTCAGCAAATAGAAAATACATATTTGATTTCAGGAAAAGCATTCAATATAGAAAAAAAAGTACCCTAAAAGAATACTATATATTTTATGAGGAAATTAAAATTTTAAAATATTCTATTAAATTTTTTGCTCAAAATTTTATGAACTGATTTGGTTTTCTTTTCTCTTTTTTTTTTTTCCTTCCTTTTAAAAATTGTATTGCTATAACAACATTGATCTCAAAGCTGTGCTGCTCCTTGTAGACTGGCTGCTAAGTTTGGCTTTCTAAGAGCTAATGATCTGACTACCTGGCTGGTCTCTTATTTCTGAAGAGCTCTCATGCTCCTCCTGTGTTTGCATTAAAAATGCGTTTTACCCTGTGGAGTGCATTAGTCGTTTGTTTTTCATTTTCTTTTTCTTTCTGGATGTTTTCTTTCCTTCAGAATGTCACATTCCCTTGCCCCCACCCTGCCAAAATGTACCCAACCAAAAAAAGATTTTTTTTGTCTTCTTTCTTTTTCCTTTTTCTTATTTAAACATTTCTTTTTCCTGCAGAGCAAACACCTTTTACTTGTAGCAAACTTATAATCCCTGTGTAGTCAGAGCCTTTTTATTGGGACCACTGTGGTATTTCTACATTTGAGGCCCATTATTATGTGGCCTTGGGTAAAACGGTCTTGGTGAAATACCACAACTGCACAAATTTTCAAATATCTGAACTGCACAAATATTAACTATAAATAAAGGTGTGAGACTGACCCTGACACTAGCAGCACCGAAGCCCCTGTTTATTCTTGGTTTTCTATAACAGCAGAAGAGTCAAAGGGCTCCATGTATCCTTCAGATCTGAGGTAGGCTCCGCCGACCTCAAGCTGAAGGTTCTTGGATTTTCATGGAGCTGTCTTAAGTGGAGTTTATGTTGCAAATGTTTATATGCATGTGTCTTGTATATATGTTGCATCTTTTCACCTAAATCTGTCTGGGAAAGGGTTTAGCCCAGTCTAACAGATAGTTTTGAAAACAATAGTTGAATTCAGATCAGCTGGTAAGTGATATACTTTCAGTGATTATCTGAGTAAAATCAGCTGTTACATGCACACCCTCTCCCCTGCAGAAGTTGATGCAACACTGTTGATTTATTCATTTATTTATCCAACAGAATATCCTCTGGACGACTAGTCAGTGTTAGATGTAAATGAAGAGAGTGTACTTGTTAATGTTACTCATTAGATTCTATAGGTCTGTGGATTTTTCAAGTGATCTTCAGCTGTAAGATTAATGTATTTAAAATTAACCTTTGTTAATTTCTTATTAACACCAACAAAAAAAAATGGTAATCCCCGGTGGGGAGTAACCAGGCAATGGTTTTACTATTTATGTATTTATCTGAATAAACGAAAAATAATTCTTGAACATATACGCTCATGGATTGACAGCTTTCCACCTCTCTCCCCATTGTACATGAAAACATTCACAGAACACACATACACACACAGAGCGAGAGAGAGAGAGAAAGAGAGGAGAGATTTACTGTCCTATTGCCATGTTTACATTATCTTCCATGTTTTGGTGTTTGCAAGTTGGCCTGAAGAATGAGTTCATTCTCAAGTCATTTTGATTGCACTCATTCAACATAGAATCTTAGGATTTTGATAGCACTGATAGGGACCCTCAAGACCATCCAGCCCAAACTCCCCATTCTTTGTTTTGTGTTGTTTTGATTTGTTTTTTATAGGGGAAAGGTCTCACTATGCTGGCCAGGCTGGTCTGAAACTCCTGGCCTCAGGCAATCCTCTCACCTTAGCTTCCCAAAGTCCCAGCATTACAGGAGTGAGCCACTGCTACCAGCCTCAAACCCCCCGTTTTACATAAGGAAAACTGAGGCAGCATGAGAGGCACCATCTTGCCTAAAATTTGGAGAGAACTGTGATTTAGTGGCTGGTCTGGGGTTAGAACTGTTCACCCTGATGAGACCTCACTCCAGAGATGGGTATTGAGTTCCTGGGTAGAGTAAAGAAAAACAAACAGAAAAAAAAAGATGGTGTGCTTTTCTGGCTAGGGCATTTTCCTTTTTCTTTTTTCTTCTTTTTTGTTATTCTCTTTTGCTTTTGAGACAGGGTCTCGCTCTGTTGCCCAGGCTGGAGTGCAGTGGTGTGATCACAGCTTACTGCAGCCTCTATCTCCTGGGCTCAAGTGATCCTCCCACCTCAGCCTCCTCAGTGTCTGGGACTACAGACATGCACCATGATACCTGGCTAATTTTTTTTTCTTTAGTTATTTATAGAAACAAGGTATCGCTATTGCCCAGGCTGGTCTCAAACTCCTGAACTCAAGCGATCCTCCTGCCTTGACTTCTCAAAGTGCTGGGATTACAGGCCTGAGCCACCATGCCCCACTTAGGGTTTTTCTGAGACAGACTTATGAAAGACGAAATATCTGTCACCCTTTTCTCATGCTGTCCAACTGGGCTGATTAGTCTGACTCATTTTTTCATTTCTTTCATCAAGTCCCCCAAAGGAGACATAGCTTAGTGACTGCTCGTCTGAAGAAGTTCAGACATCAGTCTCTCTCCTCTTCGTGGAATAACACAACAAACATTTATGAACGCCTGAAATGTGTGAACACTTTGCCACATATTAGCAACACAGGATAAATTAGATGATATCTGTGGAAGTGCCTGGCACCTACAGTAGATGTTCAATAAACATTCATTCACTTACCACCTATTAGGACAGATTTAAGTCAAGACAGATTTAAACAGCACTGAATTCCAGGCAAAATGAATTAAGTGCTAACTAGAGGTCAAAACAGAGTGCTGTGGCACTGAAAGGAAGGAATGCTTCATTCCCATGGGTGGTCAGTGGGTCAGGAGCATGTGAACCATGCCTTGTAAGATGAGTAGGATTTTGATAGAAAGATCATGAATTAAGGGTATGTCTGGCTATGAGAATGCCACAGTAAAGGTCTGGAGTGGTGGGTGCATGGTATATTCTGGAAATGTTGGTGAATATATTGTGATTGGAACATTGGATAAATGGGAAGGATAAGGAGGAAAAGGAAGCCACAAAGGTAGTTAGGTGCCAGATTGTAGAGGAAGTTGAATGCTGAACGAAGGACTTTGGACTAATTTTTGAAGGCACAGGAGAGCCACCGAAGGTTTTAGACTGAGGGAGTTGCTCTCTGGTGATAATATTAGAGTGGTTTGGAAGAGCAAGAAAAATGGAAATGGGGCTGGCAAGTGGCTCTGACTAGTCATGGTCATTAAGAAAGACCTCCTGCTTTTTCGTTTGTTTGGTTTGTTTTGTTTTGTTGTTTTTTGTTTTGAAACGAAGTCTCGCTCTGTCACCCGGGCTGTAGTGCAGTGGTGCGATCTTGGCTCGCTGCAACCTCCACCTCCCAGGTTCCTGCCTCAGCCTCCCGAGGAGCTGGAACTACAGGCACGTGCCACCACAACCAGCTAATTTTTGTATTTTTAGTAGAGACGGGGTTTCACTATGTTGGCCAGGCTGGTCTTGAACTCCTGACTTCAAGTGATCTGCCCACCTTGGCCTCCCAAAGTGCTGGGATTACAGGCATCAGCCACCGCGCCCAGCCCCCTCCTGCTTTTCTTTTTTGTATCACTTCAAGGGGAGTCAAGAGAGTTGTGACAGTGCTTGATAGAAATTCAAGTATGATGACACCATTCATATGACCAGGAGTGATCTACTCAGTTCCCTCTAGAACTCTGGGTACCAAGTACTGGTCAGTGCCCTCCAAAATGCAGCCAGGTTATTGTGCATCCTAGGGTGGAAAAGGCTCATGGCTTGGGTGAAAGAATGGCCTCCAGACACCCAGAGTTACGTGTTTTATGTGTCTGGTTTCCTGGGTCACTTGTGATTCTTTGCAACTGCTTCCCCAGAGAAGATACTACCCCTTCTTCCCAAGTGAATCCTGCACCCGTTAAGTGTCTGTTTATGTATCATCTTGCCCCAGGTGTGTTAGATGCGGGTCTCTCTGAAAAGAGCTGATTTTTAATCTTGTTCTTGACCCACTTTTATTAGTGAATCCGTTTCTTGAGCTGGGGTATTTTTTTTTCCTGCCAAACTCGATCTCGGTGAAGCTGATTCGCTCTTCTTGCATCCCCATTTCTGTCCACGCGAGTATGTGCCCATAGGAAAGTATCTTTTTGTGGGCCTCAGAGTGGGAACCAGACCCTTATTTTACTCTGTACATCCTGCAGCTCTCTTCTCTTCCTGCTTTGTTTTCTTGTGCTCTGTGCCTGTCACTTTTCCCCTTCTGCCCCCTAGGATTCCCATCATTGTCCCTAAGCCCTCTTCCTCTCTTAATCCTCTTGGTTCCAACTGCCCTGCCTTCTGAAACTTTTCTCATTCATCCATCTCCGGTCTCTGCTCTGATGTGCCTGTGCAGTGCCTTCCACGTCAGAGTGGGGTATGCGGGTGCAGACAAGA
The DNA here is from genome assembly GCF_000001405.40 of Homo sapiens. Taxonomy (NCBI): domain Eukaryota; kingdom Metazoa; phylum Chordata; class Mammalia; order Primates; family Hominidae; genus Homo; species Homo sapiens. The sequence continues at coordinate 43,598,789 of NC_000011.10, forward strand.
CTCAGTCAGACCTCAGGATGAGACAGGATCACCAGGCAAGCCAGCCATATATGTACCTGTGTGGGGGTGGCACTGTCATACCACATCTGCACATCACATCTGCCCAATGGTGTGTGTATGTCAGAGAAGCAAGTATCCTTTAGGATATGGACCCTAAACCAGACATTTAAAAATCTGAGTTTGGTTGCCAACTCTGCCACCGATTTCTTACATCACTTTGGACAATATCATAGTTGAGGAGTTAAATAGAATCTGTCTGTTAGTAAATAAGACATATACTCTCCTTCCGTTTTATAATATTATTGCTATCTGCTCAACGATCTATCCATCTATCCACTAATTCTTATACCTAGATAAAAAGTTTCTGGAACGATGTTCACCTAATGGTAATGATGGTTATTTCTAGATGGCAGGACTCGGTGTGATTTTTTTCCTAACGTTCTTTTATGCTCTTCTGCACTGCTTGAATTCCTAATAGGAAATCAGAATGCCTGGAGTGAACATTAGCTCAGATCACCATAGCCTATGCGACCCTTAGGACTTAATCTCTCTCTTTCTCTCTCATTACCATCTATAAGGAGATTTTGAAGGTCACACCCTTCTCCCCAAATCCATGATTCTTTATTTCTTCTTTTTTAGTTTTTATTTTAAATTCAGGGGTACATGTGCAGGTTTGTTACATGGGTAAACTTGTGTCATGGGGGCTTTTTGTACAAACTATTTTGTCACACAGGAAATAAGCCTAGTACCCATTAGTTATTTTTCCTGATCCTCTCCCTCCTTCTGCCCTCCTGCCTCTGGTAGTCTCCAGTGTCTGCTTTTCCCCTGTATGTGTCAAAAGGTTATTTCTTTATTTATATAAAAATCACTTCCTTGTTTTCACTTTTAAAGATAGTTTATGCTTTTAAAAATAGTTTATGATTTTAACAATTTCCTAGGCACAGACAGAACAATGGATAGATGGATATAGACACTCAGATATTATTACTTTTATTCAAAATGGATCATACTCTACCTGCTATTTTTAAACAAAATTATTACATTTAATTTCACTTAAATTGAAAGAAGAAAAGGGATTGGAGGAATTATTAAACCTCAAATAAACATTTCTTTTTTATTGAAGATATAATTTCTTAAAATATCCCTTCTAATGTTAAGAAGGGATTATGAAATACCTGAACAGGTTGTAGTCATTATCCTTTACCCTGGGTTATTCAGTGTTCGGCAGTACTGATTTATTTCCAGCTATGCAAGTTGAGAACTCAATACTCTTTTTTCTCTTCCCACCTCCATTTCCCTCATTTTGATTTTTTACTGTTACATCACATTATTTTGTTATTGATATTTAGTTGTATTATTTTTATTTGTGCATTGTCAAATTTTGTATTATTTCTATTTTTATATGGCCATATTTTATAGCTATTGTCTAGCATTCATTCCTTTTACTTGTATTCTTTTACCACATCTTCTTCATTCTTGAGTTCTTTATTTAGATGTATTGTTTCATTGACTGGATTTCATTGTAAACACTTTTTTTTTTTCCTGAAACAGCCCATTGGTACTGTTTCATTGAATTATTTTATATATGCTGCCTTTTTTAAAAATAGGGATCCTATTCTTGTTTCACTCTTCATTTCTGTAGTTATTTATCCATTGTATTCATGGTGTTGAATGTTGCGGAGAAGGCTGCCAGCATGTGGAAAAGGCTGTCAGCGTGATTATTTTCCTTTGTAGATTATTTACATTTTCTGACTAAGTCTGAAAAGTTTTTTTCTTTATCTCTGACATTATATTTTGGTGTATGAGCTTTACGTTCAGTATTTCTAGAATCCAAGGTGCACTTTTCAATAGGCAGATTCAGTTCTACCTGGCTTAATAGTATTAACTGTAAGATCTTAGCAAGTTACTTAACCTCTTTATGCCTCAATTTATTTATATGTAAAATATAAATAATTATAATATGTACCTCATAGAGTTATTGGAATGATTTGCGTTAATATAATATATGTAAATTGCATAGAACAGTGTATGGCACGTAATAAGGACTATTTAAGAGGTTGCTGTTGTTTTAGGAAAATTTTCTTGTGTTAGTTCTTTTAATATTTTTTCACTTTATGTGTTGAGTTTTCTGCTTTAAAGATACCGGTTGTTATTATTATTGATCACTTTATCCCCCAGGTCTATTGGCTTCTCCCTGATTTAAGTCCTTTCCATATACATATATTTTTTTCAATCCTTTATTCTATAACTGTAATTTATTTTACTGTGTGTATTCTGTCCTTTTTTTATTTTTATTTTTTATTTATTTATCTTTATTTATTTATTTTTAATGACATTCTGGCATCCATTTGTTTCCTTAGAGCTGCAAGCTGCTATTTATTTTTTCATCTCATTCTGTTGTTATATCATCTTATGAACTCATGTTCTTATTAGGCTATTTTCTTGCTAAAGGCACATGTGAAAATTTTTTCTTCGGTTTCTTGAATATTTTATAGGGTGGTTGTTTCTGTGTCTTTTGCATGCTGCGTTTGTGTGTGTGTGTGTGTCTTGTATATACTTGCATTGGTGTCATTCCATTTCTTTTTTCTTGATCACGCTTTAGTAGTCCTATCCATAGTATGTTTTCTATTTACTTTTATGGTGTTAGTGATGTCTTGACTCCCATTTCACAGTATCATTTGGTTTTTTCCTTGGGGTCTACAGTTAAAGAGCTTTTTTTTTTTTTTTTTTTAAAGTAGCCTGAGGGCAAAGGGAAAAGAAGGACTCACCTGAGAGCAAGGGCAGTCTGTTAGACAGCTTAGGCTCAGTTCTCCTTTTGTAGCAGAGTTCACACTGTCTGGTTTGGGTGGGGTAATCTCCTTTTGATGGACAGACACCCTCTGGCTTCAGATTCATGTCCCATTCAGGACATGATGCTGGCGTCTCCACTTCTGCCAGAGTCAGCTTCTTTGAATACTTCCTCTGTTTCTTTCAAGCAGCTGTTCAGTTATTTCCACTGCTTCCCAGTGAAGAAGAAAAACACTAAGAGATCCTCTCAGTTTGCTTCTCACCAGGTTTAGAATGTTCAGTGAGAATTCTCAGGATTGGCTTGACTTATCACCAGAGCTTTTGAAGAGTCAGGGAGCAGATGGGAACCTTGCCATTCTGCTGCCCAGCCCCACCCCAAAATGGATTTCTTTTGTCAGCTGCCCCTTTTTGAGCTTACAGCTTTGGCCATGCCCCTGTCCTTGTCAGTGGCTGCTGGTGAACTTTGCTGTTATTTCACTAGGTTTTGGGGAAGGAGTTTCCATGAGGCAATGCTATTCTTCCCTCTTGACTCTGGATCTTTCTCTGGGTTCATTCACTTCCATCTGTCTTGCTTCAGTCTCTCAGGAATATTGAGGAGCCGATCTACAGTTTAAAATTTTTTATGGAATTATATTTAGTTATAAAATCAATACATGTTCATTGTAACCAGTTAAATAATGCAAGTATGTATAAATACAAAGTTTCTACCCCACCCCACGTTCCCCATTTTCACTTCTGTGAAATAACAGCTTGGGAGTGGGAGGTAATGTCTTTAAAAACACAAGAACCTTTTAGAATCAAGGTACAGTGTGAATCTATTGTACCAATAATGTATGCACACAAATTTGGTCCTTTTGTACAACTCATTAATTTGTGGAGTGTTCTCAGTGTAGTCTTGGGAGACAATAATTTGAGTAAGAATGTAAACTCCATGAGAGCAGGAATTTGGGGTCCTTTTTACCCCCCACTGCTATATCCTCACTGCCTGTAGCAGCTCCTGCCACATAACAGCACTCAGTACATTTTTGTTGAATAAATAAGCAGGTAAATAAATAACAGGCCTCAGATATTTTTATTTTGAAAGGGATTTATGCTATTTAAGGGCAATAGGCGAGGCCTGGAAAAGAGGAATAGCTCTAGGCTATTTGAATTAATGTATGTAATCCAGCTGTATCATCTTAGTTGTTGTAATTGTGGATTTATGCACCAAGAGGAGGATGGGAAACAGCACAGGAACATGGATTGAGGTAGAAGTTTGAATCTGGGCCTGAGTGTCCCCCTGTCAAGCAGAAGTGATCATTTCCTCTCTGGCCTAGGCTTTAGGCTCAATACTAGTGTGAAAGGTCAGGGTTACGATGCAATCCTGGAGAGCTTGTTTCATTTCAAAGACAAGATTCTCATCATCAAAGCCTCCAGGAAGCTATTTTCCAGGCACAGGGAGGCTGGATGTGAGATTGTGCTCCATTTTCCAGCTCCAACACTGGAAAAATGTTGCAGAATAGTTGCACACATCAAGACTGGCAGAATACTAGTTGAGTGAATTTAAGGAGGTACCACTGCATATTGACTCCATTTAATATTTTCTCCTGAGACTTTATTTTTTATTTTTTATTTCTTGGTTCAGAGGACAGTAATATCTGAAGTGCACTTTTGCTGTTAATCAGATTCCATATTTTCTCTGCAGGCATGAACATACATCAGTAATGAGTGAAGCAAATCTTAGTTTGGTGAATTTGAAATCTTTTTGAATGAAAAGTGCTCTATAAATGTGATTTTATTTTTATTAACCACATTATTAAAAAAAAACTTTAGGTTGTAATTTGTTTTTTGTGTATGGTTTCCAAGCACTTTGCCTGGTTGAGGTTCTGCATTTTTTGTTCTCTTCTCAAAAATATAAAGGAATTACATTAATTTGGAAAAAAATCATTCTAAGTAGAAGAACTGATGCAGAAGGAGACATGTATGTGCTGGGGTTCCTAAAGCACACATATTTGTTGGCTAACTTGAAGAAAAATGTTGTAAGTGATGGGTTATAGAAATGAATTTGGAATAATTATTAATTTATATTTTGAAATTCCACTGCCACTCTTAAAAAATAAAACCTTCTTTTGTTTCTATTTTGTTTTTGGTTTTTGCTGATTGAGGTTTTGGTTCTTGGATCACATACAATCTGTGCCCCAATTATGCTATATTAAGTTTACATAAAACTTTATTTTAATATCTCGTTTCTAATAAAAAATTCCTTTGAAGGATCAGACCAGTATTTTTCCATATTTATTCTTAGCTCAGTGGTAGAGTTATATCAGAATTTAATCCAAATTTGCTGCTTAAAATGTAGATATAATCTGTTAATACAGAACAATACATATTACTGATGTACTAACCTGACAATTTTGTGGCCAATATTTAAAAATTGTGATGCTGTTTGAGAAATATTTGAAATAAATGAAATGGAGCTTTTGTGTTTAAAATTCATCATTATGTAACATAGGCTTATTTTGGATTGTAATATTTCAACTACATGGTTCATTCTTCTTATTAATTCCCAGATATATTTACCTTATAATATGCACTGTACCTGAACAAAATGTATTCTTTAAAAATAAAACATAATTATGAATATTCAATAATTTCTTATTTCTCTTCTTTCAAATGATTGAGAATTTATCGTATATAACTAGATATTTATTTTGGCTGAGAGTTGTTTAATTTGTGATGCTCAAAGTTTTCTGGGCAAATAATTTTCAGTTAAGCTAGATATTCTTTATTTTATAAAGGAGGACAATGTTGCACTAGCATTAGTGGGTTTATATGATGAAAGTTTCATTTTATTTAATTGTTGGAATTTTCTTATTTTGTCAATGTAGACCTATCTGAAAATTGTGTGCTTTAGCTTGTTTTTGTGATTTTTAATGTACTTTTATTTTTTAAGGGCCACAAAAGTGATTTGAAGGCAGCTACTGTTGTTAATAAAATAATGATGTCAAAAACTGAAACACAAAATGGGAAAAATAGTTAAAGCTAAGGTTTCCATCATAATTCATTACTGGCATCAAGTACAGGATTCTTCTAATGAGTTAGTCTAATGCTGTGATTCCACACAAGTCCCTTGGATCTGGGATGCATACTAGCTCACACCACAATAAGAACTTGAACTTGCTGTTTTTGAATATAGTTATGTGACCTTCCTTCTACCTCTTAAATGTGATTTAAAAATTGCCTAAAATTGACAAATTTTTCAATCATGTCTTAGTAGTTACTATATACTCTACAATGATACAATTTTATATTTTCTATCTATTACAAGTCAAGTTACAACTGCCCTTCTGTAACCTTAGCAGGCTGCTAACTCTGTGAGTTTTAAGGCAGAGTGGTAACAGGCTTCCTAGAGTTAGAGCGTCCTTTTTGCAAGAAGATATGAGGATTTGTTGTTGGGAGCTGCTATGTATGGAAAACTCCCAGGTAGCAAGAGTAATACTTGGCCAGGCTTTCTGTGGTCAGAATGGGCAGAATGTTTTGCTACAGCAAAAGCAGGTCTAGGTAACTAGAGATAATTCCCCGGGATTTCTGGGGACTGGAAGGATAAAGAGCCATGTGGGCACTGGACTGGAATTCTTTGTCCCTTCCCTTCCCATTTCTGTCTTAGGTGGTCCATGGAATGACTGGGGATTTTTTTCTGAGTGGCGGAAAAAAGTTCTGGAATCGGCCGGGCGCAGTGGCTCATGCCTGTAATCCCAGTGCTTTGGGAGGCCGAGGTGGGTGGATCGCCTGAGGTCAGGAGTTCGAGATCAGCCTGACCAACATGGAGAAACCCCGTCTCTACTAAAAATACAAAATTAGCCGTGTGTGGTGGCATATGACTGTAACTCCAGCTACTTGGGAGGCTGAGGCAGGAGAATCGCTTTAACCCAGGAGGCGGAGGTTGCGGTGAGCCAAGATCACGCCATTGCACTCCAGCCTGGGCAACAAGAGCAAAACTCCATCTCAAAAAAAAAAAAAAAAAAAGTCCTGTATTAAGAATCAGCTCAGCTACTAAACAGGCTGTGTTGTCTCAGGCAACTTGCTCAACCTCTTTGTCTCTGTTTTGTCTTCTGTAAAATATCAACCATAACTGCCTATCTGTATCAGCAGCTACTCTGAGATCTAACAAAACAGAGTATACCAGAGGATATAAAGTGCTATATAAACGTAAATAATTTATTATCATTATAAGTAAAAATTTCAGACTTTTTCTGAGAAATTGTGTGCCACAGTTCCTTGCATTCTGAGATAAAAAGCGGGCATGTGTTCTTTTGGGAGTATGTGTGTTTGAAAATACAGCAAAGAAATTAGACAATCTTAAAGAGTTGCCTTTCATATTGTGAATACAGCTGATCTAATGGCTGAGGAGCCCAGAGTATCTAAATGAGGATTATTGGCAACACAGAGCAAAGAACTCTAATGCTGCAATATCCTAGCAGGACACAAGTAGGAAAGACTCTTCAAGGTCATTGACATCTGCCTCTGGTCAGGTCAATTCCTAAAATATTCAAGGTAGAAGGGCCTGGTCTATTTGTAACTATCTCCATGAAGGGGCTTCTCATGAAAGGAGTAGTGTAGTAGTATTTAATCAATTTAATCTACTTAGTGAAGTTCTTCCTGATGTACTCATATCGTTACAATCCAAGCACCTTTCCGCAGACCAGGTGTTTTGAGATATGGGGGCAATTCACCTGCACCCTAGTGGAATCTTAACCTGGGAACATCACTCCTAAAGTGGCCCTACTTCAGGGTTCCCTGAGTTGCAGGCAGGGCCATAGCTAAGGCTGCCATTTTGTGGAAGTGGAGTCGGTGATTACTATGTGATTATAGCTGAGGATCTCAGGGGAACTTTTTTATCAATAAACAATCATCCTACCTGTCTATGTTCATTAGGATTTATAAGATACTTTCTCAAACATTAGTGCATTTGGCCCTCAAAACAAGCTCAACTGTCATTGTCTTTACTTTGAATACAAAGAGCTTGACACTTGAGGACTTCAAATCTGATGACTGCATTCACCCAGCAATGAAGAATCAGGAGACAGGACTCAAACACAGGACTGTTCCCTTCTAGTGCAGAGCTCTAAGCAGGAGTCCCTGGAGAAGTTTCCCATATCCCCATTGATTCTTTAAGCAAATTGGGATAGGCAGTGCTCTATGTGAAAGGGAGAGGAAGTCTAACTGGGATCAATAGAGGCTTCCAATGTGAGGCCAAGCGATAAATACTCATTCTTGTCTGTGCCCCTTCTAGAGAATTACAGGCACCCACATAAAAATCAGATGACTTGAAAACACATACCTTTTCAGCATGGCATTGGGAGTCAATGTGAGCAGTCTGTGTGATCTGGGGCAAGATATTTAGCTTCTCCAGGCCTTGCATTTTGTATCCGCAAGATGGGAATCCCAGTAGTCCCTACTTCAGATGATGGTTGTGGAAGTTAAATGAATTAATATATGTAAAGTGCTTAGCTCAGATAGGAGTATACTCCATATAGTATATATTATTATCTTAATTGTTATTGTGTTGAGACCTTTTGCTTCATTATAGAAATGTTCTAAGTAGGATATTGTATCCTAAATTGTCTTGCTTCCTTTTGTGAATCTTTGACTATGACAGGGATCATGGAAGAGAGAAAAGAGAAAGGAGGGAAGATGGTGGATGTGCTGGCACGTGTGCTCCTGAGTGTGTGTGTGTGTGTGTGTGTGTGTGTGTGTGTGTGTACCATGTAGCACCTCCTGGTATAAATGCCCGAGAACCACAAAGTAAACCAAAGTCTCCAAGAAAAGAAAATAGACCATTCAGTTAAGCTCAAGCACTTACTTTACTCATACAAAAGCCGCTCAAGCACTGATTCAGAACCCATGTGCTTTTATTTTATCCTAATATTTTAAATGTATGTTCTTTAGCAGACACTCACTATTTTATATGTGCCAAATACTGGTCCAAATGCCCTTACAAATAATAACTTACTTGATCTTCACAACAACCATGTGAGGTAGGAACTAATAATATACCCACTTCACAGATGAGGAAACTGAAGCACAATAATAGAAATTCACATATTAAAAATATAAAAGGCATATAACGGTCATTGTATCATATATTTGTATAGTACTACATACTTTCTCAATGACTTTCACATGCCTTTCTTTTATAAATTATTCTAAGTTTTAATTATCAATTTTCTTGGCTCACTGCAGATTAGAAGCTGTGGGTTAGAAGTTAGGAGTGACATTGATGGTGGCGGAAGAACGGATTTTGAGATAGTAGATAGAAAGGCTATAAGATGCAGTTGTGAGAACTCAGACAGCACCCTGATCTGAGACTGTTCCATGTAGTGGAAACAAACCCTACACATTTCAGTACATCCTGAGTGCACAGCTCCTGTCTGGACTTTAACTGAAGTTCATGCTGACAGATGGACCATCAGGAAGATGAGGTGATGGTTCCTTCAAGAGGAATATATACATTTTTTAAAAGTAAAAATAAGGCCAGGTGCGGTGGCTCACGTCTGCAATCCCAATACTTTGGGAGGCTGAGGCGGGCAGATTGCTTGAGCCCAGTCAAGACCAGCCTGGGCAACAGGGTGAAACCCCATCTCTACTAAAAAGACAAAAAATTAGTCAGGTGTGCTGGCATGCACCTGTAGTCCCAGCTATCTGGGAGGCTGAGGTGGATCACTTGAGCTTAGGAGGTCCAGGCTGCAGTGAGCTGTGATCATGCCACTGCACTCTATCCTGGGTGACCAGAGTGAGACTCTGTCTCAAAAAAAAAAAAAAAGGAAAGTAATAACCTTTCCTTAATTTAAAAATCAATGCCCTTTCTTTGGAGAAAAACTAGAAAGTACACTTAATCAAAGAGAGGAAAAATACCTATAACCCTACCACCCAGAGCTAACATCTTATTGTGTGCACCTGTGCATTTTGTTTGTTTGTTTTACAAAAACAGGCTCATTTATGCATTTTTCACTAAATTGAGAATAGTCTTCCATGTAATCTTTATTCACTACAATGTAATTTTAGAGTAGAACTCCAATATATGCATATACCATGATGTATTTAACCAATCCCTTCTTGTTGGAAAATTTTCAAATTAAAATCTTTTGGCTATTGTAGGTAATGCAGCAATAAAAATATTTGTAGCTAAATCTTTGTGAGCATCCCTAATTATTCCTTAGACTAAATTATTGCCAAATTGCTTTTCAGAAAACTTATTCCAAGTAGTGAAGCTCTTCGAAGGCCTCCAAATGGGAATAATAGTATCTCCCCTTGCTGCCTCATAGGGACCCTCTGAGGTTTAGAATCTCAAAATTGAGAAAACATATGCACAACCCCCCAACCTCTTTTTTTGAGACAGGGCCTCACTCTGTCAGGCTGTAGTGTAGTGGTGTGGTCACAGTTCACTGCAGCCTCGACCTCCTTGGGCTCAGATGATCCTCCCACCTCAGCCTCCCTGGTAGCTGGGACTACAATAGGTGCGCACCACCATGCCCAGTTGATTTTTTTTTTGTATGTGTGTTTTTTGTTAGGACCAATTTTCGTCATGTTGTCCAGACTGGTCTCAAACTCCTTGGCTCAAGTGATCTGCCCACCTCGGCCTCCCAAAGTGCTAGAATTACAGGCATGAGCCACCACACCCAACATGCACATCTCCTTTTTAGAACAGTGAAAAATCTTTATACAGGTAAACTATGATGAATATAATTTAGTACATATATTATATATGATATAATTTTATAAAAATATAAAATATATATAATATATAAACAATTATATATAATATTTTAAAGATAGGGTCTAACTCTGTTGTCCAGGCTGGAGTGCAGTGGTGCAGTCATGGTTCACTGCAGCCTCAACTTCCCAGGCTCAAGCAATCCTCCCATCTCAGCCTCCCAAGTAACTAGGATTATAGATGTGCGCCACCATGCCAGGCTAATTTTTTAATTTGTAGAGATGGGGTGGGGGGTCTTGTTATGTTGCCCAGGATGGTCTACAACTCCTGAGCTCAAGTGATCCTCCTGCCTCATCTTCCCAAAGTGCTGGGATTAGAGACATGAGCCACTGTGCATATATTTAATCTCCGGCAGATCCTACACCCTGTCTGGTAAAGAAAGAGGACCCCCAACTTGGCAAAGAGCCATAGATTCTAATCCCAGAGCTGCCATTAACTATCTCTGCCAGGTGAAGCAAGTCATTTTCCCTCTCTGGAACTGGTTTCCCCATTTGTAAGATGAGAGGCTTGTACTACATGGCTTCTATCATCGAGAGTTTGATGTGATCCTCATTAGCAACTTTGAGATAGACTTAGAGTATAAATTATTAGTCTCATAAGGAAAACAAGATCCAGAAAGGTTAAATCTATACCAATGATTACCTAATTCATGTTTTCATCTGCTCTTTTCTGCAAGGCTGTTAGGGCGGGATAAAATGAGGGGCGTCACGTTTTCTAATAGTTACTGGGAAGAAAAATTTGGAATATGGTTTTCCCACCCCTTTTCCCTAAAGGATTTCTTTCTGAATGTATTTTTCCCTTTTAGTCACTTGAATTATTCCATTATTGTTTACTTATGTAGATTCAAATATAAATATAGTTTAAAAAATGGTACCATAGAGACCCAGCATAAAACTATGAGTTTCTTACTACATCACAGGATTTTTTAAAACAGTTATATCTTATGCATCTACATAGTCCTGGAGTCCGAAACAATGTTAGGCATGTAATTGGTGATTAATGATCACTGTTTAATAAGGCAGGGTGGTGAGCAGATAGGGGTCCAGACAGAATGCCAGGTACTGTATCTGACTGCTACTCAATTTGTGGTTTTAGACAACTAGCTTAGTAGGAGTCTTGGTTTAAGACCACTAGCTCAATAGGAGTCAAGGTACTTAGAAGGAAGCTTAGGGGAGCCAGAAAAATATGGATTCAAACTCTGGCTCTGACACCAATTGAATGGCCTGAATTTCAGTTTCCCCATATGCAAAATGGAGATAATAATGCCTATCTCATTGTCATGGATATATATAATACTAGTAGATGGTAGGGACTCAGTAAAGATGGGTTCCACTTCATGAAAGAAGATGTACAAGATACTTTGCAGGGAACCATGAGCAGCAGGGGAAGTCTTTTGTTCTTGGGCATATTTAAATTAATGCCCCCCAAAAATGGCATTTTTAAAAAATCATTGCTGTATCCATCAGTGGAATGTGTGTGTGGACCTGCAGGAACACACTGAGTATGCATGCACTCCTCAATCTCTCATCTATAGATAATACCCAGGGAATATATCAGATCTTCAAGAGGAACATGGTGTTTTTCCTTTTGCAGCCATCCTTTTGGCACTCCAGAGACTGCCACCTGGCAGACCATGAGCACATTTTCTTGGAAGTTCATTAGGGAAGTCCAATGTTCTAAGAGTTTGAAATTCAGACTTTTCTAAAATCCGGTGCATTTAATTTTCTATTATTTGCATGCAGACTATCTATTTGGTATATAGTATGTCAAACCGTGAATCCAGCCTGTTTTCTTCCTGACACCTCAAGTAATTCCCAAAAATCTTTGATATATTTTATTGGTGGATGATCGCAGAATGTAAATTATTTTAATATCATTTTTAAAAAGGTATAACAACAACAAAATGAAGTTCCAGAAAAGTAAATCTACTTTAAAAATATGTAGATATGATTCCAGATATTTTGTATTATCCTGTGCTTTTGAATTACTCATCCCATAGAGGTGATCTCATTACTTCATAGGTAAATTTTACCCATCCTTCTAGGTCCGGTGCAAATGACATTTCTTTTACAAAGCCCTCCTTTTCCCCAATTCCAGAATGGTTGATGAGCACTTGCACAGGGCCAGTTCTGTAGCAGCAGACATTAATTTGTAAGTGAGTAAAATACACAATTAAGAATTTACTGTATAAAATTTATGTTTAGCAGAGCTGCTGGATTTTTATCTTAATCCTTCATAACTGCAGACTTCCAGACTGGGTTGGAGCCTCACTGATTCTAGCTTAGCAAGTATATAGATCTCCCCAGCAACCAAAATAGTTCTGGTCAGGCGCAGGTGACAGCTGGGGCTGGAGCCACCAGTTGCCTTTGTTGTCAAGATGCCTCTAAAGGATCTGATGTGGGGTGATTATTAAAAACAATAGTGAATTTTTTTGTTCCTGTCACATACCAACTACCCATCATACATTATCTCAGATTCTGACAACAACCATGCAAATTTTCACCATTTCAGAGATGAGAAACTGAGATTTAAAGAGATTAGTTTACTTCCCCAAGGTCACTGAGCTGGTACATCATTGTATACTGACTCTGAGTGAACTATAGGCATAATCTACTCTTGCTTGGACTTATAGTAGGTTCTCAGCAAGTAGTGATTACTATTATTCTCCTTATCATTATTTTTGAAAGGGATGAGTATAGGTCTTTTAAGAAATTCCAAACATTCTTTCTACTGTATCAGGGTACTCCTATCTTCTTTCCTTTGCCTCCTTTCTGGCTGAAAATGATGATAGGAAAAGATGGTCACTCCTTTGGTATCAAATGATGTAATTCATAGGAAAGTACTTTGAAAGCTGTATTTATGAAATTTTATGTATTTTATAATTTGGGGTATTTTATAAAACTAATAGTTATTATTCCTCTGTTTTTATAATTATGAGCCCTTCTGGGTAGTAATCTTATCTTATTCTTTGCATCCACAGAGCGGGTACTTAGGTGAAGTTTAATAAATATATTGCACATAATATTTAATACAATTGCATTTTCTTGCTTTAAAAGGTATATTGGGATCTGTGGGAAAGTCTGGGTTTGGTCTGGGCCAACCCAGGAGCAGCCTGGTTCAATAGCAACTCAAGCAAGATATATATAGTCTGTCAGAGTGGGGCTCATTTGTTCATTTGACAATGGTATAATGAGTGTCTAATATATGCCAGGAACTGCTCCAGACAAGGAGGAGACAACCATGAACAAGAGAGGTAAAGTAGAGATGGGGTTTCACCATGTTGCCCAGGCTGGTCTCTAACTCCTGAGCTCAGGCAATTCACCCACCTCGGCCTCCCAAAGTGCTGAGATTACAGGCGTGAGCCTGTAAAGGATGAAGGAAGAAGATGATGCATAAGAAAATGACAGACTGCATTAGGGAATGAAGAAAATGAAAATGGCTAAAGTGAAAGAGTGTTAAGAAGAAGGGCAGAGTATGTGGCTACTTTAGATAGGGTGGTCAAGAGAGGCCTCTTAGAAGGGGTGGCATTTGCTGTGGAACTGGGTGAGAAATGGAGTTGGCCATGTCTAGATCTGGAAGAAGAGTGTCCAGTAATCATCAAGACCATGCATCAGAGCTAGGATTGGCATATTTGAGGGACAGTAGGCCAGTGTAGCCTAAGTATAGTGAGCTCAGAAAAGTACCCAGGAACCAGGTTTGTTAGGCCCCTATTAGCCCCAGTCAAGAATTTGGTTTTAATTCCAGATCAATGAGAAAGCCATTGGAGGGTTTCAAGTAAAAGAATGATATTCTTGGCCGGGCACAGTGGCTCACACCTGTAATCCCAACACTTTGGGAGGCCAAGGCGGGCAAATCACTTGAAGCCAGGAGTTCAAGACCATGGTGAAACCCTAGATATACTAAAAATAGAAAAATTAGCCAGACATGGTGGCGCATGCCTGTAATCTCAGCTACTCGGGAGGCTGAGGTATGGAAACTGCTTGAGCCTAAAAGGCAGAGGTTGCAGTGAGTCAAGATCATATCATCGCACTCCAGCCTGGCTAACAGAGGGGAACTCTGTCTCAAAAAAAAAAACAACAAAACAACAACAACAAAAAAAAACAAACGAACAACAACAACAAAAAAACCATGAGTTATATCTCTGACTTATGCTTAAAAACATCTCTGGCTGCTAGTGGAAGATGGATTGAAGAAAGGTAAAAAATGTAAGCAGGGAAACCAATTGAAAAGTGATAACTTTCTTATTTTATTCTTATTTTTATTATTTTAATTTTTATTCTTATTTTTTCCACTTGGCCTATGAATTATTATTTGCAGTTTTACTCATCATAGCCTTCCATGAATTTTTTTTTTTTTGAGATGGAGTCTCACTCTGTTGCCCAGGCTAGAATTCAATGGCGTGATCTTAGCTCACTGCAAACTCCGCCTCCTGGGTTCAAGCGATTCCCCTGCCTCAGCCTCCCAAGTAGCTGGGATTACAGGTGCCCACCACTACGCCCGGCTAATTTTTGTATTTTTAGTAGAGCCGGAGTTTCACCATGTTGGTCAGGCTGGCCTCAAACTCCTAACCTCAGGTGATCTGCCCACCTCGGCCTCCCAAAGTTCTGGGATTACAGGCATCAGCCACCATGTCCAGCTGCCTTCAATGAATTTATGTGATTCCATTTACCTTAATTGTAAGAATTTGACAATGTGATTTTTCTATATATTTTACTTCTGCATATATTATGAGCCACACTTTTACACAATTACTTTTAAGGAGATCCACATATTTCTATGATGCTCTTCACTCCTTTGTTTATGCAGTTTTTATTCAGCTCCAAAGGGCTTCCTTGAGCATTTCTTATAATAGAGGGCTGCTGGTGATGAATTATCTCATCTTGTGGCTATCTTTAAAAGTCTTTATTTTGCCTTCATTTTTTGAAGTAGATTTTCATTGGATATAGAATTTTCAATGACAAGTTTTTCTCTTTTCGTTTCAGCACTTTAAAAATGTCATTCCATTGTCTTCTGGCTTTCATTGTTTCAGATAAAAAGTCATCAATAATTACATTTTTGTTCCTCTGTATATGTGTGCCTGGTTATTTTCAAGATTTTTCTTTTCTTCCCCCCATAGCACTTCTGTCCGTTTCTCAGATTTTTCTATGTATATTTGGATTTCAGCAATGTGACTACAATGTGCCTTGGTGTCATGTTTGTGTTTTTGTTTCTTAAGGTTTGTAAGTTTCTTAGATCTGTGGGTTGATCTTTTTCATAAAATGTAGGGGGAAATGGTCATTTGGTCTTCATATACTTTTCTGACACAATTTCTCTTTCTCTCCTGAGACCATTTTTTATTATCCTACAGTTCCCTAGGACTTTTAACTTTCTGTGCTTTATTTTCTTTGGTCTTTTCTACAGTGTCCAAGCTGCTGTTAAATCCATTCAATAGATTTTTTTTATTTTAGATATCATAATTTTTACTTTTAAAATTTTTATTTCATCCTGTTTATAATTTCTTCTTCTGTGCTCATATTTCTCATTTCTTCACCTATTATGTCTAGTTTTTTCTTTAGTTCTTGACATCTTTTAAAGTCCTTAAATACTAATTCCAACAACTGTGTTATCTCTGGGTCTGTTTCTTTTTATTGCTTTTTCTCCCCTTGGTTATGGGTCACATTTTTTTCTGTTTCTTTGCATAGCCAGTGATTTTTTTCATCATGCACTAGACATTGTAGATTCTACAATTTGCAAGACTGGATTTATTTGTCTTCCTTTGAAGAGCGTTGAGTTTTATTCTGTCAGGTGATTAACTTACTCACAATTACCTTGATCCTTTGAAGTTTGTTTTTAAAGTTTTTAGGTGGGGTATAGAGTAACTTTTATTCTAGAACTAGAATAGCCTATTCATAAGATCTGCCTTTTGTGGATTTCAGTTAAATGCCCAGTATGTTCAGTGAGCTCTCTCTTTTCTGGCTGGTCAGAACTCCAATGTCTTCCTACCCTGTGTAATTTCTGGAACCTCACAGTTTCTTAGTATGTATTCTCTGCTAGGGCTCACAGATTCTTGTCCTGTGCATGCACAATTTAGTGTTCAGCTAAAGATTCAAGAAGACTTCTATGCATATTTCTGGAACTCTCTCTCTGCACAGCTCTTTCTCTCTGGTGCCCAATACACAAATTCCAGCCACCTCAGCAACCTTAAACTCCAACCTCTACCTCATCAGCTCTGAGAGATCATTGTCCTCTGCTTAAGCTATCCATTTCTACACCACAGAAGGTGCTTCCAGGCAGAAATGTCAAGGTGATTATGTGGCTGACATAATGCGTTTTCCTTTTCTCAGGGGTCACATTTTTTCCCCCTGACTGTTGTCTAAAGTGTGAAAGCTTTTACTTCAGTTTTATATGTGTTTATAGAAGGAGGACTAGTCTGGTGCTAATTACTCCATCACAGCTGAAAGTGGAAGTCTCTAGTATAACTGAATAATTTATTTTCAATAGTTCATACTTCTCTCTTAGATGGCTATAGATCTACCTTTGAGAAATGAGAAATTTCTGAAAAGGGGTGTGAAGTTACATATATTTTATAGACAAAGAGCATGGCCAAGGCAATGTTTGTAATTCAAAGTGTTGCTCACAAACTCTAGTTTAATGCTTTTCCTTTAAGTGTGGTTATTTGTTTTTGTATCTTTGTGTGAGTGAGAGCGAGAGTGTAAAAAAATGAAGAGAAGGGGGAAAAGAGATATCAAGCAAATATAAAAGAAGAGAAGGCAAACGGGAAAGGTCTGAACCTTTACTTTTTAAAATTATATTCAGCAGGCTGGGCATGGTGGCTCACACCTGTAATACCAGCATTTTGGGATGCCAAGGCAGGTGGATTGCCTGAACTCAGGAGTTCAAGACCAGCCTGGGCAACACGGTGAAACCCCGTCTCTACTAAAATGCAAAACAAAATTGGCTGGGTGTGGCAGCCTGCTGTCATCCCAGCTACTCTGGAGGCTAAGGCAGGAGAATCACTTGAACCTGGGAGGCAGAGGTTGCAGTGGGCCAAGATAGTGCCACTGCACTCCAGCCTGGGGCGACAGAGTGAGACTCCATCTAAAAAAAAAACAAAAAACAAAAAAAAAACAAACAAACTATATTCAGCATAAGTCATTTAAAACTTAAAACAAATTTTAAACTCTTACAATATTAGCTAAAGTATTGAATGCTCATCATATGCCAGGCATTGTTCTAAGTGCTTCACATATTTTAATTTATTAAATCTTTACAACAACACTTTATGGCAGGTGCCTGATTTATCTTCATTTTACAGATTATAAAACTGAGATGGCATAACTTGCCCAAGGTCCATGGTCAATAGGCAGAAGTTGGCATTTGATCCCAGGTGATCTGCATCCAAAAAATCCCCACTTTTAACCTCTATGCTGCCTTCATATTAGAGAACCATCTTCTTATTGTCTCCCACACCACTCCTCTGTGCCCAAACTAAAAAAAAAAAAAAAAAAAAAAAAAATACCCGGGAATGGTGGCGGGGGCCAGTAATCCCAGCTACTCGAGAGGCTGAGGCAGGAGAATTACTTGAACCCGGGAGGTGGAGGTTGCAGTGAGCCAAGATTGCGTCATTGCACTCCAGCCTGGGTGGCAGAACAAGACTCTATCTCAAATTAAAAAAAAAAAAAAAAGAAAAAGAAAAAAAAATCCGGGGTAAGTTCTGTTAAACTAGACATCACTGGGATTTGGTGCTGGTGAGAGATACTTGGCAATTAAAGAGATGGACACTCTATTGGTCCACCGATTTTTCATACTGGGCTCTTTTAGCATCTTCTATTCATCAGCTTCAGTCACCAGTACTGTCTTTTGATGGTCAAGTGACTTTCAAATATGGACAAAAGTTGATGAGTGACTCAGGGAGATTTTTCAGTGCCTCGCTTCTTAGTCTGAACTGCTTGAGAAACCAGATGACCATGATTGTGATGACCCATCTTTTGGAGTTTGAAAACATTGTCTCCCTGAAATATTAGTAATTCACACCAGGAGACTTTCAGCCTTGTTCTGCTTCTGACTTTGGGATGGTAAGATTGGGAGGGTGGATACGGATCCACACTAGAGGCATGGAGTGTCTCTAGGATGTTTGTTTCCACATCTTTAGCTGAGAGTTGAGATAGCCTTAGGATGAGCTCTTCCTGTGATCTTTGAGATTTCAGGAAAGAAGAGATAGCAGATTGCAGGCTATTATTATGGCAAGATCATTTCTCTTTGGCCACCACACAGTTGTTCCCTGAGTCACAAACTACTCAATTCAGTAGCTGTCGAACTAAACTGCCTTTGAAATTCAGAGGAGAGTCTGTGTACGCCAAAACCAAGCCCCTGAGTCACCCAGCACACAGCAGGAATACAGCCGTGAACAGGGTCATAAGTAGTGCCAGAATCCACCCCTTGCAGCAAGTGTGGACCTTCAAGTGCCCGTTCTACAGGAATCATCCCAGGTCATAAAATCTCATGTCCTCGCAGACAGGAGGTACCATTGTCTGTTCCCTCTACCGTCTGCAAGGTTCGTGATTAGTGAATCATCTCCCTAAGTATCTTTTTACGTGGACTGAGCCATGTATTATGAAGATCCTGTTTGATTTGTAATATCTAAGGAAACTGCATTAGACATTATAGTTTATGAACAAAATAGGTGGTGTTTGTATTTGGAAATGTAACATCTTACTTACTGGGAAGACCTGGATTTGAACAGATCTACCTGGGCCTATTATAGAACAAAAAACTTGGTGTCTTTTTTCTCTGGTCACCACAGTTCTGCAATTATTCTATATAATTGTTGTTTTCTTTTCTTTTTGGAAGGAGTCTCCTGTTGAAGAAAGAATCTAAAGAAATGCATAAGTTCCAGGGAATTTTCCTCTAAGACTAATAACAACAAGATAGCTTTGCCTCTATTTATTTATATTCATTATGTTTTACTCATGAAAGATACGTGTCTTCTTCAGAGATCCTGGGTTAGAATTTTTTGTTTTCCTTGTCCTGGTTGAAGAAGAATCTCAAACCCTGATGCTGTTTTTGTTTTATGTATTTCAAGAAGAATTTTGGATGGTGCTTGACAACTTACGCCTTCTATAAAAACAAGAAATATTCTTTTACACTCTGTATATGAAAGATATTGTCCAACTGACATTTCACCAAACAAAGGAATTGAGCCACCTTGTGCTCTACATATTTGTTTAAATATTTGGGAGCTATTGTTTTGAGAGTCACCCATGGTAATAATGGCCAACTCAAAAAATGTCCTACTGAAGGGTTGGTTAAATATTGGCTCAGTTTCCACATTTGTAGCCCATGTCTTCCCTCCTTTTAGTTCTTCCCAAAACAAGTCAGGGTATGCCTCCCACTAAGAAACTACTTGCAAAATTCCATATCATAAGATGCTGAGCTTGAAATTATGAAACATCATCATCAGTTTCTGAGGACTTCAGAACTAGAAGTCAAACAGAAACTTCATAGTTTAGGGACCAAGGGCCTGAAATACAACTTCTAAGCTGAATTGGTATTGGTTCCAAGGTTAAAAATAAAGGACCACAGTTTTATTGTCTTTGAATGTAACATATTCCACATGAACGTCAATAGGGCTCAGACATGCACTCAAGGCAGACAAAGGGTAAATAAATTAAACTGAAGTGACTCAGAAGGCACATAAGGAGCAAAGATGTGCAGAAGTAACAAGAGACTTCTTTTTTAAGAACAACCCTATTTAGAACTCAAGGGAGAGAACCTAAGTGGAAAACTCAAAGAACCATAGTTCCAAAATGAATTTAACTTATAAGCTTTCTCAACAGCCAGGAAAAAGTATATATATGATATATATATATATATAAAATATATATATATATGATATATATATATATAAAATATATATATATGATATATATATATATAAAATATATATATATATTTTATATATATATGTAAAATCCATATATATATATAATCCATATATATATTTGTGGATTAGTATCTATGTTTTGGAAGTTCCTGAGCACTTGAGCACTTATGCATTCAAGCCAATGCACTTTTTCTTTTTCTTTTCTTTTTTTTTTTTGAGATGGAGTCTCCTTCTTGTTGCCCAGGCTGGAGTGCAGTGGCGTGATCTTGGCTCACTGAAACATCCACCTCCCAGGTTCAAGCGATTCTCCTGCCTCAGCCTCCCGAGTAGCGGGGATTACAGGCACCTGACACCAAGGCTGGCTAATTTTTTTGTATTTTTAGTAGAGATGGGGTTTCACCATGTTGGCCAGGCTGGTCTCAAACTCCTGATTTTGGGTGATCTGCCCACCTCAGCCTCCCAGAGTGTTGGGATTACAGGTGTGAGCCACCATGCCCAGCCACACTTTTCCTTTCAAACCAACAGAATAGCTGGATCATGTATACTAAGAATGTCCAGATTAAAATATGTCAATGAGACTTTGAGACCTTACTGCATCTCATTTAACAACTTGCTTCTTGGAACATCTTCCTGTGAGGGCAATGAGTTACTACCGAAGCTCATCTTTGTAGAATATTTTTTCTCAGCCTTTATTTGCTTTTCAAACCTTGCTGCATTTTTCCTGTACTAGGACAAGGCCCAGTTGTCCACTGACTTTTGTGAAGGCATCCATGGGAGGTTTTGAAGTCCACTGGTTAAAAGGGAAAACTGCTTTTGTGTTTGATCAGTATAAAGGTAGTTAGAAACAATGCTGAGTCACTTTAAAGCAGCTGCATTGCAAACCAAGTGAAAGGACTTTATCATTGGCTTTGTAGTCAGCAAATCCGGATCCTGGCCTTTGCTGCATCAAGAGCAGGCCTCTCAATGTCTGTAAGTTTCATTTACCTTTTCTTTAAACACCACCATTTATTAAGCCTTTACTACGTACCAACCACTATATTCAGCCTTTATTCACTCAAACCTCACAATAACCCTATGGAGTAAATATTATTATCATCCCCATTTTATAGATGAGGAAACTGAGGCTCAGAAAGACTATAAAGTATGCTCAGTGTTACATAGTGAGAAAATTAGAGAAACAAGATCCGAGTTCTCATCAGTCTCACTTCAGAGTCCGATCTCTTAGCTACTCTGAAAGGGGCTAATAATAACATAATTTATGGACACTGAGAATCAAAACAGTAATGTTTGCAAAAGCTCCAAAGTCATATACATGTATAAGGTGTTATAATGAAATCACTTGAGAAAAGAGAAAACTAAGAAACAGTTACGTGTCATGGTCATGGAAAATTACATTCAGATGCCTATAAACCGGAGCTTACTAGTTCTGTGTAAACCAACATAGGATTTCCTGAATACCTTATTTTTCTTGACAGCACCCCATTGAAATACTAAATATGATATGTTACATAAATCAGGCAGGATGGATGACCACTTTATTTTACATTGATTGCGTATTTAGAAGGCTGAGCAGCCTAAAAGACGAGAACTCTGGTCCATTTGTTACCTCTGAGCTGAGCTGCACTGGTTTGCTAATTTGCTTAAGTTATAAAGACATCTGCACAGAAGTTCAGCCTTAACTCCCAGGAACAATAATGTAGGTTACCAATAATGTAGAAAGTATTGTTCACTTGTAGGGTATAAGAGGATCAGAGGCTATGAAAAGGAGACACAATGTTCCTTAAATCACCACCACAATAAAGCATGCACAATATCAAGTTAATTTTACTTTTACTGTTAGCAGGTAGTGCATGAAGTAGAAGAGAAGGATGAAGGTTGGCTGCATCAGGGAGTCAACAAGAACCCCTTAGTCATCAGCAGGAAGGCTATGGCTGCATGGGCCAACCAGATGGAGTCTCTTGTGCAAATACGCCTCTGGACAGAGTCAAGCAACTGACATGCTTTTTCCTAGTTCCCATAGTACTAATGGAATTGATTGAATTGACTGATTATTTTAGGGTTGTGTAGACAGAAATGAATATAAATAAGAGGTAGATCAAGAGCAAAGGGACTGTGGTCACTCAGTATGTCTCAACATGAAATGTAAACCCATGCTGTGGTTACCAGACATTGAACCCCTCTGGGAGGCTGGGGACTGAAAACTTGAACTTCATGCTTATATCCCTTATAAAGAAATATTTTCAGCTGGGCACAGTGGCTCACACCTGTAATCTCAGCACTTTGGGAGGCCGAGGTGGGAGGATCACTTGAGCCCAGGAGTTCAAGACCAGCCTGGGCAACATGGCGAAACTCCCTCTCTACAAAAAATAAAAAAGCTTGCTGGGCAAGTTGGCAAGTGCCTGTGGTCCCAGCTACTCTGGAGGCTGAAGTGGATCACTTGAGCCCAGAAGACTGAGGCTGCAGTGAGCCATGATCGTGCCACTGCACTCCAGCCCAGATGACAGAGTGAGACCCTGTCTCAAAACAAAAACAAAAACAAATATTTTCCAAATTCGTAAACTTATTGGTGACAATAATTCTCCAACTAGAAATGGAGATATTTGGCCTGAAAGATATCTTTTTTCCCAAATTACAAGTCTGTTGATAGAAAAAGTCTTTCAGAGTTAAAAACATGCATCACACTTAGTGCATGTTTAATCATTTACTTTTACAGCAAAAGAATGACATTTTCTGAAATTGAGGCTGCACTAAAAAATCCACACCGAATGGTCTCAATCCTTATAGCTTATCTTAACTGATCTGCATCTGCTGAGTTGTTACTAAACTGCCTCCTGTCACAGGTTTGGTTGAGTCACAGAATCGGCTATGTAGCTGATGCACCAGCCTTTTCCCCTTTTGTCCAAAAATAGGAAAGGGTTTGCACCCTAAACGATTTGAAGTGGTTTCATAAAGCTGCATGGGCTCTGTCATTCAAGAGGGTAATATAGAGATGGATTACCCCGGGGAGAGAGACGGGATGACAGAGCTGAAGGAATTGCATCACATGTACGGAATAAGGAGTTGTATCTTTTAGATCCCTACTGATCCCTGTTGACTTCCTAGACACTCTGTGGCCCACTACTCAATAATAGGTTTTATTATTTAAAGTTGAAGTCTCACTTTGGGAGGCTAAGGTGGGAGGATTGCTTGAAGCCAGGAGTTCAAAACCAGTGTGGGCAATTAAAGCAAGACCTCCATTTCTACAAAAAATAAAATAAAATAAAATAAAATAAATTTTTTACTTAAAAAAACAGTTGGACTTTGGAGTCTCACTTTCATTTTATCAGTCAGAGTATTGAGAATTACTTTTAGAATAAATAGAAGAGGTATAAATAGATAAAGTGATAAGGAAGGTAACCAGCTTTTATAAAGAAAAGAACTACAACTAATTGATAGAATCTGCATTTTTTTTTAGTTTATTTCTGCTCTTTAAGAATTTGCAATTTTTTGGAAAGATGATATTGTAGATTTATTAGCCCAGCCTCCTGTCCCCTTGATTTTACTGGTTTATGCACTTTGAAGAGAAAAGAGGGCATGAATAAGGAATCAACATGTGAGAAATGAAGAAATTAATCCCCTTAGGAATTTTTTGTGTGGGGGATTATAAGAATACATAATCGAGGTAAGCCCAAACCTAAAGGGCTTATTAAAAAAAAATTTCAAAAGGCAACCACATGAATTTTAACATAGCGATGGCAACTACAGTTCTACAAGGTTTATGATCAAAACTTTTTTTTTAATCTCAACTTGATTAATGATTAACAGGTCCCATTTATGAGGCCAAAAAGAAGTTTTTCAGCAGCAATTTTGTGGGCCTCAATAATACCAATAACAATACCAACAAAAAGGAAAAATAGTGTTGCTCAAGTAATGTTTTAAGCCCAATTGGTTAACAAAATTCAAATGGTGTATGGTTTTTAGATCTTGTGACTGAAGCTTTGTTTTCTAGGTTTTAATCTGGAGAAAGAGAAAATAATTTATTTAAAATGACTTAAAATGCAGGATTCCATGAAAGTCTTCCTTTATCAGTATAGCTTTAGTAACTGTTGGAGAAATCAGCTAACATTTATTAGAGCTTCTGATTCAATCATATTTTTAACTCTTTCTAGTTAGCCATTAGCCATTTGAAAGAATGATAAGCAAAGCATTAAAGGTTTGTTTTTTTTGTTTTTTTTTTCATATTCCTCAAACAACATGATTTTTAAAAAGATAATCTGGGATTTTTTGTCTTGTGAAATGATCAGCAGTTTTTAAAAAGACTTCGGCAAAATATAATTGAACAAATCTTATGTTTAACAGATTAAACCATTTCTGCATTCAGCTTTCTTGTCTAAAAAGAATTACATTTAAATAGTAATTCAGCAATGTATTTTTAAAAGCTCCAAAACATTTTTATTTCTGGCTTTAAATTTTTGTATAAAGGGGGTAAAACGCTTTTATTTGTTCATAAAAACCCGAGGGAAAAAAAGAGGCAGAAACTCACATTTTCCTGCCTATAAATACCAAATTAAGAAGATTGGTGGTGAGCTTTTTAAAAAAGAAAAGTAAAACCCTGGTATGTTTGAAAATATGTATGCATAGTTCCGGATCACCACTGCATAAAATGTCACAAGATTTCTGGAAGCCCTCAGATACAAGCCATCAGTGAGATTACATGTGGAATATAGTAAGAATTACAATTCAAAATGCAGTTTTTAAAAAAACAGAAACAAAAACAAAATGCAATTTCAAAAACGATAGTCCTTCCAAGCCTTGTTCAGCCTAGGTTCCTGTCTAGACATGCAAATTGAACTGAAGAGTTGAAGCAATTATTCAGATAATTCAAAGGAAAAAAAAATCTTCTACCTAAAAAGAAGATTTGAGCAGCCTGAACTACCTGACTTGTTTGTCCTCACTGATCAATTAACCAGATAATTGCACTTCACTCTGCGAGTTTGAAGAGGGCCATAGGATTTGAGTCAGGGAGAAAATTCATGAACTTTTGTTTTTCTGTGCATTCAACTTCAATGAAATGTGTATAATTTGAAGGAAAAGAAAGTCTCTTGGAGAATCCTCTCAAGAAAATATAAAGTTATTCTTATAAGATATGCAAACGTTACATTAGTAATGACTCTCCTATGTCCAATAAATAAATAAATAGATAAATTCTGAAGACTAACTTTCTAAGTACCTTTCTTTTTCAGATGAGATGGCAAGATTTAACAGAAGAGAAAAGAGACTCATTAAGCTATCTGTAAACTGGATGTTATTCCTTGCAGTTCAGTTCACATGGCATTTATATATTCTTATGAATTATATAATTTAAATAAAGAAAGAAATTGTTACCTGTGTAGCTAGTACAAACTAGGGTAGACATTGATAGATATTAAAATAACAATCAAGCTATGAAAATATAAAGGTTCAGAAATTCAAAAGTAATTATATTGATCTGGTCAACTTAAAATAGATGATCTTTTGAAAACATTTTGAAAACCCATTAAGAATATATTTTTAAAACTTTAAAAAGTAAATATTCACATAAAACTAAACTGGGCAGCAAATTTCAAGGTAAAAATCAAGTAGGTTAATAGTCCATGAAACATATCAGATATTGAAATTAAAATAAAATTTGAAATTCATTCATGCCAGAAATTACTACTGCCAAGGCCTGTCATATGTCCTAACAGAAAATTAGAAGCATAATATTTAAACCAGGAATAGTTAAATGATTATAAAAAGGGAGCTTAGAATTTATCTCATTTGTTCTTCAAATATGGATCTGTGGTATACATTCACCAGAATCACATTAATTTTAATACTGCTCTACATAAATGTTCAAGTACAGACAAAATTTAAAGGGCAGTTTTACAAACAAGTATATTATTAAGACAATGTTTCCAAATATCAGACATGAAATGGCTGTTTTATGTTTTAAAAAAGCCTAAACCTTGTGAAAATAGGTTAACAAAATATAAGAAAACAAAATCAAAAATTAAATTTTCTCCAAATTTAACTTTTATGAGCATTTATTACAATTTTGTAATACTTGAGAAACTCTTCAAGATGGCATATTTAAATATTTTCAACTCTTAACATAAGGCTTTTATAAAGCCTGTGGTAACATACTGGTCATAATCACTAAGTGCTAAACTAATAATATTGTAAAAAAATTATTTAGCAATTACTAAAAACAATTTTTTTGTATTTTCAGAATTAAAGTAACAATAGATAATTCTGACATAATCTGAAACATTAAACTTTGATTATTAACAAATATAATTTGGCAATTGATTTATTTTAAAAGGCAGATATGACTAAAACATTTTTAAAGAATCATATATAATATATTTTAAGCATATAAGACATTTTATCACATGTTTATTTGAACCTTATTTTAAAAGAAACAACCAAATTATATAAAAAGTATGCTATCCCTGTAAATTACATTGTTTAGATTTTTGCCAGGTAGGAATATTTTGATGAAAGCAAAATAATAACTATAGAAGTTCATTGTCAGCTTACTCTTGATATCTGGGTCTATAATAATTCATAAAAATGTTAAAAAGACCAAAACAAACAACTTTGGTCTAATAGTTAACATATGATACTGTTAAAACCCAACATGATTCTTTATTTTCTCTCACAAGGAATTCTTGGCAATTTCTAAATTTTAATATGAAGTATTTTTAATTCATAAATATTTCTAGTTAATAATAAAACTACTGTAAACATTTAAAACTCTTCTATTTTTAAAACAGCTTACATTCTTGATATTTGAAATACTAGTATTTGAATTATTAAAAGGAAGATGAAATAATTTTATTAGTTAAAAGTTTTATTTTCACGAAAAGCAATGAGTTACTAAGATGGTATTAATTGCTTAAGACTTTTTTATTTTTAATTTTTTTTAAATTGGATTTTTAAAACCCGGTATTATATCTGCTTGTAAGACAATTGGAAATTATACATTCTGGATAGAAATTCTATTTTAAAACATTTGCTAAAAATGAAAAGCAATCTTAACTAAATATAAAATTTTTAAAAATATTTTAGTTAAGCTATTTTTAGATTTGTAAAGCAGAATGACAAATTTGCTTTGAATGCCAACCATTTCAGTAATTTGGTATTCTGTTGTTCAGATTTTTGTATCTTTAGTTGGAATATAAACCTTCTATTTATTTCCATTTGTATATAATTCTAAATGTAGAGTACAGATTCTAGAACATGTTACACATTCACTTGTTGGTCTTGAAAATGCCAATAAAAATAATGCATTTTTGGTTTTACATACAAATAAATGTTTTAGTAGCAAGAAACAGAAACTATATGGCACATTAATTTTTTTTGCATTTTTTTTAATAGATGCTAAAACAATGGTTTCAGGAAAAGGAGTATTTTTGTTTTATCTGAGACTTATAGTACCTTAAGTAATGTTTTCAAAGGAAAATAATAATACTTTTTACAAACTTTCCATTTCAACCCTTATGCAAATGAAACAGCTGCAGCTGATTACAACTTTGATGCAAATTGTAACTCAAAATATAGTTCATAATCATATCTTACTAAATATTTACATTAATATGGAAATAAATGTTATGCATTTTATGGGTTTAAAAAAGATATTACACAGAAAACAGGAACTCCCACAAAAAGAATCAATGCAAAGGACATTTTCATACAGTTTTAGAACCTTCAAACTGATAGCTAAATAGTTACATTTACTTTACTTAATTAATCTCACAGTTTTAAAAGTTAAGGAGGGGCAGCTTAGTTTTGAGGTGCTGAAGGGTTACATGACTCAGCTCTATCTACCTGACGTTTGCAAACATCCAGTTGCTAGACATCACTCGGATAACATAGCCCTTTTCATTTTTTAAAATTTTCATCTAGACATGTTGACATTATGAAGGCACAGAAATTGGTTTTATAGTAATAATATACAAGTATGACGACATTAAGAGAAATGTTAAGAATAAGCCCTATTGGTTCCTGAATTTGCCATCTAAATGTTCAAGTATTAGTCCTTGATTTTTTTTTAAATGTAACTTGATAATAATGAACTGCATTTAAGAAAAAAATACTTATGCTTCTGATTTAAAATAAAAGTAGGATGATTAGGTAAAAAATTTCTAGTGATACCTTATTGAATAGGAGCTACAGATAAAAACTAAAATGGCATTTACTGTTTTATTACTGCTTACTATTATTCATTCACTAGATATTTAAAAACTTTTTTAATGGTGATGTTAGATCTATTAGCATGTAATTTTAAATTAAATTTTAAAAACTTCATAGTATTAAAAAATCTGTATTCTAGTCTCTTAAAGTAGTTGCCAATATCAATGAAAGCTTAAAAATTAAATTGTTTTTATTTCTAAAATATATTTTCAGTTCTTTTAAATGGTATTGCTTTCTTTAGATTTTGATTGAAGAATTCTGAAATAATGCCAATGCTTAAGATCCTGATAAATCTTTAAAAAGCTTTCATTTTGCCTCTTATAAAAAAATTTAATCTGCGTTAAAATAGTATTATCAAAGAGAATTCAAATGCACTGGCAAAATTTTCTTTTTGCTACTTTTACTGTAAATAATAATAATGTTTGAAAACTCTCAATATTGGTCCGGAAGTTTCTGTCTTCATGGCATTATTATTATTTCTGCAAAATGCCATACAATAAGGAATATAAAATTATGGCTTAAAATATTTTGTAGTATGCCACTTAAAATAAATATTACAAAGTAATGACTTTTTTTTTAATTGCTAGGGAAGTTGGACCCCATCTCAGTGAAACTTTCTTTCCTCTTATAAACAGAAATGGTTCTTTTCTTTTTTCTTTTTTTCTTTTTTTTGGTCAGTTTCCTATGTCTTGTTTTTAATAGTGATACCCCATTTTGCTGAAGAAATTTCTATTTGTAACTTACCCCCAATAAAAATGATTTCATTTAAGCATTCTCAATGACACCATTATTAGTTCTTACTTGGCAACTATCAACTATGTCACTTTTGCTATCCAAATGTTACAAACAAAAACAAAAACCAAAAAAAACCTTCTGGTCTTGATCACTTTCCACTGTCACTATTGAGTAGAATCTTTTAAAGCATTTTTAATTCTCCAGATTTGTCAAGCATTCACATGAGCAATGTACAGGTAGAAAATAAGTCAGCTACCCAAAAAGATGTTGAACAAATATAAATGTTAATAAAAATGGACAAGAAGACCACTTCACACACACCCTCACCCCCCAATTTTTCAGGTTACTTTGACTTAAAAACATTGTGTACTAATACAGATTTGGTTGGATTTTGTCTGCAGAGCTGTGTTAGCTTTCTAATCTTGTTTTCTGTTTTAACCTGCATTATAGCCATGGCTAAAGAAATGAGAAATGAAGAAATGTATGGAAGCATACATTCATATACTTCTGGTTTTGTGGCTCTATCTAAACTGTGATATTATGCCAATGATAGAGCTATCCAAAACCTCTCTTTAAAACTTCTGAGATATCAAAACATAACATTGTATATGCCACAGATATTCACAATTATTATTTGTCAACTATACAATTTTTATTAAATTAATAATTTAATAAAATTAAATTATTTTTATAAAAAATAATTTTTCAAAAAGCTTAGAGGTTTATCTATGTAATTTTTAAACAAGCATTGTTGATTTTTGCAACAGCATTTGATTGCTTAATCAAAAGTGTTATGGGCTATATGATATGAGCATTTAAGAATGTCACTCATCCTAACTGATAATCCATACCATTCATCTCATTACCACATTTCAACCAATGTCTGGATCTATGTTTGTAATTGATGTAAAGCAGTTACTTGGCCAAACATGATCCCATCCCTACCAATTTTTTTCCATTTTGGTGGATGTGGACGTTGATTTCCCCAGGTGCATTTTCTAGGAAACAGGGTGATTATATCTGAAGAAACATCTTTATTCCTCTCTGTCCACAAACAGAGAGGAATATCATTGGAATATAAACGGGTCTAGTTAACGGCTGATTCTGGCAAACTTATTTGCAACAGCTAGATTTCTTTGCAATGAACAACTTAGACAGACTTCTTGATAAATTATAATGATTCTAATGGGGTCCTGTAAGGACCTGCTATTCAAATTGTAGCCACCTGTGATATTTTTATTCATAACAGGAGTGAGTCTGGTTCATTATCTCTAAATTTACCTTCAGAGAGCTACTATTACATTTTTGTTTGTCCTTTGTATTTGTTGATTTTTCCCTGCTTCTAAGCTTTAAACATATTGTGCGACTCTAACCAACACAGATGATTGTGGTCGTAGTCTGGAATTGTCCAATGGCAGATGGTTAAAAATCCCACTATGGTCCCATTCGTGGAGTTTATTGAGCTTGTCTGGTGAAGTTCTCCTCAGGTATCCCAAAGGACATAGTACTTGGACCACAGGCTCAATAGTGTTTAGCATTCATTTTGTTTGGTGAATTCCTGGTGATTGCAGCTTCTTTTTTGTATCAAATTGTCACTACAAAATAAAAAGCCCACCGGGTTGGACTTCCAGCCACAGCAAAACCTGATGTTAGGTCCAGAAGGGAATTTATAAATCAACACATTCCCCTTAACTGTTAAGTAGGGAGGATGCAGTGTTGAAATTATTTTTTCAAGGTAACTATTTGTATTTAGTTTGATCTCCAAACAACATGTGTTTGTTTCATTTGTTGAGATACTAAAGAAAAATCATAATATACAAAGTGCAAATGTTGATACTGAATCAGTAGAAACATTACTGTTTCCAGACACCAATAGGTAGAATATCTGATTCTGCATCAGGAGATCTTACTTTGATTCTGGATCAGGCAGTGACTCTTGGTGTAAACTTCTATAGTAATTTCTTTGTCTGGAAAATTGGGTTAATACTCTATCTGGCCTACAGGGTTCCTTATACTATTAAATGAGGTAAACATATGGGTAAGCATTTTGGAAAAGTGAAATTTCAGTCCATGGAAAAAAAGAATTGAATGGGGAGACCAATTTCAGCCTTTTGGTTGTATGACTCTGGGCAAATCATTTCCTTTCTCTGGATCCCTGTCAATTAAAAAAAGTGAAAATTGGACTAGATGATCTCTAAGTCTTCTTGTAGCTTTGACAACCTGTGTTTCAGGATGATCATTGACAAGATTCTAAGGGGCCCAGCTATACTCAAAGCGGGGATTTGTAGGGTGCCCTTTTGTTTTCTGTTTACTCAGATTAATGCCCTACATTCTGTTTGCTACTCATGCCTCTGACTTTGTAGGGGATACTACCTTGGAGGGTACTCCAAAACAGGACAAGCATATCTAGGTATCTCTGGTGGCCACTTTTGTCATAATGTCCAGCAGTGAGGTATCTTGCCACAGATTATACTGTGGAGGAAGGTTGGATATTCAGCCACCTCGACTTGGCTGTTTCTACAAAGTTCATCTCCTTTTAAGAACCTAGCTGGATGGCTTGGTAATGAAGGGTACAAAAGGATGAAGGTTCAAGTGGTTGGATATTTACTGCTTTAATTAATATTCTTCTATTGAAACATTGATCTTTAAGCAAGGTCTTAATAGCTTAATAATTTTTTTCTTTCTTTTTTTTTTTTTTTTGAAATGGAGGTTTGCTCTTGTTGCCCAGGCTGGAGTGCAATGGCACAATCTCAGCTCTCTCCAGCCTCCACCCCCCAGGTTCAAGCAATTCTCCTGCCTCAGCCTCTGGAGTAGCTGGGATTACAGGTGTCCGCCACCACGCCTGGCCCATTTTGGTATTTTTAGTAGAGATGGGTTTTTGCCATGTTGGTCAGGCTGGTCTCGAACTCCTGACCTCAGGTGAACCGCCTGCCTTGGCTTCCCAAAGTGCTGGGATTACAGGCGTGAGCCATAGCGCCCGACCAATAATTTCTTTTTTAAAAAAATGTAATTTTGTCTTTCAAAAGTCAGGGCTGTTGGTTTCTTGGACACATGGCTTGGACTACAAAGGAGACTGAAGGTTGGTGCATTCAGAAAACAGATGGTGGACATTTTGGCCTAAAAAGAAAACTAAGATTTTTTGAAGAAATATAGGTTGGGCAGAAAGTAAAGGATCCCAGGCATCTCTTTATAAGTATTTAATAAGAGAGCTCTGAGATAGTAAAGGATCTTCCAAACATTTCCCTTCAAAATTCCTAAAGGCATCTTCCAATTTTTCCAGAACATGTCCCATCCTAATAGGCACCAGCTGAGCTCCTTCTGACCAATCCTATAAAAGGAGACACTTAACAGGAATGCTGAGAGACAGTAGGTTCCTACATGAGGCGGCTGCATGAACAAATAAAAGGTGTTCTCTCTCTCTGTGTGTGTGTGTGTCTCTCTCTCTCTGCCTGTCTCTCTCTCTCTCTCTGTCTCTCTCTCTCTCTCTGTCTCTCTCTCTCTGTCTGTCTGTCGCTCTCTGTCTCTCTCTCTCTCTCCCTCTGTCTCTCTCTCCATCCCTCCATTCCTCCCTCCTTCATTTCTTTCATTGTAAGAATTGTTCTCCATTAAACTCTTAGCTGCTGTGGTCTAAACGTATCTTGCAGCTACACATTGCAATGGGCTATGGATTCTGATACCCTATTGGTATTTGATAGAGAGCTGACTCTCCAGGGAGTTGGTCATTTGTTCTGAATCGCGGCTTCGGCTACG
The DNA here is from genome assembly GCF_000001405.40 of Homo sapiens. Classification (NCBI taxonomy): domain Eukaryota; kingdom Metazoa; phylum Chordata; class Mammalia; order Primates; family Hominidae; genus Homo; species Homo sapiens. The sequence continues at coordinate 43,631,872 of NC_000011.10, forward strand.
GACCAGGTACCCTCCGTTTTGCCCCTATCGCACTGTTTCCTCTTTGGCCTCTCATCCCTCTTCACAGGCCCACACCTGGGTTGGAGAGGGCTCTGGGGGCAGCTGGTCGGTTACTACTGAGCAGAGTGTGTGAGTGAGGGAGGGGGAGGAGGAGGGGTAAATGGTCCGAAACATTTTTCTTCTAAAAAGTTGTCAGAAAGCGCAGATCCTAATCTCTTCGTTTGGGTCGTTATTCTCTATCACGACCCTGGTTTACGATTTAGGAGTTTCCTCTTTTGAGGTCTTTGTCATCTATTTAAGGAGATAAACAATTCAACACTTCGTGTGGCCTTGGTAAGTCATTTTACTTCTCTTGTCTTCATCTATAGAGTAAATGAATTGAATTAGATGATCTCTGAGGACTCTTCCAACGTGAAGACCAATGCTTCCAGTACTAGGCATGTAAAGCTAATTGGGAGATATTTTTTAAATGAGTAAGGGAAGCTCCTGACATCCTGTTTCCTGAACAGTGGAGAGTCTGCACAGGATGGCACAGCATGGAACTATTTAACCTGTGAACTTCGTTTTAAAAGAAAGCTGATGTCATTGGAAGGGTGTGGATTTCCTAGTTTTTAGATCACCATGGATCCTTTATGGCTCTTCTTTCCTACTTATGTATTTGCCATTTTTTTTCCTTTAAAGGATTTATTTAGAAGAGTGGTAAGGGGAGGTGGCCAACAAACTAACTTATTTATTGATTTTTCTGGAAAGTTCTTGGTGACTAAAGGAAAATATTGAGAAATGTCTTTGGATTCCAGTGGCCCATGCTGCTTTTTAGCCCCATTTTTGGAAGCAGTTCATGTTGACTCTATAAACGATTCATGTAGGTAAGTTATCATAGGTACAATGTAGACATTTCTACACATATATTTTTGTAAGTGGACATTTGGGCATGTTGGCATGTCTTTTAGACGAGATTTGTAAGGAAGTGGCATATAGCTGAGAGTGGATGGGCATGCTTCATTCAATTCTGATACTATCAGTAAATATTTTCTACTTCATACTTTTTTATTATAGTTCCTTTATTTAAAAAGAAAAAAAACAGAGAAAAGCATAATATGGTATGTTTTGGTTATAATGTAAAGAGGAGGGGTTTTGAAATATAAATTTAAGGGATACAAGTGCAGTTTTGTTGCATGGATATATCATGTAGTGGTGAAGTCTGGGCTTTTAGTGTAACCATCACCCATAATGTATGTTGTACCCACTAAGTAATTTCTCATCTAAAAGGAGGTATCTTTATCTTTTCCCATACAGTTTCGGTTCAGTGAAAAAATGTGTGTTTCCTTAACTAGCTCAGTCACATGTAAATCAATAAAATCACAATTTAAAGACAACAGGCCAGGCACGTTGGCTCCCGCCTGTAATCCCAGCACTTTGGGAGGCCAAGGCAGGAGGATCACCTGAGGTCAGGAGTTTGAGACCAGCCTGGCCAACATGCTGAAACCTCGTCTCTACTAAAAATACAAAAATTAGCAGGGTGCGGTGGCAGGCACCTGTAGTCTCAGCTACTTGGGAGGCTGAGGCAGGAGAATCATTTGAACCCAGGAGGCAGAGGTTGCAGTGAGCTGAGATAGTGCCACTGCACTACAGCCTGGGTGACAGAGTGAGACCTTGTCTCAAAAAATAAATTAAAATAAGTAAAAATAAAATAAAATAAAAACAACAACATAGCACACATTTTAAAGATGGCCTTGTGGATTCTGAGAGAAGGAGAATGACTGAAGGGAGAGGTTGAGAAAGAATGTTTTTAGCTGTTCCACGTAATGGTCCCACCCTAAATGGTATGGAAGAGTAGCTATCAAGAGAGCTTCAAGTTTCAGAGATTATAAAACTCTTGGCCATCTTCCCTTGTCCACATCAGTTTTTGAAAGACAAATGTGGCTGGGCACGGTGGCTCACACTTGTAATCCCAGCACTTTGTGAGGCCGAAGTGGGTGTATCACCTGACATCAGGAGTTCGAGACCAGCCTGGCCAACATGGAGAAACCCCATCTCTACTAAAAGTGCAAAATTACCCAGGCATGGTGGCGCATGCCTGTAATCCCAGCTACTTGGGAGGGTGAGGCAGGAGACTCGCTTGAACCCGGGAGGCGGAGGTTGCCGTGAGCTGAGATCACACCATTGCACTCCAGCCTGGGCAACAAGAGCAAAAACTCCATCTCAAAAAAAAAAAAAAAAAAAAAAAAAAAAAAAAAAGAAAGACACATGTATAAGATACCTTAAGATACTTTAGCATTTCTTTAAAAACAGGTAATTTGCAGATGAAATTAAAGAGAAAAAATAACCTCAGATTGGTCACCTGTTTTCTCTTTTCTTTTGCTTCTTCCCTACCAAAGGATGAGGGACCTTTTACCCTAGTCTCTATGGCTGAGCATGACTTAAAATTTAAGTCAGGTAAAACTCTAGTCCTCCCACCAATGCCTCTACCTCTCACCGCTGGAAAAGTCCAAATAATCCATCTCTTCCACCCCCACAAACTGCTATAATTTCACGTTTACTGAATTAACTAAATGATTAAAGGAAGAATGCATTTTTTTTCCTCTGAGCCTCAGTGAATTTGACTCTATAGAAAATTAACACCATTACGTATAGCATAGATTGGTTTACATAGACCAGTACTGAACTCTTAGGCAAAACAACCCCATTTTAAACTGTGTGACTACGTTTAAGTATTGTGGTCTCCTTTTCCCACTCTCTTTGCTCCCCATGCACACTGATTATTGAGAGAAAATATCTATTCGAAATTCCACAGGATCTTGTATCCAGTTCTCTCCAGTGTTCGATTTAAAGTAACATCCAGGAGGGTGGGATTGAATGACATGAGGTGGTCCCACAGAAGATGGGCTTGGAGCAGTTCAGCGAGGATATTAATTCCATAACAGAATTGGTTGGAATTAGCCACTTTAAAGAGGGCTTCTATTTAAGAACGCGTGTGTACTGTCACTGATGACAGAATAAAGACTTCAGGATATTGTTAAGAAAATTAGATTCCAAGTGGAAAAAATTAGAATATGGCCTGGGTATTAGAGAATAACTGTTAGCTTTGTTGGTGTGATAATGCCTTTGTGGTTGTGTAGGAAAATGTCCTTGTGCAAGATGAAATACTTGGGAGTAAAGTGCCATGGTGTGTGCAATTTCCTTTAAAGTTATCTCAGCAAATATAAAAAAAACAGATGAAGAAAAGATGACAAAATGTTAATAACTATGAAATAGAGATGATGTAGATACATTGATACTTGTTATATTCTTCCTACTTTTGTTTGTTTGAAAATTTCCATAGTAATAGTGAAAAAAACTTTTAGATCCAATATTGTAATGTTAAAAAATACCACACATAAATAATAAGGTAAAATCTTATTGAGATAATATTTTTTGTGCATGCACAAGAGGGGAGCCTGGATTTACAATTTGTCCAGACTGACAGGCAAACTCAGTGTTCTTAGTGTATGGTAACACATAAACTAATAGAGAATGAAAATCCCGTGCAATAATACCACTTATTTTATTTTTTAAAATGCATTTTAAATTATAGAATTGAGTTTGTAGAAAAGCACAGGAGACATAAAAAATGAAAACAAAATAATTTTTATTTACATATTACATCTTATTATCAGTTGTTCAGCTAAGTGCTGAAATGTTTGGGGTTCTGAACCCAGGGGTTGGAGGAGAGCACCTTGAAGATAGTTACAAACACAAAAGGGTTTGAGGACCTTGGACTCATGCATGGGAACTTGAAAGAGAAGTTAGAGTAGCCAGTATCATGGTATAAAGTAACTGAAAGTCTGAAGAGGATGAGACAAGTTTTGAAAACATAAACTATACCAAGATGATTTGATTTGAATGATCTTTGGAATTACCAGATTAATGTGCTTCTTAAAAATGCTTCTTTTGTCTTCTGAATAGTTATGACTATAGTAGCTATGTTCTACCCAGGTAATGCAATGCTTTTTGGATATGTTGGGATAGCATTTGTTTATCACAAAATGTGTGTGTTTATGTATTGCCATGAGGATACAGAAAGGAAATATACCTCAAATAGGGAAGGGCTTGTTTCTATGTAGTATTCTGGGGATACAGAGCCAAGCTTCAATGGTGTTGACTTTAGGTCTTTTGATTATTTGCTGTACACAGGTACATGCCCAAATATTAAAAATATAAGTATTACCCATATAACCCTTGAAAGTCCCACTTTTGTTTAAACAGGAAAGGACAGCTTTCCCTCTGAATGCCTATTTATTTTTCAAATAATAAATTTTAAATGGGCTCATTTTAAAGTAGCAAGCCTCTAGTGAGAACTATGTTGCACCGTATTAAACTTACCATTTGACCCTGTTCTCAACATGGAGATGGTTTTAGTAGACCGGAAGCCTTTAGTAGGCTTGCTCTTCCAAAACTGCTGCTGCTGTTGATTTACTGGTAGCAAAGCTGGGCTGTGTCCTAGGAGGAAAGGACAAGCGAATCCAGAGTTCTTGATTCCTTGGAGTTTGCCTTTTAGCAAAAGAAGAAGGAGCGTAGTTCAACAGTTAAGGTCCTGGACTAAGAAACATGAGATAGAGGATATATTAAATTCTTAAAATTTAGGCATATCTCTGGAGTTACCATTACATGAATAAATGGTCTTCTTTAAAAAAACCAAAAAACAGAAATAGGATATATTACATCTGGGTCCAGATCTATTTTTTTTTTTTGCTAGCTGACTACTGACCTCAGTGTCTGCATCTGCAAATTAAGAGACTCCGATTAAATAATAATTGCTGACATTTCTTCAGATTTTTACTGTGTCAGGAACTGTTTTGAGTGCTTTACATTAAATTTTTTTAATCTTCACAACTCTATAGATATTCTTTTTGTTTGTTTGTTTAATTTTTTCAACCTACATCATGCTTTGAAGATATTCGTAATATGCCTAATTCATCAATTAGGAGATAAGACATTCTGAGGTAATCAAGTGCTCGATAATCAGAGAATTTTCGAGATGGAGGGGCACATGGAAATCACCTCATCTGGGAGGCAGTGTGTATCATTGTGATTAAGTGGGCAAGCTCTGTACCCAAAATGTATGCCGTTCAAACTTGGATCTCATTAAGTATATAGGTTGAGCAAATGGCTTAACCTTTGTTTACCTCAATTTTCTTGTCTATAAAATGAGGATGATAATAGGATCTGCATTATAAAGTTGTAGTATTAAATATGCAGTGCTTAGAACAGTGCCTATCACCTAGAAAGCTCTCAGTAAATGTGAAAGCTAATGAGGGTGAGACTGATGATGGTAGTGACTGGATAAGTGGACACTGGTGTTTTTCCTTTTTTTTTTTTTTTTTTTTTGAGACGGAGTCTTCCTCTGTCACCCAGGCTGGAGTGCAGTGGCACAATCTTGGCTCACTGCAACCTCTGTCTCCCAGGTTCCAGCGATTCTCCTGCCTCAGCCTCCCAAGTAGCTGGGATTATAAGCATGCACCACCATGCCCAGCTAATTTTTGTATTTTTAGTAGAGCTGGTATTTCACCATGTTGGTCAGGCTGGTCTCGAACTCCTGACCTCAGGTGATCCGCAGGCCTTGGCCTCCCAAAGTGCTGGGATTACAGGTGTGAGCCACCGTGCCTGGCTGACACTATTGTTTTTCTTAGAAGAATGTGCTACAGTAGTATTAACAGATCCTCTATTGGGTCAGAAACAGGTGCTAGTGATTGTCATGGTCTTAATGGAAAGGATGGGGTTATCATCAGTGATACAGAATGGTTTTTTAGAGAAAGAAATAATTATGTTGAAGACGCAAAGTTAATAGGAGACTGTTCGTTCAGAAAAATGTGTGTTAATTTGTAATTCAGCAACAAGTTCATAGAAACACAGTGTCCATGAGCTAGGAAGGTGCATGTATTTTTCAGGCTGTTTTTAAAGCTATGAAATTTCAATAATGTGTAAGAGAAAAAGTGATATGTAAATACCATTGTGGATGGGGAGGGGTTATATTTAGGTGGTTAACATTAGGCAAGCCAGTGAGTAATAATTAGCAAATTATTACCATGGCCCTCTGTGCACTTGAAGGCTCTCTGGTGGAGTCAAGGGTAGATCTGCCTCTGTGGCATTTGTCAGAATGCAGATTTTCAGTGAGGGCTTTGTTAAATAAACCATCAGTGTCTGGGAGGGGGAGGGAAAGCAGACTGAGAGAGGCAGCAGTAACACATATAGAAATGAAGTCCAAATTCGGGTGCTTATATGGCGATATTCCAGTTTCTCTGGATCATCATAGACACATATAGAATGTTCGTGCTAAATGGGACCTTGGAGATTGTCTGGTACAACCCCCTCATTTTACATTTTACTTTTCTATGAGAATAGAGTTTGGTGAAATCTGGCCAGGATTTCAGTACAGTGAAATCAGGGAAGTTTGTGGTGTGTTTAAAGAGAGATTTCATGTTAGGATGAAGGGAAAGCGGACATTCCTTCAGTTTTAGAGTGATGTCCAGGTAGGAAAGTAGAGTGGGTAAGGCAGTGAATTTTCCCAAATTAATTAAAAGAGGAAGGGAAAGAGGCAGAAAGGGCAAAGAGATAATCTAATTTTATGCTAAACAGTTTTTGAATGGATTTGTAGCTAATGTTTAAAAGTTGATGAAAAAGAAAACTCTTATTTTATTATTTCTAGGAACTTGGTTTTCTTAAACGGAAAGGGAAGTTTGGGGGAGAGCTTGGCAGCATTGATGGTTCCAGCAAAGGAAGGATCTATTTGCATCTAGTGTTGAACCTAGTAAGCAGTTTATGTTAATCCCTTACTCTTTTAAGATTAATATATCGTGGTGTTTTAAATAATTACTTATAAATAAGTTTATGCCTAATGCTTTCTTTTAAATAACAGTGTGTCTCAATAGGACTAATGAGTCAGATTAATTTGGCATGGAGTTCTGAGCAGGGAAGGGGACTGAAGTCCTCTTTCAGAACACTAAAAATGCTTTGCTACATTCCTTGACAGTTTCCCGAGACAGGGTTGGGTTGGAGGGAGTCTTCCCGAAGATTTAAGGGCTCCCCACTGTGCTAGCTCCCCAGTTCCAATAGTGTCGGGTCTGAATAAGGACACTTGTGAAAGTCCACATCTCTAGTGTGTCTGTTTACCTGGAGAAAAATAAGCCAACAGCCCTGAGGGTGAATCAAAGATAAGATTTTTATGGCTCTGTACCCACTTGTGTTTTATTTTTTATAAAAAGCATTATTTACCTACCACATCTTTAAGTACTTCAGAAAGAAGCTTTGAGTTTGTCATTGTTTTTAATTTAAAAAGGAAAACATTGCACTTTTTTCTCATCTGCACTTTTGTAAGGTGTGGAGATATTAGAGGCTCTCCATATTGGACGCTTCAACCTTGCCTAACAGCACAGCCCGCCCACCTTGCTGGGAGAAAGGCTTCAGGAAAACGAGTAGAGCTGAGGGCTGAATACTATCTTAGTTTAGGTCTTTCTTCTTTTTGCCTTTTGGTTCTGCTTCCCTTGGCTGCTCCCACTTCAGTATCTGCTTGTTGTGCTGGGTAATGGAATCAAGTTAGAGATGAAGAAACTGAGGCACAGCCTAGTTACAATCCCTCATTTTGACAAGGCAAAATGAGAGGGAGCACTCAAGCCTTTAGTCTGGGTGGAGACAGTAGGTCCTGTTGCTTCTGCCCTAGAAATTGCTTGGGCTTGTGAGTTGACATCTCTTCTATCCATAGAAGGAACCTCTGCTTAGTACTTGCAAACTTGTACCACAAAAGTCACATCCTTCAGGGGAAAAAAAAGAGAAAAAGAAAAAAAAACTAGCTTAGGAAACCAAAGGTTGCCAAGAATGGCATAAGGGAAAGCAATTTTTTAGTGTCTGTGCGTAGGAATTTTATACGTTCTATGTTGCTGTGAAGCACCAGGGTCAGTTCTGAGCAAGATACTTTTCGTGAAATGAGGGGTGGTGTCTGCGGTTGGCATTCTTTCTTGTGGTTCTCACTCAGCTGTGCTCTCCAACTTTATTCACCTGTATGAGAACCCTAAGCGGGATGCCCTGGTGAAGAACAAGAAATTGCCAGGGTCTGGCAAATTGCAAGTCCACAAGTACCTAGTAGGGAGTGAAAATTGGTTATGTTTGGAGTATGGAGAGATAAGCTTAACTAAACTGTGAGTAAACATGAAAACAAAAATAAAATCAGAATATGCCCGCAAATGCTGGGGAGAAGAATGTTAGGCATTTTATTGGTCTGTTAAAAAAAAAAGTGGGGAATGGTGGATTCATAGAAGAAATAATTAGAAAACTGGTGTAGGAAAAACACTGTGGGGAGGGGGGAAAGCAGCACAATTAATTCTCATTCCCCCCCTCTAAAGTTTGAAGTAGTAGATCCTTATGGGGAATGAAGGGAATATGTAAGAAATCGTAAAATTTTCTAAGCAGAAAATAATTTTTCTTTGGAGAGGAGGCATGTGAGTTCATGAATGTAAACCTGCATTAAAAAGGAGAGACAATTGTGGGCAGAAAGAGGGAGAAGGAGAAGCAGTATAATCGTTTTTAAAAATTCAGCCTAAATTGAGTATTCAGCATTTCCATCTTAGAGTATGTAGGGTTTTAAATATCTCTGTTCGAGAAAATTGATTTGAAGATAGAAAGGCCTTTCGAAACTTAGAAATTCTAGGGTTTAGGTTTTTTTCTTTCATATGTTTATTTGAAGCTTAGACTATAGAAACTATATATAAAATAAGAATTGTTACGTATTAGGAAATTTTTAAAATAGATAAGGCTAGTTAATTATTTAAATATATTGAAAGTATTAAAACTATTGAGTCATAAATAAGACCCCCAAAATATGTCAGTGGCAGGGTAAAATGCAGAAAAACTAAGTATATCAGAAACTACTATCTGTGATAAAATTCAAAATGGGGTTTTTAATTGCAGCATTAATTTAATTTAATTATATTTCAGACTTGCTACATAAAATTAGGACTCAAAAATACAAATATCTATATGTCCATCATGATTTTTTACAGAACAGAAGTAATCATAATCATTTACTTGTTTTTTTTTTATTTCTATAGGAAAATAGCAAAAATTTCATCTCCTGAAGAAATTTGAAGATTTTTTTGGATATTCTTTTAAAGGTGAAACTTTTCTTCTTTAGGTAAGGAAACGTTTTCTATTGTTTATCCATGGGTTGAAAAGAGCATTTCAATTAGACGAAAGAAGTATCATGTACTAAAACTTTGCTTATCTTAACTGATGTAAAACATCATGAAGATGATAGAAAGCAGGATTTTTAATTTAAATAAAGCAAAAGTAGTTAGAAATTTTTCATTTAAAAAAGATTAATTTGTTGGGGAAAAAATGAGATAGACCCCTTTTTTTTTGCACTTTCTCATAGCCTGAATAAGAGGATTCCCATGATCCATCTTTTAAAAATATTTAAGACATAACCAAATTAAAATAAAAGTTATGATTCTGGCACAGAGTTTTAAAAAATATTTAGCAAAATCAAAAACAAGAGAATTTTCAGACATCTAAAATATTCCTAAACACAGATGTAAACTAATGTGATAAACTATTTTGATAAATTTGAAAGACTGGTCATTGTTTTAAAAGCAGGCCCGTGAATTAAAGTTAATTAAGATTTGTGCAGTAACAGGCAAACTTAAACTTTGGTATATACTCACATGCTGGGAAAATATTTTTTTGTAGGGTCAGAATGTAAATATAAATAATTTGTTTAATCAGGCAAGAACCTGTACTTTGTGTGTGAACTCTTTTCAGTGTTTGGTAATTGTGTTACGTTGATAACATAAGAAAAGGAGACAGACTAACTTTTTAAGCATATTAGAATATTTGCAACTCATTCTATTTTTGGCAATAATTCTATTAGTGCAGTTTACTTCCATGAACAGTATAAAATACATACATGAAAATCAGATTTTTAAAAGCAGATTACAAGTGCAATTAAATTGTCTAAACAAACATTTTAAATGCTTTGAAGTATTTTATGAAATTAAAAGAATAAAACAAGTAGTTTCAGAAATTATAGAATCTGTTGTAAATATGCAAATTTGCACATTCTAGCTTTGTCACCAATGCCACATTTGGGAAAAGAAATAGATTGCAATGTTTGTCTTCTATTAACATATATATATTCTTAAAAGTATACAAAATGTTTCCTAATTTTAAACATATTAATACTGTTACGTATAAATATTTTTTAAATCTTAGTATAAAGTTTAGGGTTTTAAAAAAATATACTTTAAAAATTCATGTGGTGAAATAGAATCTAAAAACTTGAGGGAAATTACTAAATTTTTTGGTATAAATTTGAAGAGTTCATTTCTAGAATACGTTTATTTTCTTCTTATAAAGACATTTACATCAATATTAAGTATATAGATTAAGACCTACTTAAATTACTTAATTAAAATATACTAAACTTCTAAGTTATTTTTAAAAGAATGATGTGGGTAAACTGAAAAGATCATAAAATTATTTCTAATGTAATTTTTACGTAAAGCCCTTTAATATATCAGTTTTTACCTCTTATATTTTGAACCGTTAAAAGAAAAAAAATGACTAATCTCCTAATGGAAAATATAATCTTATAGTACTGAGAAGAGAGTTGTAAGCATGTAATAAATATATGAGATCAGTTTCATTTCTGACTTGTTTTTGAGCCTTTCTTATGAATCATCATGTATTTTAACATCAAGAGAATAATATATAAAATACGCTTTAAAATGTTACAACCTGGTAGCTATTAAAAAAGAGAGGGGAAAAAAACAGAGCTTTGCCTAGCAAAATACTAACTAAAGAGTTAGGTGAGAATTAGAAATGTTCAGATGCTAAAGTAGTATAATAAACTAAAATTCCAAATATATATGAATATATAATTTTTTATATCTTGGTATATGGCATTTGTCTTAATTGTTTAGGAAACTACATATTGTACAGGAGTGAAGAAGTAAATGATGAAGTATTTTCTCATCATAGTTTACTAGATAAAAAATGTACTAATAAGCTAAATGTAATAGTAAGGGGCACATTTAAAATATAATTTCGTAGAGTCTTACTAAATACGTATCTTTCCAACAAGGCTTTAGGTTTTTGCATGTGTATTAGGATTTCTGAGTTTTGTGATTTGAAATTCATGATACATTTTGAGTGCCCTTTCAAATGGCAAATTGTTTCTGTGGAAAAATCAGACATTATGTACATTTCATTTTATATTTGGATGTGAGAAAAATAGCAGATAATTTGGGAGAATTCTAGTTGTTGCCTTAGTGTATGCATCAAATACTAAACAATTATTTTATCTCTCAGTTATACGTCTGGGCATGTTACAGTTTGTACTGTATGTACAAACAGGATATTGAACTTACATTGATGATACAGTGTTCTTTAAACGTGATTGTTAATCTTTACTGAAATTATGGGCAAACTATTTCAAAGAAATGCGTTTTTAAACTCTTATTTTTAATTAAAATGAGAAAAACCTTGAAGGAGTTCATTTATGAATAAAATATGTAATTGTGCAGTCTCCTGAAAGAATGAACTCTTAGTTTATTTTTCAAATTTTATTAAAATGTTTCTTTACTTGTTGCTTGTTGGCATTTTAAAATTAAAAAGTAATAAAGCAGCATTATTATATTTCTGATTATCTATCAAGAGAGTGAAAGGGAAACCAAAGTATATTGACACAACCCAGGTTTTCCCCTAAAAAAAACTAACTTCAAATTGAAAAAATATATTGCCCATATTTAATATTTCTTATTAGGACTTACTTGGAGTCGCATAATTTTTTTGAGACAATATATTGGAGGAAATTTGTCTTATAAAATGGAGAGATGTAGAACATTGTGGGCAGTTATAGGATAGTCTTTCTCTCTTGTTGCTTCCCAGAAGTTAGAAAACAGATTTTAAATTAATAGTGTTGAGTACACGAATCTCTGGAGTATAATAACTTAGAAAAATGTTGGAAAATGATAAAGTCGAAGGGGAAGATTAATTGAAGTTAAGTGTCCCCTTTTCAAATGGGAAGCATTTGACACTATGAGGAGTGCTCTAGAGATTAACAAATGTTTCTCTGTCAAGGATAATTTTCTGAGCAGTTGAGGTTGTTTGTGTGATAAGGGAAGGCGGCTAGATAGCGTAACTATAGGTGTTTGAGAAAATTTCCGAAGTTACTTTCAGATTGAAAGGGTGAAAGTAGGTGCAACAATTGGCCGTTGGGAGGGGAAAGGGTGCAGGGCTCGCCAGCCCGGCGCCACTACAGGGTTAACCGCGGCGGCGCCCGGTGCACACTGGGAGTTGTAGGCCGCGGGCATTGTGGGAGTTGTCGTAAAAGCCTGCTTTCTTGCCGTGATGGCCGCCGCCGAGGCAGGGAGTTGAGGGTTTCTGCCTTTCGGAGGGTTTGGGGGGCTGTCGGTCCCGTTAGAAGGCCACCAACAGCCCCCCAGGTTGCCAAGGGCCTGTTAGTTGTGTTCCTGGAAGGTGGGCAAGCAGCCTGATGGGTTAACATTGGGATTTGCCGTCGTTATAGCGGTCAAGGGGCCTGTAGCGGCTGCAGGGTCGGTGAGGGTTCCCAGCCGGCCGGACCTTGGTCGTCTGGCATTCTGCCTTTGAAATATCTGGGTGGCCGGCGCCTAGGCATATGGGGTTGTGCTTTCTGTGTTGTGGTTTGTAGCTTGCATCCTCCACTGTTCTTAGCGCATTTGGCTCTGTCCATATGGCTGTTGGTACTCATGGCCCTATTTGGGGTTGGACTGGGCTCTTTTTCTTGGGTCTGGTGGGATTTAAGCAAGAACTGGAATTTTGTAAGATGTACAGCAGTGTCCTGGGTGTTGTCTGTCTGGTGTGGGGTGTGAGCAGTTGCAGGAGTTATGAACGTGTCCATGATCGTGTGGTTGGCTTTCCCTTGCATGTGGTGAACTTTCCCCTCGTTTGCTAATGCTGAAAGGCAGTGTCAGGCAGTTCCTACTTGTGAAATGCCTTCTTATTAACTTGGATGTGTTCCTAAATCTTGGGAGCTTTGCAATTGCTTGTAGAAAGATATGTGTGCAAAACTGAATTTAAAACGAGCACCAGGGTTGCAGGTACCTTTAGTTCTAGGGAGCCAGCTCCCCCAGGCTTCCCTGGTGCTGTGAAGTTGTTTGAGTTTATTTATGGAAATTAGGTTTGCTTTGAGCTGTGTTACCTTACTCTTGGCTCAGAGTTTCTCTGCATGTTGGGACCCTGATCTTTGATATTGGGTACTGTTTCAACATTTGAGGCTAAATGAAGCACCGTGTACTGATGTGTAATGTCGTGTATCACAATCTCAGGATAACACTAGATAGCCAAGAATGGCAGTACCTGTTTTGTCTGTCTACACGAATTGGACCTCATTGTTTCTGCCACAATGTACTGCTCCATAAATTCCGCCTTATTTCCATGGTATTGTCTGTAAGTTTTGAAATCTAACTGGTCATGAAAAGCCATTTTTCAGGCAGTATTTAAAAGCTTTTTCCCACAAGTAGAACTGGTATCTAAAACATTTTTTCATTCAAGTTTGGTAAGGTGGGAGATTTGAAATAAGGTACAACAGTGGTTTTGGAAATCAGCTATCAAGTTTTAGTTTTAGGGGCCACCACGTGACAGAAATGATTTATAGAGAGAGTAAAAATTGTATTCCATTTCTCTTGGTATTTTAGTGCATATAAAAACTAAATAAACCACTTTCATATATCATTAAAAAGCCCTTTGTGTCTTGTGATGAATGAGGTTTTTATAACTCCCCTATTGTCTGGGTTTGCTTAGAATATAGTAATGGGGCCGGGCATGGTGGCTCACGCCTGTAATCCCAACACTTAGGGAGGCCAAGGCCAGGGGATCACTTGAGGTCAGGAGTTTGAGACCAGCCTGGCCAACATGGTGAAACCCCATCTCTACTAAAAATACAAAAAACTTAGCTGGGTGTGGTGGCATACGCCTATAATCTCAGCTACTCAGAAGGCTGAGGTGGGAGAATCACTTGAACCCAGGAGGTGGAGATATCAGTGAACGGAGATTGTGCCACTGCACTCCAGCCTGGGCAACAGAGTGAGACCCTGTCTCAAAAAAAAAAAAAAAATTAGCTGGGTGTTGTGGCAGGTGCCTGTAGTCCGGCTACTCTGGAGGCTGAGGCAGGAGAATCGGCTTGAACCTGGGAGGTGGAGGCGGCAGTGAGCCAAGATCACTTCACTGTACTCCACCCCTCCAACCTGGGCAACAGAGTGAGACTGCATCTCAAAAAATATATGTATAGTAATGGTAGAGAAAGCAGCAAAGCTGGCTGGGTATGTACATGTGATTCTGTTGAAACTGATTTCAGGTATGGATTGATAGGCTAATATTGTTGGGTTGCTAGTCAGATCTCAGGAAAGTATTTCCTTCCCTCTAACCTGACCTAAGTGTGTCTTAGAATGTTAACTAACTTGACAATTGAATAAAAAAGATTGAGAAATTTATTTTTAAATGATCCATATTGTCCATATTTGTTACTGTTTGGTGATGTGGTCAAATACTATTGTTCTGGTGAATTGGTTTTGTATCTTAGGAAGACCGGATGGCTAGACTTTGTAGATGTGTAGAATCATTTAGAATGAACCACAGCCACAGTGCCCATTTGCCTTGAAAGAAGATACATGAATTTTTAATTGACAAGTTACCTCTGGCTTGAGTTAAACAGAACAAATAGTTCATTAGAGGGTGCTTTGAATGGACTTTGAGAGTGGAAAGGTACATACTTTGTTAAGTTTAGAGGTAAACTCATCTCTGCATTTGCATAGAGCCCTTCCAGACATTTGCCAGTAGTCACATCTCTCTACAAAGTGGTGAGGTTTTTGTGTCCAAGAATTTTGGTATTTAATCATTTATTTGGTACTCTGTTTCCCATCCTTATCACTCCAATTCTGATGCTGGTGTGAAATGTTTTGTGTAATATACAAAGGCAACAGTAGATGTTTCAGAAAAAAATGTGATAAAATCTACTTATGTTTTCTGGAACATGATTCATAAGGTTGTGTTTACATATTGGATAGATACGTCAAAAGGTGTCTTTTTGAAACCCAGGGTTTGCACAGTTTCAACGAAACTGTTTTCAATGAGGCATAACACCAAAGGGTAACTTTCTTGACTAAGGTGTTATAAAATGAAAGCCTTTAATTCTTGTGTTCATTCAAAAAAGAAATGGAAACTTGTTTCCAAATAATAGAATTTGGAACATGACCAAAAAAATTTTCACTTTAGACTGTAGCCAAAATTTGGAGACTCCAAGAAGGGAACAGAGTGTATCTGTTTGGGGCCTTTACTCAGGTTCTTTCTAATCTCTTGTTTTCCCGCATATAACTATTCACATTGCTGAAAGTAAGCAGTTCTTTATTTTTTCGGAGACAGGGTCTTACTCTGTCACCCAGGCTGGAGTGCAGTGGTGTGATCATAGCTTACTATAACCTCAAACTCCCAGGCTCAAGCTATCCTCCTGCCTCAGCCTCCTGAGTTGCTAGAACTACAGGCATGCTCCACCACACCTTGCTAATTTTTTTTTTTTTTTTTTTGAGACAGTTTTTCACTATGTTGTCCAGGCTGGTGTCAAACTTCTTGCCCCAAGTGATCCTCCTGCCTCCCAAAGGGCTGAGATTACAGGCATGAGCCACCACACATGACCCTAAGCAGTTCTTATTAATGCATTTCTGCATTTGTGAACATTTGTAAGGGTAAAACTGCATATAAAACAACAAAATCACCCATTCCGAATTTGATCTTTATTTTTCATTAATATTATTTGAAAAAGAAGAATTGTTGATTGTAGTTTGTACACTTAAGTTTGGTACGTTTGGTTTTAGATTCCAGTACTCTTAAACATGGAATGTATATTCACCCCTCACCCTGACAGGATAGTAAGGTTTCTGAGAGAAAGAGGAGTGGTATTTTTAAAACTTCTATGCTTATTAATGATGAATTTTATTTTTTGATTCTTCCTACATGTATTTCCAGGACAGAATATATTATCTCTGCCCTGCTGGGCCCTTTGTTTTTGAAGTCAGAGTATTGGATGATTTTTATGGGTAGGACAGAGCAAACCAACACTTACTTCAAAATGCTGAATGTAGATTAAAAGATATTCATTTCCATTAGAAATAAAGCAAGATCGTATGCATATGTCCTACCAGTTAAAGGATTCTGTATCTTAAAGCCTCAAAAAAAATCATAAATAATCATTTTGCTTTGTCCTTTGCCTTCCTTATTTTTCTTTTTGTTCAGTTTTCTCTCTCAGTGTGCCTTTGTGGGGTTCCAGAATTTAAATGACATTTTTGTTTATTTTGGATTATTTTTCAAATTATTTGCTTCAACTTAAAACCATTTTCACCTAAATTATTCATAACATGATTTTAATAAGTCATTCTTGTCATATTTCATTTTTATAATTAAAATATTATAAATATTGAATTTCTTTTTTGGGAAAAAATGAGCTAGCTACTTAAACCAAATTCACAAAGTTCCAGAATTTGGCCTGCAAAAAAATCCAGGGATGTATAGCTGTAGCTTCTTTTTCTGTTATTAACAGTCTTTAGACAATGAAGAGAGATGCATGATTTGGCCGTTTCAGAAGAAATCTGAAAAGCACTTCTTGCCCAACACTAAATATAATGTGAAAATTTTATTAGGACAGTATAAGGAGAAATCCTTGAATTCACATAAAAGAATCGAATAAAGCAGTTCTATATGTGTTTACCAATCTAAAAAAATTTTTTTTATTTAGTAAACCACTTTCTTGTTTTCTTAACTCAGAAATAAATGTATGTGTCTGGATTTGAAAATTTTTTTTGTTTTTTTGTTTTGAGACAGAGTCTCACTCTGTTGCCCAGGCTGGAGTGCAGTGGTGTGATTGATCTTGGCTCACTGCAACCTCCACCTCCTGGGTTCAAGTGATTCTCCTGCCTCAGCCTCCCAAGTAGCTGGGATTACAGGCACCCACCACCATGCCTAGCTAATTTTTGTATTTTTAGTAGATACGGGGTTTCGCTATGTTGGCCAGGCTGGTCTCGAACTTCAGACCTCAGGCGTTCCGCCTGCCTCAGCCTGCCAATGTGCTGGGATCACAGGCGTGAGCACCCGACCTGAAATTGTTTTTAAGGAGAATTCATTTTTGGTAGGGAGAGCCATGTTTTCAATAAAGTTGTAGTAAAAGAGTAGCCAACTTGTGTCTTTTTTTTTTTTAATTATTAACCAAAGGTATTGATTATATGTAGTTTATAAGGGGAGAAAAGGGCCCATTGTAGTAGAGGGTTAAAATGAAGACAGTGATTTTTAGCTTTTGTGTACCATTTGCTATAATTACTTTCTGATAGAATTTGAATTTGTAATGTAATGGAGTTAATTTTAAAATATTTGAGAAATGGCTTTATATATATAATATCATATTAATTTTTTAGACACATAGGATTCTGTAATTGTTTCATCCTAACAGATTTTTAAAAGGAAGCATATAAAGTAAATGAAACACACTCTTATTATATTCTTCTACTTGAGGTAGAAGAATTCTAAATTAAAACTTGGAAAAAAGAATTTTTATCCGTGCAAAAGATTTGAGGTATGTACTATAGTTTTATAAATCAATAGAAAAAAATGGAAGGACACAGCCATGGCTGGGCAATTCACAAAAGGAAAAATAAAAATGGCAATAAATAATGTGGCAGATTGTGTTTACCAAAGGTGGCCACAACTGTGTCTCCCGGTTTTACATATTCTTCTCTATTGTGACAATGTCACTCTGTCATCAGAAGGTGGAGTCTTTTCACTTCCTTGAATCTGAGTGGATCCTTCGACTGTTTTGACCAAGACTATGTGGTAGAAGCGAAGTTCCAGTTCCAGGTATTGCTCTTATTTCACCTGACAAGTTTGGTTTCCTGCCTTTTGGAAGCTGACCACTATGTTAGAAATGTAATCACCCTGAAATCACTATGTCGTGAGAAACCCAAAGGCAAGTGAAGAAGCCCTGGAGGATGCGACATCAAGTGTAGAGGCAAAAGAGCACCAAGGAAGAGGCCAAAGAACACTAAGTGAAGAAGCCATTTTGAAAATGGATCCTCCAGCCCCAGCTGCCCTAGTTGTTACGTAAATCAGATAAATTGCCCAGTGGTACCCTTCCCAATTTCTGCCCCATAAAATCATGAGCCAAATAAAATGGTTTGTTTTAAGCTTCTAAGGTTGTGGGTGGTTTGTTTTGCCATGACAGATAACAGGAACAAATACTGGGGGAAAATTTTTGTTTGATAATGGGTACAATTTGCTTGTCTAAATCTGATAAGGAACTAGTATCTACAATAAGTAAGGAGTTTTGTTTGTTTTTCAAATGAAAACAAAACAAAACAAACACAAGAGCCCTAATAGAAAAATGCCAAGATTATGAACAGGTGTTATTTCAAAGAGGAAATACAATAGGCTAACAACATGAAAAGGTACGCTCAAACTCAGTAATTAGAGGAATTAAGATTAGAGCAACAATAAAGTATCTCTTTATCCCCAGTAGACTAAGAAAAATGAGAAAGATGGATGATGCCAAGTATTGGTGGGGATGGGGGTTAGGAACCCTCATACACTGCTGGTGAGAATATAGAGTGGTGGAGCCGTTCTGGAGAGCAGCCTGGCCGAATTTAATTAAATGAATATAGATCTTAAATTGTTCCTGGGTATATGGCCTCAAGTCTTACATAGGTCTCTAAAGGAGGAAATGTGAGGATGTTCATCACATTGTTTTTCATGGCAGAGTCTCAGATCCAACCTGAGGTTCTTCATCACTGGAGGAATACATAGGTAAAATATGGTGGATGCACACATGTAGTACAGTAGTCCCCACTTATTCACAGTCTCGATTTTTGCTGTTTCAGTTACCTGTGGCCAACTGCAGTTTGAAAATATTAAATGGAAAATTCTGGAAATAAACATTTCAAAAGCTTTATATTTTGCAGCATTCTGAGTCGTGTGATGAAATCTTACACTTGTCCATTAGTTACTTAGTAGCTATCTCAGTTGGATTGAAAAAACAGGATCTATAGGGTTCAGTACTATCCTTGTTTCAGACACGCACTGAGGGTCTTGGAATGTATCCCATAAGGGGAGAGTAATGTGCTATGCATCAGATAGAAGCAAAAGACTACATATATCTACCATGCATAATGTTTGAGAAGTACAGTGTTCCATGAAAATAAAAAGTGGAATCTAGAAATGTTCAAAAAGGTATGTAAAACACGTTGGAATGAATACCTAAAGGGCAAGGTAAATGTTGCCCATGAAAGAAGAAAGGGAGAGGATAATGGAGAATGAGTTAAAATAAACTGAATAAAATGAGAAGCCAATGATGATAACGTGCTGTGAACCAAGACATATTCATCATACTTTCTGTGCTGGAGGTCAAACAATACTCCCTCACTCCAAGAAGAGAAGATTATAATTCTCAAAGTAAACTGAAAGAACCATTTTTTCAGTCTGCCTCACTTGGAACAAATTTTTAAATGAGATCAGTTACAGAAGTATGGTCAAACAGGCAATCTCATATTTTGTTGGATATGTAAATTGGTATGGCCATTATAAAGTACAGTTATTCATCAAGATCCTTAAAAATGCTTATATCCTAGCAATAAACATTTGTAAATTGAAGTTAAAAAAATCCATTGGTTGATTGATTGATTGATTGAGACAGTCTCGCTCTGTCGCCCCAGGCTGCAGTGCGGTGGTGCAATCTCGGCTCCCTGCAACCTCTGCCTCCTAGGTTCAAGTGATTCCTGTGCTTCGGCCTCCCCAGTAGCTGGGATTACAGGTGCACACCACCACATCCAGTTATTTTTTACTTTTAGTAGAGACAGGGTTTCACCACGTTGGCCAGGCTGGTCTTGAACTCCTGACCTCAAGTGACCTGCCTGGTTAGCCTCCCGAAGTGCTGGGATTACAGGCATGAGCTACTGTGCTCAGCCACAAAACCATTTAAATAGCACCAGAAAACATGAAATACCTAGGGATACATATAACAAATATGTGTAAGACCTGTACACTGAAACTACAAAACATTGCTGAGAAATTTAAAGAATACATAAGTTGTGAGAAAGATACCATGTTCGTGGATTGGAAGACTCAATGTTGTTAAAATTTCAACTCTTCAAATGGATCTATAGACTCAAAGCAATCCCAATCAAAATACCAGGTAGCTTTTTTAAAAAATAAAAAACCCAAAGTGGCTGATCCTAAAATATATATGGAAATGCAAGGGCTCTAGGGTAGTCAAGACAAGAAAGTTGGAGGACTTACATTTCCTGGTTTTAACAATTTAAAACCACAGTAATCAAGACAGTGGAATTTGGTTAAAATAATCAAATTTATAAATTTATGCTATGTAAAACAATAGGTGTGGAAAAAGGAACTTTTTCCTCTGGTCTCACACCACACAATCATCAACACAGAGAAGATGTCTGTTACCAAATGTGTGGAGATTTTTCCCCTACACACCAGACAAGCAAGCAGTTCTGCAGCAGGCACCAGCTGGGTGTCTTCCAATTCAATTCCGACACTATCTACCTGGAGATAGCCTCAGATTGAGGGCTCAGTCCCACAAGACTGCCACCACCCTTCAGATGCCAGTTGCAAGTCTGGGCCTCCAGAACATCTGACCAACCATGTTCAAGATAGGGTTCCCATGACCCCCTGTTTGGGTTCAATTAATTTGCTAGCGTGGCTCACAGAACATGTATGCTGGTTTAAAGGATATTACAAAAAAAAAATACACATGAAGAGATACATGGGGCGAGGTATGGAGGAAGGGGTGAAGAGCTTCCATGCCCTCCCCAGGCACACACCCTCCAGGAAACTTCACATGTTCAGATATCTGGAAGCTCCCCACACTCTGTCCTCTTGGGTCTTCTATGGAGACTTCGTTGGTTAGGCATGATGAGGACTGTGTGGAAATATGAATGGATAAAAAGAGTATGATCTAATACTAATAAGATCATACTATTCATTACTATTACTGAATGAGGAAACCCAGTAAGGCTGGACAGTTCAGATTCTTGGGCTCTCTGGCAGCATTTTTTTTTCTTCCAGGGTATGGGGCAGTACCCTTCTGAAATGAGGGTCTTATGACCTACAATCAGAAAAGTAGGGGGAGATTAGAGTCCTGCCTTGGGCTGGTGGAAGGAGGGCAGGGGAAGGAAGGTCAGAGAGAGATTCTGTTTCCTGAAGAATCTGTTTTCTTCTGAGGTCTAAAGCATCCCAACATTATAACAAAAGACTATAACAAGGGATATGGGAGTTATGAGCCAGGAATGGTGCTGGAACAGTTGGATATCCATATGCAAAAAGATGAGTCTTGTTCCATGCCTCATACTGTATTCAAAGATGGAGTTGAAATTACTCATAAACCTAAACATAAGAACTAAAACCATAAAACTTTAGAAGAAAATAGGAGAAAAATCTTTGAGGTCTTGGTTGACGCAAAAATTTCTTTTTTTCTTATTATTATTATACTTTAAGTTTTAGGGTACATGTGCACAACTTGCAGCTTTGTTACATATGTATACCTGTGCCATGTTGGTGTGCTGCACCCATTAACTTGTCATTTAGCATTAGGTATATCTCCTAATGCTATCCCTTCCCCCTCCCCCACCTCACAACAGTCCCCGGTGTGTGATGTTCCTCTTCCTGTGTCCATGTGTTCTTATTGTTCTATTCCCACCTATGAGTGAGAACATGTGGTGTTTGGTTTTTTGTCCTTGCAATAGTTTGCTGAGAATGATGGTTTCCAGCTTCATCCATGTCCTTACAAAGGACATGAACTCATCATTTTTTATGGCTGCATAGTATTCCATGGTGTATATGTGCCACATTTTCTTAATCCAGTCTATCATTGTTGGACATTTGGCTTGGTTCCAAGTCTTTGCTATTGTGAATAGTGCCGCAATAAACATACATGTGCATGTGTCTTTATAGCAGCATGATTTATAATCCTATGTACCCAGTAATGGGATGGTTGGGTCAAATGGTATTTCTAGTTCTAGATCCCTGAGGAATCGCCACACTGACTTCCACAATGGTTGAACTACTTTACGGTCCCACCAACAGTGTAAAAGTGTTCCTATTTCTCCACATCCTCTTCAGCACCTGTTGTTTCCTGACTTTTTAATGATTGCCATTCTAACTGGTGTGAGATGGTATCTCATTGTGGTTTTGATTTGCATTTCTCTGATGGCCAGTGATGGTGAGCATTTTTTCATGTGTTTTTTGGCTGCATAAATGTCTTCTTTTGAGAAGTGTCTGTTCATATCCTTCGGCCACTTTTTGATGGGGTTGTTTGCTTTTTTCTTGTAAATTTGTTTGAGTTCTTTGTAGGTTCTGGATATTAGCCCTTTGTCAGATGAGTAGGTTGCAAAAATTTTCTCCCATTCTGTAGGTTGCCTGTTCACTCTGATGGTGGTTTCTTTTGCTGTGCAGAAGCTCTTTAGTTTAATTAGATCTCATTTGTCAATTTTGGCTTTTGATGCCATTGCTTTTGGTGTTTTAGACATGAAGTCCTTGCCCATGCCTATGTCCTGAATGGTATTGCCTAGGTTTTCTTCTAGGGTTTTTATGGTTTTAGGTCTAACATGTAAGTCTTTAATCCATCTTGAATTAATTTTTGTATAAGATGTAAGGAAGGGATCCAGTTTCAGCTTTCTACATATGGCTAGCCAGTTTTCCCAGCACCATTTATTAAATAGGGAATCCTTTCCCCATTTCTTGATTTTGTCAGGTTTGTCAAAGATCAGATGGTTGTAGATGTGTGGTGTTATTTCTGAGGGCTCTGTTCTGTTCCATTGGTTTATATCTCTGTTTTGGTACCAGTACCATGCTGTTTTGGTTACTGTAGCCTTGTAATATAGTTTGAAGTCAGGTAGCATGATACCTCCAGCTTTGTTCTTTTGGCTTAGGATTGACTTGGCAATGCGGGCTCTTTTTTGGTTCCATATGAATTTTATGAATTTTAAAGTAGTTTTTTCCAATTCTGTGAAGAAAGTCATTGGTATTTTGATGGGGATGGCATTGAATCTATAAATTACCTTGGGCAGTATGGCCATTTTCACGATATTGATTCTTCCTACCCATGAGCATGGAATGTCCTTCCATTTGTTTGTATCCTCTTTTATTTCACTGAGCAGTGGTTTGTAGTTCTCCTTGAAGAGGTCCTTCACATCCCTTGTAAGTTGGATTCCTAGGTATTTTATTCTCTTTGAAGCAATTGTGATTGGGAGTTCACTCATGGTTTGGCTCTCTGTTTGTCTGTTATTGGTGTATAAGAATGCTTGTGATTTTTGCACATTGATTTTGTATCCTGAGACTTTGCTGAAGTTGCTTATCAGCTTAAGGAGATTTTGGGCTGAGACGATGGGGTTTTCTAGATACACAATCATGTCATCTGCAAACAGGGACAATTTGACTTCCTCTTTTCCTAATTGAATGCCCTTTATTTCCTTCTCCTGCCTGATTGCCCTCGCCAGAACTTCCAACACTATGTTGAATAGGAGTGGTGAGAGAGGGCATCCCTGTCTTGTGCCAGTTTTCAAAGGGAATGCTTCCAGTTTTTGCCCATTCAGTATGATATTGGCTGTGGGTTTCTCATAGATAGCTCTTATTATTTTGAGATACGTCCCATCAATACCTAATTTATTGAGAGTTTTTAGCATGAAGGGCTGTTGAATTTTGTCAAATGCCTTTTCTGCATCTATTGAGATAATCATGTGGTTTTGTCTTTGGTTCTGTTTATATGCTGGATTACGTTTATTGATTTTCGTATGTTGAACCAGCCTTGCATCCCAGGGATGAAGCCCACTTGATCATGATGGATAAGCTTTTTGATGTGCTGCTGGATTTGGCTTGCCAGTATTTTATTGAGGATTTTTGCATCAATGTTCATCAGGGATATTGGTCTAAAATTCTCTTTTTTGGTTGTGTCTCCGTCAGCCTTTGGTATCAGGATGATGCTGGCCTCATAAAATGAGTTAGGGAGGATTTCCTCTTTTACTATTGATTGGAATAGTTTCAGAAGGAATGGTACCAGCTCCTCCTTGTACCTCTGGTAGAATTTGGCGGTGAATCCATCTGGTCCTGGACTTTTTTTGGTTGGTAAGCTATTAATTATTGCCTCAATTTCAGAGCCTGTTATTCGTCTATTCAGAGATTCAACTTCTTCCTGGTTTAGTCTTGGGAGAGTGTATGTGTCAAGGAATTTATCCATTTCTTCTAGATTTTCTAGTTTATTTGCGTAGAGGTGTTTATAGTATTCTCTGATGGTAGTTTGTATTTCTGTGGGATCATTTCCCCCCTTTGTAATTTTTTATTGCATCTATTTGATTCTTCTCTCCTTTCTTCTTTATTAGTCTTGCTAGCGGTCTATCAATTTTGTTGATCTTTTCAAAAAACCAGCCCCTGGATTCATTGATTTTTTGAAGGGTTTTTTGTGTCTCTATTTCCTTCAGTTCTGCTCTGATCTTAGTTATTTCTTGCCTTCTGCTAGCTTTTGAATGTGTTTGCTCTTGCTTCTCTAGGTCTTTTAATTGTGATGTTAGGGTGTCAATTTTAGATCTTTCCTGCTTTCTCTTGTGGGCATTTAGTGCTATAAATTTCCCTCTACACACTGCTTTGAATGTGTCCCAGAGATTCTGGTATGTTGTGTCTTTATTCTCGTTGGTTTCAAAGAACATCTTTATTTCTGCCTTCATTTCGTTATGTACCCAGTAGTCATTCAGGAGCAGGGTGTTCAGTTTTCATGTAGTTCAGCCGTTTTGAGTGACTTTCTTAATCCCGAGTTCTAGTTTGATTGCACTGTGGTCTGAGAGACAGTTTGTTATAATTTCTGTTCTTTTACATTTGCTGAGGAGTGCTTTACTTCCAACTATGTGGTCAATTTTGGAATAGGTGTGGTGTGGTACTGAAAAGAATGTATATTCTGTTGATTTGGGATGGAGAGTTCTGTAGATGTCTATTAGGTCTGCTTGGTGCAGAGCTGAGTTCAATTCCTGGGTATCCTTGTTGACTTTCTGTCTCATTGATCTGTCTAATGTTGACAGTGGGGTGTTAAAGTCTCCCATTATTATTGTGTGGGAGTCTAAGTCTCTTTGTAGGTCACTAAGGACTTGCTTTATGAATCTGGATGCTCCTGTATTGGGTGCATATATATTTAGGATACTTAGTTCTTCTTGTTGAATTGATCCCTTTACCATTATGTAATGGCCTTCTTTGTCTCTTTTGATCTTTGTTGATTTAAAGTCTGTTTTGTCCGAGATTAAGATTGCAACCCCTGCCTTTTTTTGTTTTCCATTTACTTGGTAGATCTTCCTCCATCCCTTTATTTTGAGCCTATGTGTGTCTCTGCACGTGAAATGGGTTTCCTGAATACAGCACACTGCTGGGTCTTGACTCTTTATCCGGTTTGCCAGTCTGTGCCTTTTAATTGGAGCATTTAGCGCATTTACATTTAAGGTTAGTATTGTTATGTGTGAATTTGATCCTGTCACTATGATGTTAGCTGGTTATTTTGCTGATTAGTTGATGCAGTTTCTTCCTAGCCTTGATGGTCTTTACAATTTGGCATGTTTTTGCAGTGGCTGGTACCAGTTGTTCCTTTCCATGTTTAGTGCTTCCTTCAGGAGCTCTTTTAGGGCAGGCCTGGTGGTGACAAAATCTCTCAGCATTTGCTTGTCTGTAAAGTATTTTATTTCTCCTTCACTTATGAAGCTTAGTTTGGCTGGATATGAAATTCTGGGTTGAAAATTCTTTCCTTTAAGAATGTTGAATATTGACCCCCAGTCTCTTCTGGCTTATAGAGTTTCTGCTGAGAGATCAGCTGTTAGTCTGATGTGCTTCCCTTTGTGGGTAACCCGACCTTTCTCTCTGGCTACCCTTAACATTTTTTCCTTCATTTCAACTTCAGTGAATCTGACAATTATGTGTCTTGGAGTTGCTCTTCTTGAGGAGTATCTTTGTGGTGTTCTCTGTATTTCCTGAATGTTGGCCTGCCTTGCCAGATTGGGGAAGTTCTCCTGGATAATATCCTGCAGAGTGTTTTCCAACTTGGCTCCATTCTCCCCGTCACTTTCAGGTACACCAATTAGACGTAGATTTGGTCTTTTCACATAGTCCCATATTTCTTGGAGGCTTTGTTCGTTTCTTTTTATTCTTTTTTCTCTAAACTTCTCTTCACGCTTCATTTCATTCATTTCATCTTCCACCGCTGATACCCTTTCTTCCAGTTGATCACATCAGTTACTGAGGCTTGTGCGTTCGTCATGTAGTTCTCGTGACATGGTTTTCAGCTCAGGTCCTTTTAGGACTTCTCTGCATTGGTTATTCTAGTTATGCATTCGTCTAGTTTTTTTTCAAAGTTTTTAACTTCTTTGCCATTGGTTCGAACTTCCTCCTTTAGGTCGGAGTAGTTCGATCTTCTGAAGCCTTCTTCCCTCAACTTGTGAAAGTCATTCTCCATCCATCTTTGTTCCGTTTGCTGGTGAGGAGCTGCGTTTCTTTGGAGGAGGAGAGGCACTCTGATTTTTAGAGTTTCCAGTTTTTCTGCTCTGTTTTTTCCCCATCTTTGTGGTTTTATCTACCTGTGGTCTTTGATGATGGTGACATACAGATGGGTTTTTGGTGTAGATGTCCTTTCTGTTTGTTAGTTTTCCTTCTAACAGTCAGGACCCTCAGCTGCAGGTCTGTTGGAGTTTACTGGAGGTCCACCCCAGACCCTGTTTTCCTGGGTGTCAGCAGCGGTGGCTGCAGAACAGCGGATATGGGTGAACCACAAATGCTGCTGCCTGATCGTTCCTCTGGAAGTTTTGTCTCAGACGAGTACCCGGCCGTGTGAGGTGTCAGTCCGCCCCTACTGGGGGGTGCCTCCCAGTTAGGCTACTCAGTGGTTAGGGACCCACTTGAGGAGGCAGTCTGCCCGTTCTTAGATCTCAAGCTGCGTGCTGGGAGAACCACTACTCTCTTCAAAGCTGTCAGACAGGGACATTTAAGTCTGCAGAGGTTATTGCTGTCTTTTGTTTGTCTGTGCCCTGCCCCTAGAGGTGGAGCCTAAAGAGTCAGGCAGGCCTCCTTGAGCTGTGGTGGGCTCCACCCAGTTCGAGCTTCCCAGCTGCTTTGTTTACCTGCTCAAGCCTGGGCAATGGTGGGCGCCCCTTCCCCAGCCTCGCTGCTGCCTTGCAGTTTGATCTCAGACTGCTGTGCTAGCAATGAGCAAGGCTCCATGGGCGTAGGACCCTCTGAGCCATGTGCGGGATATAATCTCCTGGTGTGCCGTTTGTTAAGCCCATCGGAAGAGCGCAGTATTAGGGTGGGAGTGACCCGATTTTCCAGTTGCCATCTGTCACCCCTTTCTTTGACTAGGAAAGGGAATTCCCTGACCCCTTGTGCTTCCCAGGTGAGGCGATGCCTTGCCCTGCTTCAGCTCACGCACAGTGCATTGCACCTACTGTCCTGCACCCACTGTCTGGCACTCCCCAGTGAGATGAAACCGGTACCTCAGTTGGAAATGCAGAAATCACCCATCTTCTGCATCGCTCACGCTGGGAGCTGTAGACTGGAGCTGATCCTATTCGGCCATCTTGGCTCCACCCCCCAGTTGATGCAAAAATTTCTTAGATAATACATAAAAAGTAGGAAGCATAAAAGAAAAAAATTGATAAATTAGACTTCATCAAAATTAAAAACTTTTCCTTATCAAAATACAGTTAAGAAAATGAAAAGCAAGCTACACAAAAGGAAGAAAATATTTGCAAGACATCTGATGAAGGATTCATCTCCAGGATATATAAAGAACTCTTACAACTCAGTAATAAAACAGACAAACTAATTAAAAATATGAGCAAAACCTTTCTTATATAAGTGAGCCAAAGATGGCCTGGATGTTTTGGCTTCTAGGTTGTTTATTTCAGCACTGCAGGCTGAGACTTATTAGTTCGAAAGTCTACCAGTGCCAAAGTCAATTTTTTTACAAATCTAATTTTTTTTTAAGCCCAAACTAGATTTTCAGCACTTTAGAACCTGCCTGCTTGGTATAACCCATGAAATCACTCCACGCCTGCTAGCCAAATGTAGGATAAGCTCCAGGACCCAAATCACTGCTGCTTCTGTCCTTCAATGTTCTCTGATCCAGAGACTCCCTTGCCGTGCTAGTGGAGTGTTATCACCTGGGCATGTAAACTCCCTCTCTGATTTTCCTCTTCTCCCAAGGAGTTCCCATACCCTCCCTCTCCTGCTGGAGGGTAGGCCCCTCATTGTTAGCATCCAGAAAGTCTCATGCTGTGAAGGACTTCCTCTCTCATGCATGGTTGTCCAAGAACCATTCAATAAAGCTTGCCGTGTGTTATTACTGCTTCATATCTTTTTCTTTGATCAGCCCCCAAGTCCCTCAGACCCTCCACTTGATTTGAACAGTTACTTCACAAACTAAGATAAACAAATGTCCAATAAGACATTGAAATGTTTAAACATGAAAAGATGCTCATTATCTTTACAGCAAAGATCATGCTGTAAGTTATTAATTGAAGATTAATATGATTGAATTAACTAACACTAATTAAAGTCACATTGAGACACCACTACATATCAATGAGATTAAAAAGACAATACTAAGTGGTGTTGAAGATGCACAGCAACTAGAGCAAACTGGTACAGCCACTTTGGAAAACAGTTTGGCAGTTTCTTCTAGAATTAAATATTTACCATATAACCTATTAGTTTGCTCCTCACTATTGTTTACCCAAAGGAAATTAAGCTCATGTTCTACACAGACTTGTATATGAATGTTCATAGCTGCTTTATCTATAACAGGCAAAAATTGGGAACAACTTAAACATTCATCAGCTGAAGAGTGGCTAACAAAATGAAATACTACTCAGCAATAAAAAGGAACAGACTGGCCGGGTTCTCTGGCTTATGCCTGTAATCCCAACACTTTGGGAGGCTGAGGCAGGTGGATTACCTGAGGTCAGGGGTTCAAGACCAGCCTGACCAACATGGCGAAACCCCGTCTCTACTAAAAATACAAAAATGAGCTGGGTGTGGTGGTGCATTCCTGTAATCCTGGCTACCCCAGAGGCTGAGGGAGGAGAATTGCTTGAACCTGGTTGGCAGAGGTTGCAGTGAGCTAAGATCTTGCCACTGCACTCCAGCCTGGGCAACAGAGCAAAACTCCATCTCAATAATAATAATAAAAAGGAACAGACTGCCAATACACACCACAGCTTAATCTCAATGGTAGTATGCTAAGTGAGAGAAGCCAGACACAAAAAACCACATGCTGCATGATTCCACTTATATGCATTTCTAGAAAGGCAACACTAGAATGACAGCAGAATCAGTGGTTATGATGGGTTGGGGGTCAAAAAGGGCATTGGCCATAAGGAGGCATGAAGAAACTCTTGGAGATTATGGAAATGTTGTATATCTTGATTGTGGTGACTACACATAAAATTTGTAGATTGTTTGTAAATACAATAAAGTGGACTAAGAAAGTCCTTGATAAGTGGACTAAGAAAAAAGTGTTCGTGCAATTTAACCCAGTAAGTGCATGTCTAATAACTTAATAAAAAGAATTAGAGATGTGAGCCGGGCATAGTGGTTCACTCCTGTAATCCCAACACTTAGGGAGGCAGAGGTGGGAGGATAGCTTGAGGTCAGGAGTTCAAGATCTGCCTAGACAACATAGTGAGACCCCATTCTCCACAAAAAAGGAGGAAAAAGGAATCAGAGATGTGTATAAAACTTACATACAAGGATGTTCATTTCAGCATTATTTATAATAGCTAAATACTTAACCCAAGTGCCCAGAAAAAGGACATTATTTAAATCTATGATATATTCATGCACAAAGTATATCAAGCCATTAAAAGTTATATTGAAATTATGATATGGAAAAATGTTTACTACTTTAAATAGAAAGGTAGAATATAATATACACTCTAGATTTTGTTTTTAAACTGGCAGTTGAAAGAACAAAAATAATTCACTATCTTATTGATAAATGAGGGTTAAGTGGGATTTTTGTGACATATAAATAAGATCTGAATATCCGGTACCTCCATTTATACTTTCCTTCTTGTGGGAAATGGATGAAATTAAAATTTTAGGCTCGGCATGGTGGTGCACGCCTGTAATCTTAGCAGTTTGGGAGGCCAAGGTGGAAGGATCACCTGAGACCAGGAGTTCCAGACTGCAGTGTGCTGTGATCGCACCACTGCACCCTAGCCTGAGTGACAGAGTGAGCCCACGTCTCTTTTTTTTTTTTTTTTTGAGACGGAGTTTCAATCTGTCACCTAGGCTGGAGTGCAGTGGTGCAATCTTAGCTCACTGCAACCTCCGCTTCCTGGGTTCAGACAGTTCTCCTGTCTTACCCTCCCCAGTAACTGGGACTACAGGCATCTGCCACAACTCCCTGCTAATTTTATTTTATTTGTGTGTGTGTGTGTGTGTGTGTGTGTGTGTGTGTGTGTGTATTTTTAGTAGAGGCAGGGTTTCACCATGTTGGCCAGGCTGGTCTCGAACTCCTGACCTCAAATGATCCACCCACCTTAGCCCCCCAAAGTTGGCCACATCTCAAAAAAAAAAAAAGAAAAAGAAAAATCTTCCTCATTAGATTAAGAGGACACCTGTTATATCTCAAATCAGAGCAAAGCTGAAATGAGACTTAAAACAAGGGCAAAGTTGTAATTGTAACATGGATTTAAATTTAAGCATGGATTCACAATACATTCCCAGAGGAATATCATGGAAAGGGTCAGAATATGTCATTCCATCTATAGCCTGCAGGTAGAATTTCCAATCTACTGGTTGGACAGCTTCAGAGCAGGACCACTTAGACTATTGACTATTCCTACCTTGGGGGTAGGGAAAGCAAAGAAGTTTATCTAAATAGGGTTTGAACATACATTCAATATGTAGTAAAGGTCCTGTGAAATTATTTGACTAGTCTTCACCAGAGTGTCCTGAAATTTTCATCTCATGATTAAACAGAAAGAATAGATTAATTCAGAGATAGGATTCATCTTAACTTTAACAGATACTAGAACAGCAAGGAAGTATCTAAACAGGACAAAGGACTATTAAAGTAATTAGATTTAAAAAAAATTTTTTTGAGAGACAGGGTCTTGCCTTGTTGTTTAATTTTTATTTTTTTGAGACAGAGTCTCGATCTGCCTGCCCAGGTTAGAGTGCAGTGGCGTGATCTCAGCTCACTGCAACCTCCGCCTCCCTGCAACCTCCCGTTTCCGGATTCAAGTGATTATCTTGCCTCAGAACTCGCAAGTAGCTGGGATGCAGGCATGTGCCACCACGCCCAGCTAATTTTTGTATTTTTAGTAGCGACAGGGTTTCACCATGTTGGCCAGGCTGGTCTCAAACTCCTGACCTCAAGTGATCTGCCTGCCTCAGTCTCCCAGAGTATTGAGATTACTGGCGTGAGCCACCATGCCTGGCCTATTTTTTATTTTTTATAGAGATAGTCTCACCATGTTGCCCAGGCAGGTCTCAAACTCCTAGCCTCAAGCAGTCCTCTTGCATTAGCCTCCCAAAGTGCCAGGATTACAGACATGAGCTACCATGACCAGCCAATTGGATATATTTTTGAATATCATCAATTTTTTGAAAGTAAGGCAGACAAATTTTGTTAGTGGTAGCCTTCAAACATTTTAAACCATGTTTTCTGTATACTTGGAAACCTGTAGTCAAAAATTATAATCTTGTCCATGTTACCAACTGAACTGGAGTTCCTTAGCCTGGCATAGTAAGGCCAACACCTACACCAAGGTTTGCAGTGGGAGAAAGAAGCATGTTTACGTACAGGGTGCCAAGCAAGGAGTATCAGGCAGTGCACGCTTAAGATTCAACCCCTCTAGTGGCTTACAGGTAAGGGTTTTTATTTTTATTTTTTTATTTTTTATTTTTATTATTTTTTTTTTGAGATGGAGTCTCGCCCTGTTGCCCAGGCTGGAGTGCAGTGGCGTGATCTCAGCTCACTGCAACCTCTGCCTCCTGGGTTCAAGCGATTCTCCTGAGTAGCTGGGATGACAGGCATGCGCCACCATGCC
Source organism: Homo sapiens (assembly GCF_000001405.40). Taxonomy (NCBI): domain Eukaryota; kingdom Metazoa; phylum Chordata; class Mammalia; order Primates; family Hominidae; genus Homo; species Homo sapiens. Next base: position 43,664,010 of record NC_000011.10, read on the forward strand.
TGGCTAATTTCTGTATTTTTAGTAGAGACAGGGTTTCATCATATTGGTCAGGCTGGTCTCAGTACTCCTGATGTCGTGATCTGCCTGCCTCAGCCTCCCAAAGTGCTGGGATTACAGGCTTGAGCCACTATGCCCGGCCCAGGTAAGGGTTTCTAAGGCAGGGAGGCAGAGGTTACAGGCTAAGTCATAAATCAGTATATGGAGGTTATACATTGGTTTGGCCTAAAAGGGTGGGATATCTTGAAGCAGAGGCTTACAGACCATATGTAGATTCAAAGATGTTCTCATTTGCAGTTTGAGTAAGGGAGAGAAGCTCTGTTTAAAAATTTGGGGTCAGCAGAAAAGAATATTTGTACTGGCTCATGGGCATGACTTCCTCCAGGCCCCTCAAGAAGAAATTTAGAACAAAAAACAGCAGGCCTCAGAGTTCATTCCTCAGTTCCCTCTTATCTGAGGCCTATGTGCCAGCCGATCCATTTGGTGGGGGTCTGTGTTTCTGAAAAATAACACAGGGACATGTGTTAAGATGTTATCTTTAGTTTTTTTACATAGGGAACCAAACATCACTCTAACTTCCATGGCTATTGTTCTAGGCTACTCCTACCTTCTTGCTTATGAAGTTGCTCATTTACTTCTCAAGACTAGCTAGGAGCCTGGAACTTCCCTTGAAGGAATTTAAGATGTTCCTTTATTTTCATGCTTGGGGGTGCCCACAAGTCCCTAAGAGGGGTCCCTGCTCTGTCTCATACACAAATTATTTCTTGTTGTTTCTCCATAAATTTGCAATTAATAGGATTTCTAGTAACGGAGTTTTTAATGTTAAGCCCAGTTTACTAAACATCTTGCATGAATAAGGAATATTCTTGGTTTTTGGAAAGCAAGTCTTTCTAACATTTGCATTTAAAAGATTAAAATGTCTCGTTCATGAAACGATGAATGAAGAGCTTATTTATGAGGATCCTGTGAAGGCTTTTGGTCTTCCTGCAAATCCAGATCAGAAAGAGACCCATGTTAAAGTCTTTATAGAAAAAATGTTCATTCATATCCTTCTTAAACACGTAATATACATGATAATGTAATACATAATATATTAATAGTTGTAAATAAGGCAATTCTGAAAGAGAAGTGTCTGACACAGTGCATAGATTGGAAGCAGAAAACAAAGCCCTAGAATTACTCATGTCTTGACAAAGGTTGTTTTTCCCTAACTAAAACTCTGGTTTTAAAGTTTTATTTATTTATTTAGTCGCCTAGGCTGGAGTGCGGTGGTGCGATCTGGGCCCACTGCAACCTCCATCTCCCGGGTTGAAACGATTCTTGTGCCTCAGCCTCCTGAGTAGCTGGGACTGCAGGCATGCGCCACCATGCCCAGCTAATTTTTAAATTTTTTGTAGAGACAGGATCCCACTATGTTGCCCATACTGATCTCGAACTCCTGACCTCAAGTGATCTTCCCGTCTCAGCCTCCTAAAGTGATGGGGTTACAGGAGTGAGCCACCATGCCTGGTGATAACTACTATTGATGAGAATGAGATGAAGCAAATAATCCATTGACCACTTGTGGAAGTGTAAATCTAGTAGGTCCTTCAGGTTTCTTGGTGTCATCCTCCCTGAAAGGTAGACATTATTTGCATCCCCATTTTACAGGTAAGCTAACTAAATACCAGAATGGCCAAGGTCACACAACTGAGGGCTCATTCTGAAAAAGAAAAAGAAGATTCTATTCCTGATATGCTTTGCTCTACACACGCACACACGCGCATGCACACACACACACACACAAGCATGCCTTGTCTAAAATTATCTTCTGATCTGGGTGATCCCAGCTAATTGAGAGAAACAGCAAAGATAAATCCAACCCTTGGCCTGGAGCAAAGCCTGCTGATATCAGCCTATATTGGCCAAATTCTTGTCAACCCACGGAGTAGACAAGTTGGGAATGAGAAGTAGATGGAGTTTATTGTACGCCAAGGATATTTTATGGTTGTATGTGGTTAACCACAGACTCAGGTGCATCTTACCACACCTGGCTCACTTTTAAATTAGCTTTCCATCATTCCCATTCCCACCCTCCCTTCCTTTCCACTCCAGTCATGCTACTCTTTCTTCCTTCCTGCATTTTTTCCACTTTAGAGCCCTTAGGCATGCTAGTCCCTCCATTTTCTCAATATCTGGGTGCTAGGAAAGGGGAAATATTTATTTTTATTTTTTTGAGGCAGGGTCTTACTCTATCACCCAGGCTGGAGTGCAGTGGTGCAGTCATGGCTTACTGCAGCCTCAACCTCCTGGGCTCAATAGATCCTCCCAACCTCAGCTCCCCTAGCAGCTGGGACCTTAGGCACACACCACCCCGCCCAGGTAACTTTTATTTTTTTGGCAAAGACAGAGTTTTGCCATACTGCCCAGGCTGGTCTTAAACTCCTGGACTCAAGCAGTCCTCCTGCCTCAGCTTCCCAAAGTGCTGGGACTGCAGGCGCACACCACCACACCTGGCCATTTTTTGTTTGTTTGTTTTGTAGAGACAGCATCTCACCATGTTGCCTAGGCTGGTCTCAAACTACTGAACTCAAGTGATCCACCTGCCTGGGCCTCCCAAAGTGCTGGCCTATTTTTCATTCTTTGCCTAGTTTGAAAGAAGATTTTGAGGGGACTCATTAACATTCTCATAATACAAAATAAGGAAAATTAATAGAAGGAGGCTAGAGACAGGAAAATATGTTTAGATACCCTGTATAGATAATGTGAATGTCGTTCACTATACTTCACACGACATTTTCTGGTATTCTGATTATTAAAATGTTCCATGTAAACAGGGCAACATGAGACGATTTTCCTAAGATCACTCTTAAGAGTTGAGAATGAAGTCAGTACATCTGCCAGACAGCCCAAATGAAATGAGGACGAATAACCAACTATTCAATAATTGCGTGTTTACTTTTTACTGCTTTTAATAACTTGCTCTTTATTCCCTGCAGATAGCAAACCAACTGATTTGGGATAGGTGAGGCAACAAAGCCACAGCTTCCATAGTCACACCATTTCAATTCTTGTTTCTACAAATGAACAATTCATAAGTAATAAATTAAGAGAAAAGTAGAGATAACTGATACACTATATAGTTTTAAAATTCTGACTGAGTTTATTTATTTTTTATTTTTTTGAGACAGAGTATCACTCTATGGCCCAGGCTGGAGTGTAGTGGTGCAATCTTGGCTCATGGCAACCTCCGCCTCCCAGGTTCAAGCGATTCTCCTGCCTCAGCCTCCTAAGTAACTGGGATTACAGGCGTGTGCCACCACGGCTGGCTAATTTTTGTATTTTTAGTAGAGACAGGGTTTTGCCATGTTGACCAGGCTGGTCTTGAACTCCTGACCTCAAGTGATCCGCCCGCCTCAGCCTCCCAAAATGCTGGGATGAACCACACCGCACCTAGCCTGAGTTTATTTTTTAACTAGAAGTTATTGCTCCTTGCAACTAACTTTACCCTTTTCCTTCTGCCATAATAATCCATTCATTCATCTAATGAATACGGATCGGGTATCCTTTATCCAAAATGCTTGGGACCAGAAGTGTTGCATATTTTGGAATATTTGCATATACATAATGAGATATATTGGGGATGTGACCCAAATCTAAACACGAAATTCATTCATGTTTCATATACACCTTATACCATAGCCTGAGGTTAATTTCATATAATATTTTAAATAATTTTCTGCATAAAACAAAGTTTGTGTTAAGCACTAATATGTGGAATTTTCCACTTAAGGCATCATGTTGGTGCTCTAAAGTTTTGGATTTTGGAGTATTTCAGATTTTGGATTTTTGGATTAGGGATGCTCAACCTGTATTTATTAAATGTATATGAGGGCAAAATGGTGAATAAGACAAACAGGTCTTTATGAAACTTAAAGTATGGTTGGGACCAGTATGTGTAAAAAAACCCATGTAGGATGGACCTTGGTGCTTTTGAGGGCTGTAGAGAAGGCCCTTAATGCTTGAGTGTGGTGAGCAAGGTAGGAGGCTAGGGACCAGAGCATGATACACTTCCTTACGGAACACACACACACACATACAATTAGTTTTCAATTGTTGCTGTTACAAATTACTGCAGATTAGTGGCTTAAAACAATCATCTTACAATTCTATAGGTTAGAATGCCAACATGGATCTCACTGGGCTAAAGTCACTGCATTATTTTCTGGAGATACTAGGAGGAAGTTAATTTCCTTGCCTTTTTCAGCTTCTAGAGGCTGTGCACATTCCTGGTCTCCTGGACCCGTCCTCCATCTTCAGACCAGCAATGTTGCATCTCTAATCATTCTCCCACAGTCACATCTCTCTCTTTGACCAAAGCTGGGAAAGATTCTCCAATTTTAAGGACCTCCCCTGTGATTGATTAGATTAGGCTCATCTGGGTAACCGCCCACCTCAAAGGTCCTTAATTTAATCACATCCTTATAATATGGTCCCACACAAGGTAACATTCACAGATATGTAGACATGGATATCTTTAGAAGGTCATTATTCTGCCAAACACATATGTGTAAAGATAAATATGTAATTAATTTAAAAATTTATATAGAAACTTTTCTCAAACATTTGAAATAAACATAAATACTGTAAGAGAGTGTATCCCAAAACAGAGGCATAATCATTTTAGAATGAATAGAATTAAAGGTTTTTCAATAATATTATTATATATATTTTTGAGACAGGGTCTTGCTCTGTCACTCTGGCTGGAATGCAGTGACATGATTATAGCTCACTGCAGCATCAAACTCCTGGCTCAGATGATCCTCCCACACTGGGACGACCAGTGTGTGCCACCATGTCCAGCTAATTAAAAAAAAAAATTTTTTTTTTAGAGATGGAGTCTAGCTATGTTGCCCAGGCTGATCACGAACTCCTGGGCTCAAGCAATCCTCTATGCCTTGGCTTCCCAAAGTGTTAGAATTACAGGCATGAGCCACTGCACCTGGCTGTGTATATTGCTAATATATCTCTGATGAGATATTGCCACTGATATTGAAGAAAATAAATAGAGAACCACAACCAGAGTCAATGACAGGAATAATTCTCAGAAACATGATGCTGAGTTAAAAAAAAAAAAAAGCAAATTCCAGAAAACTACCCAAGTGTGTGTCTTAGGTCTACCGCAACAAGGTGCACCTGCAAACTAGGTGGCTTTAAAGAATAGCAATTTATTGGCCAGGCAAGGTGGCTCACGTCTGTAATCCCAGAATTTTGGGAGGCTGAGGTGGGTGAATCACTTGAGGTCAGGAGTTCGAGACCAACCTGACCAATATGCTGAAACCCCGTCTCTACTAAAAATACAAAAATTAGCTGGGCGTGGTGGCAGGCACCTGTAATCCCAGCTACTTGGGAGGTTGAGGCAGGAGAATCACTTGGACCTGGGAGGCGGAGGTTGCAGTGAGCCAAGATGGTGCCACTGCATTCCAGCCTGGGCAACAAAGTTAGACTCTGTTTCAAAAAAAAAAAAAAGAATAGCAATTTATTCTCTCACAATTTTGAGGCTAGAAGTCCAAAATCAAGGTGTTGGGAAGGGCCATGCCCTCTCTGCAGGTTCTCCAGAAGCATCCTTCCTTGCCTCTTCCTAACTTCTGGTGGTTGTTGGCCATTTTGAACGTTCCTTGGCTGGAAACTGTATTACTAAAATCTCTGCTTCCATTGTCTCTCCCTCTGTCTCTTTGTGTTTCTCTAAATCTCTCTCTTTTTATAAGGAAACAGACATTGGGTTTAGGGCCCACCCTAATCCTTTATGACCTCATCTTAACCTGATTACATCTGCAAAGACCTTATTTCCAAATAAGGCCAAGGTCACAGGTTGTGGGGTTAGGACTTTAACATATCTTTTAGGGAGATACACTGCAGCCTGCAACAGTCATGTTACCCAGGAAACAGACTCTGAGATTGAGATTTGCTTGCAGGGGATTTGTAATGGAATACACTGGGGAACAACATCCTTAAGGGAGGGAGGGAAGCTGGATTAAGCTGAAAGAGAAGTTGAACTGCACTGCAGTATAATGGAAGCTTCAGGAAATTCCACTGGGAGCTCTGAAGCTGGGAAGGCTTTTCAGAGATGTTCATAATTAAGATAGGTGGTCCAGGCTTTTGTACTCCTGCATCATCCAGTCATTGGATGTAGGCTGCCATTGGAGAGGGGCAAAGCAGCTCCCTTTAGCCTAGGACAGGTCCCATAGAGGGACATAGACCAGGATTGTCAGCAAATGTGGGAATGAAGGTCTTGGTCCTGGAGGGAAGATCTGGGATGCCTTCCCCAGCACCCAGCATATCATGCTTTTTAAATAGAGCTCAAAAATAAGCAAAATGAAACACCATGTTATTATTTCATATATATTTTGATATAAGCATATATATTTAAAAGCAGTAGAACGATATACAACATTTAGGGCTGTGCTTACCTTTGGAGAATGGACTAGGGTAGGTTTTTGGTTTTTGGTTCTTGAGTTAGGTGGTGAGTTTACAGTTTTTCATTATATTATGCTTTATATAACTAACATATATTTCATCTAATCTTTTGTATACATCAAATGTATTTTAAAAGATAGCAAGGGAGTCTGGCACAGTAGTTCATGCCTGTAATCCCAGCACTTTGGGAGGCCAAGACAGGAGGATTGCTTGAGCCCAGGAGTTGGAGACCAGCCTAGGCGACATAGCAAGGCCTTGTCTCTACAAAAAATATTAGCTGGGTGTGGTGCTGTGTGCCTGTAGTCCTAGCTACTTGGGAGGCTGAGGCAGGAGGATTGCTTGAGTCCAGGAGTTCAAGGCTGCAGTGAGCTATGATCATACCACTGCACTCCAGCCTGGGTGACAGAGCAAGACTCTGTCTTTATACAAATTTTTAAAAAAGATTATAAGGGGAATAAAGGAAAGAACTAGGCAAAAATAATATAAACTAAAGTAGCTAGAATTTTTAGAAAAAAAAAGTGTGGGTAAAGATAACAAATCCTTGGACCTATTGCCAAATTAAGGATTCAGGTAAAGAAAACCTCCTCAAATTCCGCTATATTATTTGCCTTAAGTTTGCTTGCATAACTGTCCTACAGTTATGCTGGAAATATGATGTAGGTAAGATATTATGGTTTACTTTCCCTTTCACATGGTTTTATTTTATTTATTTATTTTTTTGAGATGGAGTCTCACTCTGTTGCCCAGGCTGGAGTGCAGTGGCGCCATCTTGGCTCCTGGGTTCAAGCGATTCTCCAGCCTCCACCTCCCAGGTTCAAGTGATTCTCCAGCCTCAGCCTCCCAAGTAGCTGGGATTACAGGCTTGTGCCACCACACCCAGCTAATTTTTGTATTTTTTAGTAGAGACGGGGTTTCGCCATGTTGGCCAGACTGGTCTCAAACTCCTGACTTCAGGTAATCCGCCAATTTTGGCCTCCCAGAGTGTTGGGATTACAGGCATGAGCCATCGCACCTGGCCCCTTTCACACGGTTTTAAACTGGTTTGTTTACCATGGCACTAATTCCTTTCTTTAAGCGAAAGTATTCTGAGTAAGATTGATGGAACAATTATTAGATCTGCTGATGCAATAAAGAAAACCAGTTAATGTGCAATATTGGTATGTCAAGATTTCACTATGATATTTTTAATCATATATTATTGAGTGGAGAAAGAAAGTTGTTGAATTATTTTTGCATAATCACAGCTTTTACTTCTAAAAAAGTATATATGTATATGTTGTGTATATTATATAGCTTCATACTTAGAAATGTCAGTGAAAAGAAAAAGAAATGGAAGAATACAGTACAAATTGCCAACTGTTAGTGGGAATAGAAAATGGGGTGGGATGCTTTTTCATTTCATATAATTCCGTGTGCTTTTGAAACTAAAAAATAAGTAAAATGTTAAAACTATATTTTCTAATCACTTGTTTCAAAATGACTGATTTCAGCTTTATTTGGGAAATATGTTTACAGAAGACTATGAATGTGAGTCTAAGTTCTGTTATAAAATAGGTGGCAGAGTAGAAAGAGCCCTTCTTATTTTTTATTTTTTATTTTTTTTAGAGACCGAGTCTCGCTCTGTCGCCCAGGCTGGAGTGCAGTGGCATGATCTCGGCTCACTGAAAGCTCTGCCTCCCGGGTTCACGCCATTCTCCTGCCTCAGCCTCCCAAGTAGCTGGGACTACAGGCGCCCGCCACCACGCCCGGCTAATTTTTTTGTGTTTTTAGTAGAGGCGGGATTTCACCGTGTTAGCCAGGATGGTGTCAATCTCCTGACCTCATGATCCGCCTGCCTCGGCCTCCCAAAGTGCTGGGATTACAGGCGTGAGCCACCGCTCCCGGCCTAGCCCTTCATTTTTAGTGAAGACATCTTGGTTCTAGAAACAGGCCTGCTGCACTAAAGTAGTCCGTATGCAAGAAGGTTAACTTAAAGAGTTAATTTCCCTGTTGGAAAAATGGGGGTGTTATTGTGATGTTTGAATGGGGTAATGTATGTGAAGTGACTTTGAAGTTGATATTGCAATATTAAAGCATAATAGGTGTTTTTGTTTGTTTGTTTTTAAGATAAAGTCTCACTCTGTTGCCCAGGTTAGAGTGCAGTGGTGCGATCTTGGCTCACTGCAACCTCCACCTCCTGGGTTCAAGAGAGCCTCAGTCCCCTGAGTAGCTGGGATTACAGGCGCCTGCCACCACACCCGGCTCATTTTTGTGTTTTTAGTAGAGATGGGGTTTCACCATGTTGGCCAGACTGGTCACAAACTCCTGACCTCAGGTGATCCGCCTGCCTCGGCCTCCCAAAGTGCTAGGATTACAGGCGTGAGTCGCCGCACCCTGGCCAATAAATGTTAATCTTCCTTTCTTATGGTAATATTTCTTGTTAAATAAATTAAATATTAACTTTGGGAAACCTCCCAATTTCTAATGCTTAAGACTCAGTTTCTTTTAAATTGGTTTGTTCATCACAACACTTTTTCTTTTTAACCCAGGATTGGACAACTGAATTTAAAGGCAAGTTAAAGTTCAATATTTTGAACAATGTTTAAATCAAGATGAGCGAGAAGACAGAACTGTTAAAAGGTTTTATTTTACAGCCAAGTGAAGGATTCAGCTATGTCCCAAAGGATTAAACAAGATGGTATGCTTAATAATTCCTCGCTTCTATGAAACTCCCTGATTATGAAGTGTACTTTCATTCTATAGAACTACTCCTGATTTCATCAGGAAACTCTGATCTGAAACTCAATTTACAGAAATATTAAAAATGAATTTTCGACTAAATGGGAATATTTGTATACTAATATGATACAATATTGTTGCTTCATTTTTTTCATATTAAATACTATTCTAAACTCTAAATTTGTTAATAAATGAAGCAGAAATCTAATGTGATTACATCTGAGTATTTTATTTGTGTAATAACAAAATATTTCTAGAGACTCTTCTACTCTCCTTTAGTCTTTTTCTTTTCTTTTCTTTTCTTTTCTTTTCTTTTTTTTTTTTTTTTTTGAGACAGGGTCTCACTTTGTTACCCAGGCTGGAGTTCAATGGCGCAATCTCAGCTCACTGCATCCTCCGCCTCCCAGGCTCAAGCAATTATCCTGCCTAGCCTCCCAAGTAGCTAGGACTACAGGCATGCACCACCAAGCCCAGCTAGTTTTGTTTGTTTGTTTGTTTGTTTGTTTGTTTGTTTGTATTTTTTGTAGAGACAGGGTTTCGCTATATTGCCCAGGCTGATTTCGAACTCCTGAGCTCAAGGGATCTACCCAAAGTGCTGGGATTATAGGCATGAGCCACGGCACCCAGCCTTTAGTCATTTTTTAGATGCTGCTTTCTCTGAGCTAGTTCTGGAGATATGATTTCATAGTCACACCTTTTTGGTTCAAATTCCAATTCTTCCACTTACTAGCTTTAAGCTTCTGTTTCCTCATTCATAAAATGGGGTTAAGAGTAGTACCTACCTCACTGAACACTTAATATCTATCTGCCAATCACTGCTAAATGCTTAAGTAGTATTGTTCTCATTTTACAGATGTGGAATTTGAATGCATAATAATTAAATCTATACAAGATCATACAGCTAATAAGAGGCAGAATCAGGATCTGGTTCCAGATTTACCTGACACTAAAGGCCAGAGTTTTATCGTATTGCCTCTTCTTCGGAGAGCTATTAGTCACATGTTTGGTTAGTATGGCTCTACTAACCCTTCATTAGATGTTAAATTTCAGCACAGAATACTGCTGAATAGGAGTGGGTCATCATTATAGGGTCCTGTATGCATTAGAGTTTACTGTGGTTCGTAAAATTTATTCAGCGACAAAGGATTGTTGAATTCCAAAAGTGTGTGACCACCTGAACTCCAAAGGGCTATCTGGCATGTACTGCTTCACTTTGTGGAAGTCGCCATTTTTTCCCTTAGTAGATAAAACAATTAGTATTCCTAATTCCTAAAAAGAGGCTGAGGTGATCAGAATAAATGTGTACATTTTAAATAACGATTATTCTATTAATTGCATGGGTAGTGCCTAGGCATTTTAGAAGAGGAATGCATACCAAAATGAGATGGTTTCAGTCTTTAACATTCCTTTTCATTAAAATAACTAAATTCCAACAGCAATGGAAATTCCATTTCCAAAGTACATGTGTTTATTTTAAATAGCCCTACACCAACAATTATTGCCTATTTAATTTTATGCCATATGCTGTGATAGTTGCAAGAGGCACAGATGTGTATTCTTCAAAACCACATCAAAGCCTTCATTCCGGTGTTGATTGCTTTCTCCTCTACCACACCCTCACTCAATTTCTGCATTTTCTCAGATCCCAGTTCAAATATGGGTTCCTTAGAAAGGCGTTTCAAGGCTGTTTCTTTTCCCCCACCTAAATTAGGTCCTCTTGTTAACCTCTTTCCTTATGTCCTATTATTTTCTTCTTTGTACGTATTACAATTTTTATCATATAATTAGTTGGAAGTTTGCTGAATGTCTGTCTCTCCCACTAGACAATCTATTTTCATTTATTCCTTCATCACCCATTCAACAGGTATTTATTGCATACCAAGTGTCAGGTACTCTTGGGTGCACATCTTAGCTAAAGATACAGTGGTGAACAAGAAAAGTTCACTGTACTAATGAACTTACATTCATTCTATTAGGTAGATGGACAAAGACCTAGTAATCAAACAATTTGAAAGCATTATGTTCTGTAAGGAAAACAAAGTAAGATAAAAGGATAAGGATTGCTAGAGCAGAGGATAAAGCTATTTGGGAAAGTTATGAAGGGAGGTCAGGGAATACCATTCTAAGGGGGATGACATGTGAACAAAAGCCTAAATAATACAAAGGAGTGAGCCTTGGGAAGATAGTAAGAGGTTCCAGGCAGAGGGAAGTGGAAGTGTAATAGAACGACTCTGAGACCAGAATGAAATTGACTTATTTGAGGAACTGCAAGGAGTTAGTGTGGCTGGAATCAAGTGAGCACAGGAGAGGGTGGTCCGTGTTGCCGGAGAGGTCAGGGCAGACAAACTCAACTTGGAGGATTTTGTTCTTAATGTGATATAAAGTCCTTGAAGGGATTTGAGTAGAAGAAAATGATATCTAATTTACTTAAAAAAAAAAAAACCCTCTAGTTGCTACATGGACAACAAACTCCAACACAGGCTTTAGGGAGACCAGTTAGGAGGCTATTGCCATATTCCAGGCTAAAAATGCTTGTGATTTGAATTAGGTTAGTAGTGGCCAGTCAAGATATATTTTGGAAGTAGAGTGAATAAGACCTGCTAAAGAATTGGATATGGAATGTAATGGAAAGAAAAGAATCAAGGTTCAGGCCTGGCATGTTGGCTCATGCCTGTAATCCTAGCACTTTCGGAGGCCCAGGCAGGCGGATAATTTGAGGTAAGGAGTTTGAGACCAGCCTGGCCAACATGGTGAAACCCTGTCTCTACTAAAAATACAAAAATTAGCTGGGCATAATGGCGGGCACCTGTAACCCCAGCTAATTGGGAGGCTGAGGAAGGAGAATCACTTGAACCTGGGAGGCGGAGGTTGTAGTCAACTGAGATTGCGCCATTGCACTCCAGACTGGGCGGTAAGAGCGGGAAAAAAAAGAAAAGAAAGAGTTAACATTCATCCCTAAGTCTTGGGCCTTAGAAAGGGGGTAAATGATGGTATCATTAATAGAAATAGGAATGAAAAGAGGAAGAGGGTGTGTGTGTGTGTGTGTGTGTGTGTGTATGTGTTAAGCGTAGAGTTCTATTCTAAACATGTTAAGTTTGAAATGTTTATTTTATATCTGAGTAGAGATGCGAATAGGCAGGTGGATATATATACTGTATAGAAGTCTGGACCTCTAAGCAGAAGTTGAGCCTGGACAGAGACATTTGGAAATAATCAGCTTACAGCTGATATTTAAAACCAAGGGACTGGATAAAATCATATATTAGAGACGTAAAGAGAGCTGGGGTCTGAGCCTGAGGGCACTGTGTAATTTAGAGGCCAGTAAGAGAAGGGGCCAGCAAAGGACACTGAGAGGAAAGCAGTGGCCACTCCCTGTTGAATGGTAGAGTAGGGTTAGGACTGAGAATTGCCCATTTGCTCACTATTTTATACCTAGTACCTAGCTCAGTGGACTGGCACATAATTAGAACACAATAATATTTGTTGAATGAATGAATCTTCACTTCTGTTTATTTCTTAGATATTTGTTGGGGTACCCTAGGTACCAGGCACTGTTTTAGGTCCTATGGATTCACAGCATAGTGTTCCCTATAATCATAGATTCTAGTGGGGGCCACAGACAGACATATGCAACAAAAAATATGTATTGTTAGTTTATAATAACTGTCTTCTCCCCCTTCCACCCTATTCTAAGGAGAATGGGACTGAATATCTAGAGGGTGCCTTGTTGGTGAGCAATGATGAGCTGGGATATATAAATTTGGGGATATAGCTATACTGTAGGCAAAGATTTGGGGAAGAGGGAGAAGTTGAGGACGAAGAGTGGTGGGCCTTTAGTTGAACTGAAGAGGCAGCCCCAGCCAAAGGTACCAAATTCAATTAAAATAAAATATGATGTCAGCTCGACTCACATGGCTGAATTCTGCAGGGTAATTGATGGTTTACATTTACAGCCTTAGGGTTAGACCTAATTAATCTGATAAGAGAATGGAGAAGGGGGGGTTTGGGCAGCAAGAAATAAGGCTCAAATTGAATCTTATCAAACTATGAAGTTAGCTGCAAGGTATGTTGAACTGTTACCCTTAGAATTATTATCCTTAAGTTCTTGCTTTACAAAAAACACTCAAGTCTTGAATCAGCAGCCCCTACTGGCTAAGAACAAATTTTAGGTACCTTTCTGAGCCCAAATCCATGCCAGAGAAGGAAACAAAAACTCTTGAAGGAAGGTAGAGAGTAAGTGTGAAGCACTTTATTGTTTTACACAATTTTTTTAAATTATACTTTAAGTTCTAGGGTACATGTCCACAATGTGCAGGTTTGTTACATATGTATACATGTGCCATGTTGGTGTGCTGCACCCACTAACTCGTCATTTACATTAGGTTTATCTCCTAATGCTATTCCTCCCCACCCCCCCACCACCCCATGACAGGCCCCAGTGTGTGATGTTCCCTTTCCTGTGTCCAAGTGTTCTCATTGTTCAATTCCCACCTATGAGTGAGAACATGTGGTGTTGGGTTTTTGTCCTTGCGATAGTTTGCTGAGAATGATGGTTTCCAGCTTCATCCATGTCCCTACAAAGGACATGAACTCATCCTTTTATATGGCTGTATAGTATTCCATGGTGTATATGTGCCACTTTTTGTTAATCCAGTCTATCATTGTTGGACATTCGGGTTGGTTCCAAATGTGAATAGTGCTGCAATAAACATACGCGTGCATGTGTCTTTATAGCAGCATGATTTATAATCCTTTGGGTATATACCCAGTAATGGGAAGGTTGGGTCAAATGGTATTTCTGGTTCTAGATCCTTGAGGAATCACCACACTGTCTTTCACAATGGTTGAACTAGTTTACAGTCCCACCAACAGTGTAAAAGTGTTCTTATTTCTCCACATCCTCTCCAGAACCTGTTGTTGCCTGACTTTTTAATGATTGCCATTCTAACTGGTATGAGATGGTATCTCATTGTGGTTTTGATTTGCGTTTCTCTGATGGCCAGTGATGATGAGCATTTTTTCATGTGTCTGTTGCCTGCATAAATGTCTTCTTTTGAGAAGTATCTGTTCATATCTTTTGCCCACTTGTTGATGGGGTTGTTTGTTTTTTTCTTGTAAATTTGTTTGAGTTCTTTGTAGATTCTGGATATTAGCCCTTTGTAAGATGAGTAGATTGCAAAAATTTTCTCCCATTCTGTAGGTTGCCTGTTCACTCTGATGGTAGTTTCTTTTGCTGTGCAGAAGCTCTTTAGTTTAATTAGATCCCATTTGTCAATTTTGGCTTTTGTTGCCATTGCTTTTGGTGCTTTAGACATGAAGTCCTTGCCCATGCCTATGTCCTGAATGGTATTGCCTAGGTTTTCTTCTAGGGTTTTTTATAGTTTTAGGTCTAACATGTAAGTCTTTAATCCATCTTGAATTAATTTTTGTATAAGGTGTAAGGAAGGGATCCAGTTTCAGCTTCCTACATATGGCTAGCCAGTTTTCCCAGCACCATTTATTAAATAGGAAATCCTTTCCCCATTTCTTGTTTTTGCCAGGTTCATCAAAGATCAGATAGTTGTAGATGTGTGGTGTTATTTCTGAGGGCTCTGTTCTGTTCCATTGGTTTATATCTCTGTTTTGGTGCCAGTACCATGCTGTTTTGATTACTGTAGCCTTGTAGTATAGTTTGAAGTCAGGTAGTGTGATGCCTCCAGCTTTGTTCTTTTGGCTTAGGATTGACTTGGCAATGCGGGCTCTTTTTTGGTTCCATATGAACTTTAAAGTAGTTGTTTCCAATTCTGTGAAGAAAGTCATTGGTAGCTTGATGGGGATGGCATTGAATCTATACATTACCTTGGGCAGTATGGCCATTTTCACGATATTGATTCTTCCTATCCATGAGCATGGAACGTTCTTCCATTTGTTTGTGTCCTCTTTTATTTCGTTGAGCAGTGGTTTGTAGTTCTCCTTGAAGAGGTCCTTCACATCCCTTGTAAGTTGGATTCCTAGGTATTTTATTTTCTTTGAAGCAATTGTGAAGGGGAGTTCAGTCATGATTTGGCTCTCTGTTTGTCTGTTATTGGTGTATAAGAATGCCTGTGATTTTTGCACATTGAGTTACAAGACAGGGATGCCCTCTCTCACCACTCCTATTCAACATAGTGTTGGAAGTTCTGGCCAGGGCAATCAGGCAGGAGAAAGAAATAAAGAGTATTCAGTTAGGAAAAGAGGCAGTCAAATTGTCCCTGTTTGCAGATGACATAATTGTATATTTAGAAAACCCCATCGTCTCAGCCCAAAATCTCCTTAAGTTTTACACAATTTTTTAAACTTACCTTGTGATCTTTCTCCTCTGCAACTTTGCTAACGTAGTTCCCATGCCTCTATCTGGACTTCACACTTCTGTGCCCCCTGGAAATACCACTCCCCCACTCCCCAACCAAAAAAGGGAAATTTAAAAAAGAAAGTAAAATTTTCTATCCCCCTTTGAAGACAAATTAAAAGATATAGTCTCCTTCCAAAACTAATTGTTCAGCAAGCTGTGTTCCTATATTTTTCATTCACCATACAGCTCTGATGCCATCGTCTAACAGTTATTAGACTCCATCAGGTTATTTGCCTTGAACCCCAAATCGTTGGGAACTAAGTGATGTTTAGTGCTCAGCTGGGAGGGAGGTCTGGCATTTAAGGGCTCTCTATGAGTGAGTGTAACCCGGGCGAATGCCTGCAGCGAGGAAGGCACAGACACAGAAGACTGCAAGCCTTTATCTGGAAAAGTTTATGGCAACAATGACAGCACGCTTAACAATGATATATTTATTATATAATTATATCATATATGTAAAATATATATTTATTTAATAAAGAGTTGAAAATAAAACTGTGGCTCCACACCTATTTCTTTTCTTTTTTTTTTTGTTTTTGTTTTGGGATGGAGTCTCACTCCGTCGCTCAGGCTGGAATGCAGTGGCGCGATCTCGGCTCACTGCAACCTCTGCCTCCCGGGTTCGTGATTCTCCTGCCTCAGCCTCCCGAGTAGCTGAGATTACAGGCGCACGCCACCACGCCCGGCTAATTTTTGTATTTTTAGTAGAGACGGGGTTCGGATGTTGGCCAGGCTGGTCTCGGACTCCTAAGCTCAAGCGATTCGCCCGCCTCGGCCTCCCAAAGTGCTGGGATTACAGGTGTTAGCCACCGCGCCCTGCCTACGCCCACTTCTTACTATAATCTTTCCATTCACTAGCGGCTTCTCTGATCCCATTTCCTCTTCGAACCTGAGCTCAAACCAGCCTGGGTCTGACCGGCCAATCCGAGCGCAGTCTTCCGCAGTCGCGAGTACGGCTGCAGCCAATGAGAGACCGGGGCGCCTCGGTGGGGTGAGACAGGGCGCTCACTGGCGGAACCCCGGGGGACGCGGTGATGGGAGGAGTGTGGGAGGGGCAGTGGAACT
The DNA here is from genome assembly GCF_000001405.40 of Homo sapiens. Taxonomy (NCBI): domain Eukaryota; kingdom Metazoa; phylum Chordata; class Mammalia; order Primates; family Hominidae; genus Homo; species Homo sapiens. The sequence goes on from NC_000011.10 coordinate 43,680,616, forward strand.
GGAGTCAGCTAATGGCTGACGCACTACGCGCAGAGGGAAAGACGGGTCACCAATAGCGACACGGATATGGCCCCGCGGGCGGGGTTTAGGCCCAAAGTGGTGTCGGAGCAGCGCCTATTAGTGTCATCCTCACCGTCACGGCCGGCGCCTCCTCCTGGATTCATTCACTCGCTCTTTTCATTCACGAAGGTAGTGAGGCCTAGTGGAAAGCCATGGAGAGCGCTCTCCCCGCCGCCGGCTTCCTGTACTGGGTCGGCGCGGGCACCGTGGCCTACCTAGCCCTGCGTATTTCGTACTCGCTCTTCACGGCCCTCCGGGTCTGGGGAGTGGGGAATGAGGCGGGGGTCGGCCCGGGGCTCGGAGAATGGGCAGGTGAGTCGGATGCAGCGCCGCGTCCTCGCTCCCGCGGCGGCCCGGACCAGGCCTGGGCCGTGATGACTAGTTCTGGGGTCTGCTCCTGGCCTTCCCCTCCCCAGCTCTCCTCTTTCTCAGGCTCCTGTGCCCCGCGGGCCCCTCCTGGCTCCCTTGGCTGTCTTCTGCTTGCTTAGACTACTTGCAGAGTTTTAAGGTACGAAATACACTGCTCGCTCAATCCTGGGAATCTAAGCTCAGCTTAGGGTGTAGGAGAAAACTGCCTTAAGTCTCTGGGGCTTGTGCCCTTTAAGCCATTCCGTGTTCATGGAGCCAGTCAGTCGCCCTGCTGCCTCCTCAGTCACACGCTGTCCTCCTTGGTTCGCCCCTTGTAAGTGTTTTTAAAATAAAGTTTTTCGCTCGGTTTGAATATTGGCCCTGTGCTAAGGATGCAGAGCATTCTGTTAACATGTTTGGGCAGAGGATGGAAAGGGGTGTAGGGACACAATTTCAGAAGGCTTTTTGCACTGCGGAATCGTACCTCCCCAGTTACGATTAAGATAGTAATCGTATCTGGATTTGGCCTATTTCATACAATTACAAAGCCCCTTTAAAAGGAATTCTCGCTAAACTGTTCTGGAGTCCTAACGAGTAGCAAGAACTATTGCTTCTGTAAAATGATAACTCATCATGTTAAAATCAGATTTTTTTTTTTTTTTCACAAGGACGTTTGTAGGAAAAAGTATACCCGTAAAGAGTGAACCAAACACATGGAACTTGTAGTCGGAGGATTTTTAAAATGGAGGACGAAGGTCAGGTTGAGGAAATAGGGAAAATTATCTGCAGGGAAGTTTTGCTCCCCCCCCCCTTTTTTTTTTCTTTTTCAACCTATTTTGTTTCCTTCTTTGCTTTATTTTTCGTCTCTTGGCCTTTTTTCCCTTTAAACCGAGTGATTACTTATGATATGCTTGTGGTCCTACCCTGAGATGATTATTTATTTTGATGTTTTATAATCGAATGTGCACTTCCTAAGCATTTTATTGAATTTTGGGGTGGTTAGGCATTGCCTGCAGACTGGGCTCAGGTAAGATACACTAATAATGTTACTCCATGTTCTTTGTTTATTTAGAAACATTTAAACAACCTAGTAGGAAAGACATATGTTAACCTTTTGGGTTTATGTTAACATTAAGAGAAAACATCTTAGCAGTGGATATGTATGTGAAATCTTTGGACGATGTGGAGCAACATTATAATTCTGTTTCACAGTCACCTGTTTCTCTGAAAAAGGAAGTGAAATGTTCAGCTGGGTGTGATGGCTCACGCCTGTAATCCCAGCATTTTGGGAGGCCGAGGCGAGTGGATCACAAGGTCAGGAGTTTGAGACCAGCCTGACCAACACGGTGAAACCCCGTCTGTACTAAAAATACAAAAATTAGCTGGGCGTGGTGGCGCGCCCCTGTAGTCCCAGAGGCTGAGGCAAGAGAATCGCTTGAACCCAGGAGGCGGAGTTTGCAGTGAGCCGAGATCATGCCACTGCACTCCATCCAGCCTGGGTGACAGAGCGAGACTCATCTCAAAAAAAAAAAAAAAAAAAAAACAGAAAGTGAAGTATTCAACTTGGTTATAATTAAGATTATGATTTCCCAATTGACTTGCCCACATTCTTCATTGTTAGTTTTGGAAAACCTGTTTGAAGACTTTTGACTACAAAAGACTACAAGATTTTTATACAAGATAAAAATTAGGGAATTGTATCAAGATAAAATTTGTAATTGGTAAGCAAAGACTAATGTTAATAACTTGTTGTTTTCTTTTCTTTTCTTTTTTTTTTTGAGACAGGGTCTCACTTTGTCACCCAGGCTGGAGGGCAGTGGTGTGGTGGTGTGATCATAGCCAACTGCAGCCTCGAACTCTTGGGTTCAAGTGATCCTCCCATGTGAGCCTCCTGAGTAGCTGGGACTACAGGTGTGCATCACCACACCAGCTCATTTTTTTTGTTTTTTGTAGAGACAAGGCCTCACTCTGTTTCAGAGGCTGGTCTGGAAGACCTGAGATCAAGCAATCCTCCTGCTTCAGCCTCCCAAAGTGCTGGGATTACATGTGTGAGCCACCATGCCTGGATGTGTTTTTTTTTGTTTTTTTTTTTTTTTCTCTTTAAAATTGACCATATTGGTTGATTATTCAAATGATAAGTCCAAGTCATCTACATATGAGTGTACAGTAAAAGGCAAGTGATGTAACACCATAAGTAACATTTGTGTTGAAAAGATTTGGCCCCAGAGGAAGGATAATTGATAAATTAAGGGAAGTATTTGTGTAAGATTTAGATATGAAATTTGAACTGGAACACTGGAACAGCAGAGGATCATAGTATCATAATTGAAGTGAAATGCTGACAGGTTCAATTTACCCTGGGTTTTGGATTTTTTTTTTTTAAATGCTTAAGCAGAAGAAGTGATCTTAAAAGAAAATACTCCCTTTATCTTCAAATTCTGGGACTCTTCAAAAACAAAATTAAGAGCAGCTCATCTTAAACAGGTTCTTCACATGAGTTGGAGGGGTGAACTGAAATAATTTGAAAAACAAACTAGCAGAGATGACACTTGAATAATTAGAGTTGTGATTAAAAATATTGTTCCACCAAAGTTATGATTTTAGAATTGTTGTATGTAAATAGTACTAGTAAGTTTTTTCCCTACGAAATTACTATCTTAATCTCAAGAGTCTCTGTTCTTATGCAGCCTTTGAATCTACTTTCTAGTACTAATATTTAATATTTTCCTCTTTAAAACCAATTATATATTTTAAGTATTTTATTAGTATATGTTGAATTGATACTATATTTTTATTCTTGTTATTCTTAGTCTCTTCATGTGAGTATCTTCATGTGAGTATGTTTAATCTGTCTGCCTCAGATTTTAGGATCTGAGGGGCAGAAAGCGTGGATTCTCACTTTTTGTCTTTTCTCACAAATTGGCTCTTCTAAATTTAAGAACAAAAACTTTGAAAAACTTGAAATACAGGTATGCTTCACAATCAGTAAAATATTCTAGATAACAGTTTCCTTAGTGTTGTTAGGCTTTCAAGACTGTCCATTACTTGGCTGGCCCACACTCTAATTTATCTCCATCTCCTGGTCAAGAGCTGGGCCATCTCTTTCTCCTAGTTCTCACCAGTAACATTCCCACTCAGGTGAATCCCCTGTGTTCCCTATACCCCTAGAAGGTGGGTTTAGCCAATTTAGTAAGTAAGACTTCTTTGTCATTGTTACCCGAATACTTCCTGTATTTCTTAGGAGAACAAAAGGAGATCCTGTGAATGTGGAGTTTCAGGTGTTTGAAGGTCAGTGTAGCAAGTAATCAAAAAAAGATTGATAACAAAGGTGGTCAGTTTGTATTAAATAAAGGAAAGAACAGTCACTGCTATAGAGCAATAAAAAATGTGATCTGTAGAATGTGGTTTGACCATAAATACATTTTGCAAGTATTTGAGTAGTTTCCATTGCTGGAGTTCATCTAAAATGATTGCTATTGAAATAAAGTGGAGATGATAGATGCAAAGGCAAGGTAAGTAGACTTCCAATGTCAAGATATTTTATAACTTTAAACATAAGACAGCACTCTGAGCACTTATTTTTAGTTTTTAATGAAGAGGATATTGTTACACGCAGTGAAGAATAAATGATCCACTAATCAGTTAGTGAGTTAGATTTTTTAAAACAACTTTAGTGGGATATAATTAATATACCATACAATTTGCCCATTTAAAGTGTACAATTCAAGGTTTTTACTTATGTTCACAGGGTTGTGCAACCATCATCAAATCTAATTTCAGAACATTTTCATCTTCCTTAAAAGAAATGCTGTACCCATTAGGCCCTTCACTCCCTGACCCCCACCCGCTCCAGCCCTAGTCAACTACCAATCTACTTTCTGTCTACGTAGGTTTGCCTGTTCTGGATATTTCATATAAATGGAATCATACAATAGGTGTTCTTTTTTGTTAGTGGCTCTTTGATTTTTGCATAATGTTTTCAAGTTTCATCTATGAAATCTGTACTTCATTTTGTTTGTATTGCTGAATAATATTCTGTTTTGTGGAGTGAGGTCAGATTTCACAAAAAAAGTCTTCAACCCTTTGTTCTACCCTCTGGATGTTTACATTAGCAAATCTCTAAGATGTAGCTTCTGGTTGCTGATGGAACTCGTTTGGCTTTGCAGTATTCCAAGGTTCTCCTAATTCAGTAGATAGTGAGGACTTAAAAATGGCATGGAATGGTGTGGTTCTCCTCTGGAAAAACCATTCATGAAAACATGCATCAAAGGATTCTCAAAATCACAGGTATAATCACAATTTCTGTTTTCACATTGGTTAACTGCACAGGGTTAACCTCAAATGACTGAAGAATACTTGTGTAACTAGAGCTTATTAATAGTAGGTGTCTTTCTTTAACAAGAGTTTGTGATATCACATGATTTGAAGAATTATATATGAAATGTTAGTTATTTAAATTGACAACCCAGAAGAAATATTAATAACTATCATTTATTGAATGGGTGCTTGAAATGTGCCAGGAACTTGAGATTATTTTTAACCTCTTTGAGCTGTGCTCCGTTGTCCCCAGTGGACAGAGGAAGAATCAGAGGGTTTAGTAAATTGCTTTCATTATCTATGGTTTCATAGCTATTAAATTGCAGAGTCAGGATTTGAAACCAAGTCATCCGTTCTGCAACATTCGTACACTGTATGTTGGTGATGGGCCTACAGACTGGATGAGTACTCGGGAGTAGATTTCTTTATACCTACAAACTTTATTAAAAGCTTTTTGATTGAAGACACACTTTCACTTTTTAAAATTTAAATTTTTGTTTTATTTTTAAGAACAATCTCAGACCAAAAAAAGGCACAGTTTCAAATTTGCACATTCATGATTTTTCTGGAAGGATTGCAGAATAGTTGGCACATTTTGGGATCAAGTAGCTTGGGATTTTCTTCAGATTTGCAACCATAAATCTTGTCGTATGAGAAAATACTGGAAAGTTACTAAGGTGCTTAACAAAGCAAAGGGTTTGACAGTCATCAGAATGGTGGGATTTGACTTCGAATGCTATTTTCTGTTTATCGCTCTGGCATTCTTGAATGGATTTAGTGACTCCCTGGAGGTCCAGCTTGGTAAATGTCATATGCTTGCTGTTGACATTCTAGTATTGGGGTATAGATACCTGTTCTTACTGGCGAGCCAATGTTGATCGCAGTAGTCATTACATGGGTTATGTTTTTCGCAGAGGCAGGGAAGGTGAGGGAAGGCAGAGAAACAAACTTAGTCATAAATGTTTTTGAATATTTGTTTATTCTGCCCTTTGGCTCCCGAAAGGGAGTACGTGTGCCTAAATGGAAAAAGTTCTGCAGATTAAAGTTGGCAGGGCAACTTTCAAGTACTAGTGCTGGAGTCTACATAAGAGGAAACAGATGCAACTGAAGATTGGACCTAAAAGCATACCTTTATTTGATTTGGAGGAAAAACCAAAGAGGGAGGTTTCCTGGGATTACAGATCCTGAGTTTACATTCCCTGAATATCTTTTTCCCTCACTCCCCTCCCGACTAGCCCCCATTGCTCCCACCCTGTTTTTTTTTTTTTTTTTCCTGTTCTTTCTTTCTGTGCAACACTAACTTTCCTATTTAGAGGTCAAACTTGAACTTGGAGACCCAAACCTAGACTTGAATTCTAGCTTCCCTACAGATTTCATAGGCTTATTGTGAAGGGTAAATGAGAATACTTATTCTCTGTAAAACAGATAGTACATAAGTGCTTGATAACTTGTTATTATTATAGTATTATTAGCCTTAGTAGCACTGTGCTCTGATTACCTGAGCTAATTGCCAGGGTAGGGTTTAGAAGAAAGAGTTGATATCTGGGTGACTACATTGTCAGATAACTGAGATTACCATTGCTACTTGCAACTGAGAGTGTTGAGCTTTAAAACTAATTTTTTGTTGTTGTTGGTTTTGGTTGGTTGAATTGAGGATAATTTATTTCTTTCAGTTTCAGAAAAATTTGTCAGATTTACATAACAAAATTTATAAGTTTAGAATGCATGGGTAAACGGATTTGAATAGATCAGTTTCAGTGCCATTAAAAGCTATTTGTAGATAAGGATAAGTTAAATGTATATTTTAAAAACAGTGCATCCTTTATTTCATTTCCCTTCTTGTCACTCTTAGCAAAACAACATGTAGCAATTCATATGCATGTCATCTGGGATGGATTGAGATTAAGGTTAGGGAGGCAGGGTGAGCAAAGCCCTCACTGGGCTTGGTGGAGAGTATGACATAACACTATTCATTTGCCCATTTATCCACCACAAATACTGTTGAGTGCTAACTATAGACCTTATAATAGTCCAATGGGATGACAAACAGTAACAAAATGAATAAACTGTGCTATGGTAAGTGGTGAGAACAGGAAGTATTTGGTCCTATGAGAATTTGTGAGGGAAAGTTCTAGAGCTGTGCTGGGGAAGCAGTGCCTCAGCTGAGATCTGGCGGTTGAGTGTAAGTGAGCAAGCTGGAGTGACAGGAAGGGCAGAGGGAAGAATGTTCTTGGCAGAAGGAAAAGCAGTTGCTAAATTCCTAGGGCAGGAAAGGGCAGGGCCCTCATGAAACGAGGGCTGAGTGACGAGCCAGGAAAGCTCAGATATGAGTGCCATGGAACTGGAGAGGCAAGAAGGGCAATGAGCAGGGCCTTCAGCCTTTATCCTGGAGCAGTGGAAAGCAGTTGAGGTGATTTTAAGCAGAAGGGTAACACTGTTGTGTTTGCAACTGTAAGCCGAATTTCTTGTTTCTATGACTTCCCTAGAGTTATTGCCGGCCCTCTTTGGGAAAACATTGTTACACAGAGATAGATCAGTCTAGGTATTCAGATAAACTCAGTTAAAATTGCCTTTTTTAAAATGTCAATTGGCTGGGCGCAGTGGCTCATGCCTGTAATTCCAACACTTTGGGAGGCTGAAGTGGGCGGATCACTTGAGGCCAGGAGTTTCAGACCAGCCTGGCCAACATGGCAAAACCACATCTCTACTAAAAATACAAAAATTAGCCAAGTGTGGTGGTATGCACCTGTAGTCCCCGCTACTCGGGAGGCTGAGGCACCAGAATAGCTTGAACCCAGGAGGCGGAGGTTGCAGTGAGCCGAGATTGCACCACTGCGCTCCAGAGTGGGCAACTGAGCAACACTCTGTCTCAAAAAAAAAAAAAATTTAATGAATACAATAAAATGGGAATTTATGCTTTTTGTAAGGGATGCTACTTTTGTGCACTTCTTAGTTATCATCTCTCAGAGACCATTTCTGTCTGGGGGAAAAGTCTGATCACTGTGGTATGGGAAGTTCTTCTCTTACAGGGACTGAGTGATGGGGTTATTGAAACACTGAAACTAGGTTATTGCGTTGTCATGGTAACTCCATAATACCATGGTGTGGTAGTTGAGAAGCTTGCCACAAATCTGTATCAGAAAGAACGCTTTGTTTTATTTGTCGATTTTTGTCTACAAAACAATGCGTTTGCCCTATCTCTAACTGGCAATTCCAGGAAAACTATCCAGTTTCTGGAAAGTTATCTTTGCCACCATTTAGTGAAGTTATTTCCATTTAAATAACCTAGTCATTGTGGAAGAGAGGAAGGGCTAGACAGTTTAAGAACTTGAACAATTGGTGCCTCTCAAGAGTATTACATTGGGAAACAGTATAGCTAACAAACAGATTGGCTTTGGAGTCAGTGGGCAAGCTGTGCTGTTACTAAGCTGGTTGACCTTAGGCAAAAATAGTTAACCTCTGAGCATAACTTCTTTCATTTTTTAGGGGGATGATACTTTTCGGGATTATTATGACAATTAAATGAGATGTAAATGAGGTTCTAGTATAGTCCTTACTGTATTTTTATGAATATTAAGTAACATATATTTAAGAGCATCATTTGTTTGTATAGATTACTCTTATTGGATGAAAAGGGATTGTTGAAACTAAGAAATAATTGTAGTTCACTCAGCAGGTATACACTTGAAAATCTAAAATTATGAACAGACCAATTAGGAGATGACTAGTGCTACTGCAGAAGAATTCCTTGCTTGGGTAAAAGATTTACTAAGCAGTTCCTTTATATATAGATCCCCTTAGTGAGTAAATCTAAGATAGGAAGGACTTCAAAAAATTTGGTTATTTATAATTTTTCAATTACATTTGTAAAAACCTTAGAGTTATCTTTAAGTCTTCACCACATGCAGCCTTTTAGGAAATCCCGTTGACTCTGAACTTCAAAATATCCAGAATCTAGTGAGTTCTAAGCCACCACAGACTCTTGTCTCTCTAATAACAAGTTTCTTATCTCTCTGCTTCCACCTTGGCTCTCCTGCAGTTGATTCTCACACAGCAGCCACAGTGATCCTTGACAAGCTTTGGTCAGATTATGTGATGCTCTGCCTAGATCTCTCTAGTGGTTTCTCACCCACTCAGATTAAAACTCAGTATTTGTCTCGTGGCTTTGAATAAGGCTTTATTTTATTTTATTCTATTTTATATTTATGTTTATTTTTATTTTTTGAAGCTGGGTCCTGCTCTGTCACCCAGGCTGGAGGGCTGTGGTGTGATCTCAGCTCACTGCAGCCTCTGCCTCTCAGGTTCAAGTGATTCTCCTGCCTCAGCCCCCCAAGTAGCTGGGACTACAGGCGAGTGCCACCACACCCTGATAATTTTTTTGTATTTTTATTAGAGACGGGGTTTCACCATACTGACCAGGCTGGTTTTGAACTCCTGACCTCAGGTGATCCACCTGCCTCAGCCTCCCAAAGTGCTGGGATTACAGGTGTGAGCCACCGCACCCGGCCTGAACAAGGCTTTAAACCACCTGCTTCCTGCTTCCATTGACCTCTGACCTCATCTCCACTACTCTTACTCCGTTCCACCCACATACACCTCTTGCTGTTCCTTGAACAACCTTGGCATTGTTGCTTTGGGGCCTTTGCTTTTTCCTCTTCACGGAATGCTCTTCCCCCAGATATCCATGTGACTGACCCTTCTTACTCTCCTTCAAGTCTTTGCAGAAATATCACCTTTTCAATGGAACCGCCCCTCCTACCTATAAACTCACAGTCGTTTCTCCCTCACTCCCACTCCTATCCATTACCCTGCCCCACTTTTCCTTTTTGTCATAGCACTTGTCACCATCTCCCCTACTGTATACTTTGCTCATTTATGATGTTTCTGTTAGAATGTGAGCACTGTAAGGCAAGGATCTTTGTCTTTTAATCTCAAGCACCTAGAACAATGTCTGTACACAGTAAGTGCCAATGTACCTTTGTTGAATTAATGGAAATATCTGTTAAGTAAGGTATTCATACATATATATATATATATATATATATATATATATATATATATATATTTTTTTTTTTTTTTTTCTGAGACAGGGTCTCACTATATTGCCCAGGCTGGCCTCAAACTCCTGGGCTCAAGCAATCCTCCTGCCTTAGCCTCCTGAGTTGCTGGGACTATAGGCATGTGTCCCAGCTGTGTCTGGCTTCCAGTCTTTTTAATATTAAGGGATAATGATTTTTGTGAATTATCTTCTCTTTTTACATTCTCTTATCAGCTACAAATCTAACAAATATTAGCGGTTTCCCAACCTCTAAGAATGAAATTATTTAATCTAAAAATATAGAGTAACCTCAGGACGAAGTTCTCCTAATACAGACTCTGGAACTAGATTACCTACTTTTGAATCCCAGCTCAGCTAGTTACAGTGTTATCACCTTAACTTCTGTGTGCCTCAGTTTCCTCATCTGTAAAATTGGGATAATTATAGATTGGAAATACTGATTAAATGGGGCTAACTGATTTAATGTGTGTGGAATACTTAGACTACTGAGAACACTACCTGACATTTCAATGTTAAATACTATAGAAATGATAGCAGATATTATCTGATGGGATGATTCTGATTTTATCCACATGCATCTTTTCCCGACTTTCCCTCAAATTTCTAAAGACACTGCATATTCCCTTCTAGATGATTATCAAAGTCGTCAATTTTAGTATGTCTAAAATTTAGCTTTTCTACTCTCCCCAGCGTGTTCTGGACTTCCTTATTTTTGCTAATTATGTCATCGTCTTGCTAGTCATGAAGCTCCAAATCAGAGATGGCAAATTCTGATGCCTCAGGCAGGTCAAGTAAAATGAGTGAAGTGGACCAGGTGTAATGCATGTCAAGACACTGTCCAGGTAACCAGGCATGGTCTCTAGTAGCAGCCTTCAGCAACACTGGCACAGTCCTCTCAGATTTTCACCAGCAGCCCAAATCTAGATTTTCATATAGAAAGTTTCTTAATTGTTTAGAGTTGATGCAAATTTCTCAGGTTTACTCTGTGGACCAAATAAATTATGTCAGTGGCTAGATGCATCAAGTAGCCAGTTTGCTCCCTCATCTCTAAGTCTTAGAATCATGCTTTCCTTTGCACATCTAGACAGGAAATTGCCAAATCTTGCTGAATCTACCACTACAGTCTCTCTCGCATCCATACCTTCCTCTATGTTCTCCTAATATATTGCCTCCCTACCAAATCTTACACTCACTCTGGCGCAAGTTTAATCTACCAGTGAAGCCTCCAATCAAGTTACCCCTTCCTTATACCTTACACATACAGGTCAGAAGTTTCATAATGTCTATGCAAACATCAGGCTCCTTGGCCCTTTTGATCTTGGCCTTGTGTCTGTTTCTGATGTCACCTCCTTTGCACCCTTCCTTGGATGCATCCTGGATGACGTCCTGTGTCCCAGACATGCCTGTGCTTTCCTGCTTCTTGCAGCCTCCAGGGCCTTGCTTGTGCAGAGGCATTTAGTAGGTTTTGGTGGTTGTTGCATGTTGGCCTCACTCTGCCTGAGGTGCTCTTTCTCATATTCCACACTCTTCCTCACTCTTCCTGTTTGTGAAATTCTACTCATGTTCCAGAGTGTCAATTGTGACTTTTTGCATTGAGAGCTTTCTAGATGATAGTGACTGTGCACTTTTGGAACTCTAATAGTATTTCTTGTATTCATTCTGGTGGGCTTTTTCACAGTTTACCTTATTAGTCGTGTGTATGTATATGTGTGCATGTATCACTTCATTTGCTCAAAAGTGTATTTGCACTATAATATTTCATGAGTGAATACTTTTTTCCTTGAGGTTCTGGTGTATTTCAATTGGGGGGTCAGATGTTTTGCTTTAGTTTTCTATTTTTTGTTCTACTTTGCAAAATAATTTGTGAACTGTTTTTTCTCCTTCTTCTGAAACCTCAAGTGCTATACATCTAAAAATGCTAGATTGAAAATAAACCAAGGCTGGTTAGACAAAGCTGGTTACAGAGTTATGATAGCAGGGCTGTCATACTAGTTTTGAAAATGTATAGTGCACTGAGATCAAAAAGATGTCCTTGAATAGTATTGGTAACAGGCTAACCTTTCTTCATCTGTGGTATCAGGAAATTACAGGGAGTTACAGGGAACTGAACACTCTGCCATATTTAATAAACATTAAATATAAATTTGGTAGTATATTTATTATTCTTTCCCAAATCTTTACAAAATTGTTGTGAGTAGATTTTCCTTTAGTAAGAAAGATTTCTCCAATTAAAGTTTTAGTAACACCTTGCTAATTGGTAAGGCTTATTGGTAAGACTAATTCGTGAAAAATTAAATTCTAGAGTGTGTTGACCAAAATGTAGTTTTTAATTTTGAAATTGTGATAAAATAAGTCCATACCTTCTGGAACTACCATTCTTTTTGAATTGTTGAAGACTCTGGACCAAATTCCCTGGAAAATCTCTTTGATAGTAAATACATTGAATAGTAAGCATATAGAACCAGAAACTGCTATAAAGTTAACCATAGAGCATTGAGTATATAGTTTATTTGCTTCATGGAAATAAATGAATACTACAGTTGGTTGACAATTTTTACACAAGTTTAGTCAGCCATTTTGTGAAAAAACTTGAGAAAATGAAAAAAATCAGGAGGCAGAAGAGAATCATGATAGAATAGCAGAACTGGAAGGGATGTTAGCAACCTCTTCACTTCAATTATTAGGGAAATACATGCTGGAAAAGGTAATGACTTGCCCAAGATTATGCATCCAGTTAGAGAATGGCCAGGCCAGACAGTTCAGTGGCAAAGGGCAGAAGTGGTGGATGCATCTGTGGTAGATTGATTAAAAGCAACGATAGGAGCGATGAGCAGCAGGCTCTGACAGCAAAGTGGAAGAGATTTGTCTGGGTTGAATTAGAGGAAAGTGGTGAGGAGGAAAAGCAGAGGTGATTTAGTGATAGTGATGAGGATGCTGGCAGAACTGGACATCATCACACATTCCTGAAACTGGTATGAGGCAAGAAACAGTCCTCTCTATACAAGAGCCTAAACTCTTAAAGAAATGATATGTACCTTTTTAGCCCTTAAGGATGCCATTATGCCATGCTCTTGGTACACCCTACATAGATGTTAAGACCAGGAGGCACTTGTTCATTGTATATAGTGGTGCAAGCTAAGTTAGTTGATCCAATATCTCCTACCCAGAGTCTCAGCTGTGCTTATATCCCAAACTACTGATTATGTTGATGACACTTAATTCCCAAGGAAATACTGCATTTAGTATATGTTCCTCAAGGTGGCCAAAAAAGAATATAGTATTTTTTAGAAATTTAAATACCAGTGTAAAAAAATCCTTTAATATTCCTAGTCTGGAGAAAACTTCTTCAGATTGATTTTACTGTAATGACTGGCATTAACTGCTCATAACCAAGCTAACTTCCAGTAGGAATATTGTCAGCTTTGCTTTACTGATAGCTGAGACTCTAGTCCTGTAGAAGCAGTACTCATACAGTAGACAGGTTCCCCTGATCTTGCACATCCAATCTTATAATTTTGCCGTGGAACAGGAAGCTACTGCTTATCTGTGTGTTCCAATGCCTATCACTGTCTGTCATGTGTAAGGAGGCGATGATCTCCTTACAGATAACGTGAAAACAAAAGCCACATTGGGCTAGACAACAACATTCACACATTCTGAATTAGAGCAGGCTGATTTAATAAAATGTTACTGTAATGGTGACATTTTAATTTACAGAGCCCTTTTCAAGTATTCTTGAATTATTTCCATAACAACCCTATGAGGCAGGTTAGGGTTGGTTTTGTTATTTCCATGTAATATACCAAGACCAGATGGAGATGCAGTGACTGGTATAAGGGTTACACAGATAGTAAGTAGCAGAAGAAATTGAATCTAGGTTTTCTGACTCTAGGCTCCATGTTCTTTCTAATTTACTGCCAAAGCTGCTAAATAAGGGTGATTTTAAGGCCATTTGGAATACTTGCACATGAGCTTACAAGTTGGAGAATTTCTCAAATGTTGCTTCAAAGTGAAAGGTTGGCCAGGTGTGGTGGCTCATGCCTGTAATCCCAGTACTTTGGGAAGCTGAGGTGGGAGGATTGCTTGAGCCCAGGAGTTCCAGATCAGCCAGGGCAAAAAAAAAGAAAAAAGAAAAAAAATGAGCCAGGCATGGTGGTACATGCCTGTAGTCCCAGTTACTCAGATGGCTGAGGTGGGAGGATTGTTTGAGCCCCGGAGATTGAGGGTGCAGTGAGCCATGATTGCACCACTGCACTTCAGCCTGGGTAACAGAGCATGACCCTGTCTCAAAAAAGAAACATAAAAGTTAAAGGTCTGTTTATATCATGGCAGTATTCAAATTCATCTGGATCATATGAATCAGTCCAGTGTGCTCATTAACGTTACATTCTAGGGCTTTACTACAGACCTACAGAAAAAAAATCTGTAAGAAAAGAGCATGGGACCATGTATTTTTAACAAATAAGATGATTCTTAAGGTCATGCATTTTGGGGGCCAGGCACGGTGGCTGACACCTGTAACCCTAGCACTTTGGGTGGCTGAGGTGGGCAGATCACTTGAGGTCAAGAAGCTCTAGACCAGCCTGGCCTGGTCTAGTAGAGATGGTGAAACCCCATCTCTACTGAAAATACAAAAATTAGCCCCAAGTGGTGGCATATGTCTGTAATCCCAGCCATTTGGGAGGCCGAGGCAGGAGAATTGCTTGAGCCTGGGAGACAGAGTGAGACTCTGTCTCAAAAGATCATGCATTTTGGGAAACACTGGACTAGCCCTAGAAAAAACAGTGGATTATCCATGCAGGCTTTTTAACCAAATATCTTCTGAATACCAGGGCTTGGTTTATAATAGTGAGCCACCGTGTCCGGCCCAGATGGGTTTTTAAAAATTATCTTTATTGGCCGGGCGTGGTGGCTCGTACATGTAATCCCAGCATTTTCGGAGGCCGAGGCAGGTGGATCACTTGAGGTCAGGAGTTTGAGACCAGCCTGACCAACACGGTGAAAACCGGTCTCTACTAAAAATACAAAATTAGCTGGGCGTGGTGGTGCACGCCTGTAATCCCAGCTACTTGGGAGGCTGAGGCAGGAGAATCACTTGAACCTGGGAGGCAGAGGTTGCAATGAATTGAGATTGCACCATTGCACTCTCGCCTGGGCAACAAGAGCAAAACTTCGTCTCAAAAAAAAATCTTTATTATGAAATTAATATAAATGATATCTTTTAATGATGATTCTTAAAGAGGCAATAGACTGAAGAGGATGTTCTAATTAGTCTTCTTCTTCTTCTTCTTCTTTTTAAGCCTTTTAAATGATGAGGAAGGAGGAAAATGGGCTTAGGTTCTACCAGAAGAAATTTAGATTTTAGTTGGCCATCTGGATGACCTTTGTAGTAATTAAACAGTCAGATTGGGTCATTCCTTCAGCAGATAAATAAATAAATACATATATTTCTAACTTTTATTTTAAGTTCAGGGGTGCAAGTGAACGTTTGTTACATAGGTAAATTTGTGTCATGGAATTTTGTTTTACATATTATTTCATCACCGAGGTATTAAGCCTAGTACCCATTATTTTTCCTGATCCTCTCCCTCCTCCCACCTTCCACCCTCCGAAAGGCCCATGTGTATGTTGTTTCCCTCTATGTGTCCATGTTCTCATCATCTATTATAGTTCCCACTTATAAGTGAGAACATGTGGTATTTGGTTTTCTGTTCCTGTATTAGTTTGTTAAAGATAATGGCCTCTAGTTCCATCCATGTTCCTGCAAAGGACATGATCTTGTTCTTTTTTATGGAGCAGATAAATATTCATTGTGTGGTGATTATATGCTAGGCCCTGTGCTGGGTATGAGAATATAGTGATGAGCAAGAAAGCCATGGTCTCAAAGTTCTGATATCCGGAATCTACAAGCAAGTTAAACAAATTTATAAGAAAAAAAATCATCAAAAAGTGGGCAAAGGATAT